>NC_000023.11:48485837-48785837 GCF_000001405.40 Homo sapiens
AACAAGCCCTGAGGAGGGATCTGCAACAACCCTGAAGACAACAAGGAAAGAAACCATGAAAGTCTGTCTGTACTGCAGTGGGAATTCTTGAGTGAGGTCTTACCTCTTCTTTAAACCTCTTCAGGAGTGTCCTGATTATGTCCAGAATTTTCCCTAAAGGCAGGGATTCTTAACCTGGATAGAAGCCAGGGGTAACCATGAACTTGATGGAAGAAAATGTTACATCTTTATTTTCAGCAATGAAACTGAAATTTAGCCTTACTCCCAAGTTATAAATGCTGGCAACAAATCACAGTAGTAAAAGCAGTACCTGGGATTTTCCCACCAATACAAACCAGTTACAGCAACTGTAATGTAACATAAAAAGGGCATCTTGAAGTATTGTTCATATTTGTCACCTCTTGGAATGATAGCAGATCCTGTAAGTTGATGTATTAATTAAAAAGCCCATATATTACTGCATCTCAATTTTGTTTCAATTTAATATATAGTAATAATTGTAATTCAATGTAATTGGCTTCCATTGTAATTGTGTGTGTGTGTATGTGTATGTATATACTTTTAAAAATATTCTGTGAAGGGGTTCACAGATTTAACCAGATGCCAAAGGGTTCTGCAGAACAAATTTATTTATTTATTTTGAGACAGAATTTCGCTCTGTCACCCAGGCTGGAGTGCAGTGGTGTGATCTTGGCTCACTGCAACCTCTGCCTCCTGGGTTCAAGCGATTCTCCTGCCTCAGCCTCCCGAGTAACTGGGATTACAGGCACCCGCCACCACACCCGGCTAATTTTCGTATTTTTAGTAGAGACGGGGTTTCACCATTTTGTCCAGGCTGGTCTCGAACTCCTGACCTCAGGTGATCCACCCACCTCGGCCTCCCAAAGTGCTGGGATTACATGCGTGAACCACCGCACCCAGACTTCAGAACAAATTTTTTAGGTTAAAAACCTGTCTTAAAGAAACGTCAGGGCCAGGCGTGGTGGCTCACGCCTGTAATCCCAGCACTTTGGGAGGCTGAGGCAAGCGGATCACTTGAGGTCAGGAGTTTGAGACCAGTCTGGCCAACATAGTGAAACCCGTCTCTACCAAAAATACAAAAATTAGCTGGGTGCGGTGGCACATGCCTGTAATCCCAGCTACTCAGGAGACTGAGGCAGGAGAATCACCTGAACCCGGGAGATGAAGGTTACAGTGAGCCGAGGTCGCGCCACTGCACTCCAGCCTGGACGACAGAGTGAGACTCTGTCTCAAAAAAAAAAAGCAATGTCAGAAAGTCTACCTGGACTGCAGTCCTAAATTTCTATAACTTAATGAACAGGAGCTGACAGAAACTCCCCAGCTACACGAACAGAACTGTTTTCTACAGCTTAATCCTGTGTCCTTAGAAATTCACGTACTCTGTGATCCAAGGACTATCCACGCCACAGTCCAGTGACCTCAGGAGTATCCACATACCAGTCTGCGACCCCAGCTGTTTCCACACCTGACTGTGACTCACCCCAGTTACCATGTGTGACCCCAGGAGTATGCACACTCAAGTCTGGGAAAACCATTGTCCAATCTCCAGTCAGAAATGGTGTTTAAATTCTGGAGCGTGTGTTCATAGGCATGTCTACACTCCGGTCTCTGACCACGAAAATAACCACACCCCAGTCTGTGTGACTCCAGGAATGTCCAGACCCCAGTTTGTGTCAGTCTAGGAGTGTCCACACCATGGTGACTTAACCCAGGAGTCTTCTCACCGAAGTCAGTGTGACCACAGGAATGCCCACACCCCAATCTGTGAATATGCACAGCCCAAGAATGTATGGCGGAAGTGTCCACACAAAAGGCCGTGTGACCACAGGCGTAGCCACACCCATTACAGTGCAAATTCAGCAGCGTTCACACGACAGCCTGTGAGACCTCAGGAGTGTCCTCACGCCAGGTTCTGTGAGTCCAGCAGTGGCAATGGCTTGGAGTTTCCATAGCCATCTTAGTGGTGCCATAAATGTGTAGCTCAAACGGTGACCACAGAGGAGTCCACAGCTCAGTCTGTGGTGTCCTGGGAGTGGTTTTGCCCCAGTCCAGCCACCTCAGGAGTGTCCCCACCCAAGTTTTTATGACACAAGTAATGTCCAGTTCCCAGCATATGTGACCCTGGTGTTGTCCAAACCCCATAGTCTCTGGCTATTAGTGTGTCTATACCCATCTTGACGGCCTCAGGCAGGTGCACTCCCCCATCTGTACGACCAGAAGACTATCGACTCCCCTGTCATTGTGACCACAGGAGTGTAAAACTCCAGTGCCAGTGACTACTGGTGGGTCCACATTCCAGTCTGGGTGACCCAGGGGAGGGCACAGCCCTGTCTGTGTGACCATAGGAGTCTTCACACCCCAGTGTCTGTAAACACACAGGAGTCAATTCCCCAGTCAGTGTGACCAGAGGAATGTTCACACCAAATTGTGTGACCACAGGAGTGTCCACACCTATCTGCATGTCCTGAGAGGTGTCTATACTCCAGTGGGTATGACACCAACAGTGTCCACAACAAAGTCTGTGTGACTCCAGGAGTGTCCCTCCCCCCAGTCAGTGGGAGTCTAGAAGGATCTACACCAAGTCTTGGGAGCCCAAGGGTGTCCCTTCGCCAATCTTTGTCACTCAGGGGACATTCACCCCCCAGTCACACAGACGAAGCATATCCACAGCTGGGTCTGTGTGACCCCAGCAGAGTCTACTTCACAAGTCGTGTAACCACAGGAGTGTCCCCAGACGAACCTATGGGAATCCAGGAGTGTCCACATCACAGTCACTTGACCACAGTGGTGCTGACTTCCCAGTTTATGTATCCTTAGCCATGTCCTTTTTCCAGACTGTGTGACCCTAAGTGTCCACACCCCAAACTCGGTGATCCAAGTCACTCCAGTCTGCGTGACTCCAGTGTTGCCCACACACCAATCTGTATGACCCTAAGAGAACACATCCCGGTCTGTGATGCTTCAGCAGTGGCCACACCCTACTCTGTGTGACCCCAGAAGTGGCTACACCACAATCAGCATGACCTCAGGATTTCTTACTCCAAAATCTAGTAACATCATGAGTGTCTACACCCTCACCTGTGTGATTCCAAGAGGATCCACACCCCAGGCTGTGTGACCCTGGGAAGGTCCCTATAGCAGTCAGTGTAAACCTGGGAGTGCACTCTTCCCTGTCAGTGTGAGCTGGGAGGGTGTATCTAGAGGAAGAGTGATCCAGGGAAAGGCGAAGGGCCGGATGTGGTGGCTCACACCTGTAATCCCAACACTTTGGGAGGCCAAGGTGGGTGGATCACCTGAGGTCAGGGGTTTGAGACCAGCCTGGGCAACATGGTGAAACCCCGTCTCTACTAAAAATACAAAAATTAGCCAGGCGTGGTGGCACATACCTGTAATCCCAGCTACTTGGGAGGCTGAGGCAGGAGAATCACTTGAACCTGGGAGGCGGAGGTTGCAGTGAGCTGAGGTTGTGCCACTGCACTCCAGCCTGGGTGATAGGCCAAGACTCTGTCTCAAAAAAAAGAAAGAAAGGCAAGGGCCCTGAGGCAATGGCCCTGAGGTGCCTGGCACATTTGAAGAACAGGCCAGTGGGGCAGGAGCAGAGTGAACAAGGAGCCAGTGGCGGGCGGTGAGGTCAAGGAGGGCCCGGAGGGCCTCGTGGGCCACGGAGAGGACTTTGGCTTTTTCTCTGAGAGAGATGAGAGCCATGGCAGGGCTCCGAGCAGAGGAGGGCCCCGGGCTGACTTGGGTTGCAACAGGATCCCTCTGGCTGCTGTGGTGGCGGCTACTCAACTGTTATTGTTTGTCAAAACTCAGAGAACTGTATGCCAAAAGGGTGAACTTTATCGTATGTAAATTATAACTCTTTACATTTAAGTTATAACTTTTGGAAAATGTGCAGTACTGGCCAGGCATGGTGGCTCATGCCTGTAATCCCAGCACTTTGGGAGGCTGAGGTGGGAGGATCGTTTTAGCCTGGGAGATTGAGGCGGCAGTGAGCTGAGATCATGCTGCTGCCCTCCAGCCTGGACAACAGAGCAAGACCCTGTTTTGAAGAAAAAACAAAAAACAAAACAAAACAAAAAAAGTGCAGTACTTTGCAAGCAATAAAGATTTCTATTTCTGCAAGAGAGGCTGTGCTCATGCCTGTCCTTACCCCTCTCCTTCCTGCACAAACACATCTCAGGAATGCACCTGAGGAAAAGGAGGGAGCCGGGGCCTCCCTCAACTGCTCAAGGTAGTGCTCCCTTTGTTGTCTGCTGTGAACTGAATTGTGAATTCAGCAAATTCCTTTGTTGAAGCTTTAATCCTCAATGTGACTGTATTTGGAGATGGGGGTAATTAAGATTAAATGAGGCCATAAGGGCAGGGTCCTAATCTGATAGAACCGGTGTCCTCATTAGAGAGGGAAGAGATGCCTGAGCTCCCTCCCTCTCTCCCTGTGGGCGCACAAAGGAAAAGCCACATGAGGACAGAGAAAGAAGGTGGCTGTCTACGAGCCAGAAAGAGAAGCCTCACCAGAAACCAACCCTACCGGCACCTTGATCTTGAACTTCCAGCCTCCAGAACTGTGAGAAAATAAACGTCTGTGGTTTAAGCCACCCAGTCTGAGGTATTTTGTTAAGGCAGTCTGAGCAGCTAATTGGCTCTCAGTTTCAAGGCTGATTTCAAGAGACTCGTGTTGGCCAGGTATGAGGGGAGCCAGTGCTCAAGTGAAGGAAGGAAAATTCAGCACATCCTCCTCGTCTAGCTGAAGGGGGCTCTGGAGCAGCAGGAGGGGCCCAGGGCAAGCCTGGAATGAAATCCGTGGCACTCCTGCAGGTTCTGGGGGCGGTGTCCATGGAATATCCTCTGCCACATAACAAAATGACTAATAATTGCTTGGGGAGCTTTCAGAACTGCCCCAAGGCTTCCTCTAACACTCCACCCACACCTGGTTCATGCCAGGTTGCTCGATGCCTTGGTTCGGGAGAATAGGTGTGGTGTCATCTCAGGCTTGGTGGCAGCCCAAGGGAAGGGGCAAGTGTTCTGAGTCTCTCTAGATGACACAGGAGCTGAGGAAAGCTGGAGTGAATTATGAGTCACAGCCCGTACCTCACAAGAAAGTTCTGCCCGATGCCAGAGCTGGGAGCCATCACCAGTTATGCAGGGTTGGTGGAGAAGAGCCTCGGGATAATTGGTATGCATGCCCGCACATAGGTGTGTGCGTACCAGTACGTGTGAAGTTATGCAGGAGTGCGTGGTGTGCTTATGCCCATGTGTGTGCACATTAGTCCTTTTGTGCATGCATGCATACATGGCACATGTGTGTGCATTCATGCTTTGCTGTTTTGAATGCAGGTATGGTTATAAGTGCATATGGGCAACAGAAGTTCAAGTGTGAATTCTCATGGAGATGCTAGGGTGTAGCAGGCACATGGGGACCTGTTCCCTGACAGGGGTGTTTGTGAAAAGCAACTGTGCATATGTGTGAGGGTGTACTTATATATGAGATTCTATGTGCAAAGCCCTATGTCCGTGGGTGCTAGCCTGAGTGTTTGTGTCTGTGTATATACATGTGTATGCCAGCGTGCACATGCATGGCTGTGTGTGAGTGCGTAAGTGAAGGGGAGCACATTGGCCCAAGCTGGTAAGTCTAGTATCTATGCATGTATACCCCTGGGCACCGCCCCCCCCGCCCCGTGCAAGTGTGAGTGAACAGGTACACAAGGGCCTGGGCGTAGATGTCTGTGCACATGTACGTGGGCATGCTGTATGCATGGCTGCAGGGATTTCCCACGTGTGTGTGTGCACAGATGCACAAGTGCCCAGGAACCTAGATTGTGGTGTCTGTACACATGTACCTCTGGGCACCATGCATGTGTGTGTGCAAAAGTGCAAGTGTGCCTATGGGCTCAGGTCTGGCTGTCTGTGTACATATACCCCCTGGATGCCCATAAAGGTGTGAGTGTGTACTGCAGGTGCATATTTGTCCGTGGGCCTCAGTCTGGGTATTTGTGAACATATAACCTGTGTGAACGTGCATGGGTGTGTGGATGTGATCAGGTGTGCCCATGGACCCAGGCCTCGGTGTCTGTGTACAGGTACCTCAGGGTGCCCGTGTGTGTGTGTGTGTGTGTGTGTGTGTGCGCGTGTGTGTGTGCATGTGCATGTGTGTATGTGTGCATGTGTAACTCTGGAGGTCCATGCATGTGTGTGCGCATGGCTTCAAGTGTGTCCAAGGACCTGGGTCTGGGCATGTGTGTACATGTATCCCTAGGAACCCATGCATGAGTATGCTCACGTGTTCAGCGGTGCCAATGGCCTTGGATCTTGGTGTCTGTGTATGTGTACCCTTGGGGGACCACAGATGGCATTCATGCATGCATATGTAGCACCATGGAGGGATCTGTGTGCAGATTTACCTCTACCTACACCTGGCTGGGGATCATAAAGAAAATCAAGGGATGCGCTACCTCCATGAATCCAGGTTTCAGCAGAGCTAAGGGAGTGAAATTTGGGGCCATTTTACTTGTCTCAAACCTTGTTATCTGAGAGAAAGCTAGAGCTTCCTTCTTTCAGCCCCCAGAGACAATGTGGCCAGGCTCCGGAGGGCTGGGAAGATGAGCAATGCTTGTGAGTCACCATGATAGGAAGCAGAAGGGTCAGGAAGTCCCTGGGAGCAAGGCTTAGGGTTAGGGTTAGGGAGAAAACACTTGGGCCTGGAGGCTCGGGGCAGGCTTCCTAGAGGGGAGGGGTAGGAAGAGGCAGTGACAGGGCCCACAGCAATGGAGAGGAGTTGGACTGCAGGGATGGGGTAGGGGGACAGACGACAAGGGACACTCAGAAGACTAATGTCTGGGAGTGGGAAAACAGTGTTTGCTCAGCCAGGAAGCTGCATCCAGCTCTTTTATCATTTGTAGAAGACCAAGTACCCAGGCCTGGGAGGAGCCCAGAGATGAACCAGAGTTTGGAGCTGGGGGCGGGGGTAGTTCTCTCTGTCCCTGTAACAGGCAGTTTAGGCTTAAAGAGCTGTCCAGGCTGGGCGCAGTGGCTCACGCCTGTAATCCCAGCACTTTGGGAGGCCGAGGCAGGCGGATCACCTGAGGTTGGGAGTTCAAGACCAGCCTGACCAACATGGAGAGACCCCCGTCCCTACTAAAAATACAAAATTAGGCAGGCGCAGTGGCACATGTCTGTAATCCCAGCTACTTGGGAGGCTGAGGCAGAAGAATTGCTTGAACCCGGGAGGAGGAGACTGCATTGAGCCGAGATCACGCTATTACACTCCAGCCTGGGCAACAAGAGTGAAACTCTGTCTCAAAAAAAAAAAGAAAGAACTGTCCAGGATTCCACGGGCCCCTGGGGCCCAGGGTAAGCTGCCTCCCCTTTCTGGGCCTCGGTCTTCTCCATTGTCACATGGCCTGCCTGTCTGCAGCCCAGGCCCCGGGAAGCATTTAGCCTGAGAGAGGAGCCCATGGACAGTGGGCAGGCAGCTGGCTGCTCCCCAAGATTGGGCCACCCTCCTGCTCCTCTGCCACTTCAGAGTCTTTACACCCTGCCCCAGAGGCAAAGCTTGGAAATGGGCTGGGGGAGCCATGGCCACAGGCCAGTCAGCATGGGGGAAGCCTGGTGGGGTTGAAACCCTGGGCTAGGAGGGGGCACGTCCATCACGAACCCTGGTCCCCCACCAACCCACCCGACCATAGCAGGGGAGGCACAGGAACCCACAACCTTCCTCCTGACCCCAGCTGGAGAAGGATGTTGCTGCTCCTGAATTCCAAGCTGGCCCAGATGTAGAGTGGTCCCCCAAGGGTATACTTGCACAGACACCAAGATCCAAGCCCATTGGCACAGCTGAAAACATGAGCATTCCCATGCATGGGCCCCTAGGGGTACATGGACACAAATCTCCCCTTCCAGTCATGGCACCCCAGTCCTGATCAGCTTCACCCCAAAAAGCTCCCAGGTGCGGAGTCAAGACCTTCTTGTGCCCCCACTTCAACCCCAAGCCAATGGCTTCTTTTTTTTTTTTTTTTTCCAGAGACTGGGGTGGAGGGGTTTCACTCTGTCACCCAGGCTGGAATGCAGTGGCACAATCATAGCTCACTGCAGCCTTGATCTCACAACTGATCCTCCGTCCTCAGCTACTGGTGCGAGCTACCACGCCTGGCTCTGAGCCAATGGCTTTCTTTTAGATCCTCCAGAAGGTCAACAATACTGACTGCAGAACGCCAGGCAGCCACAGGCCACTGGGCACAGTTGTGCAGGCTGTGCTCTAACAAAAGTTGCCTGGCCACAGAGGACACTGGGAGCAGGAATGCACCCTGGGCTCCTCTAGCATCACTGGGGCCTGGCCTGGGGCCGCGTCCATCAGGAGGAAGGGGCATCCTTTTCTAAAGTTCACGCAGGCATTATGTGAGCTAGTGGCGCCCCTCAGTGTCCAGGTTTTTAAAGGCAAAGGAAATCTGGACATGCGCAGAAAGTGAACATGGCCCCAGAGCCAGGCATACCTTCACCCGGGATGTCTCTGAGCTGGAAAAAAATACTCAGCCATTGTCTAGCGCAGCCCTATGCTTATCAGGAAAAATTGTAAAAAACTTTTAAATGGACAAAACTATTCCCCAGGTGTCCTTTCAATGGAACACTGGATGTGGTCTACCCAAGCCCCTTATGGCGTATCTGATTCTATAGCGGGCTGCACTTTTGTCTTTGGCTGGGCCATTTTGCACCTCTGTAGAGAGAAGTTAACCTGTGCAGGACTGATAATTCCCATCCATAATAAATGAATTTTGTCCTGTAGAGATACAGCTGATCTCTATCCTGTAGAAAAAGATTATTCCAGATATTATATTGCATCTATTGGCAAATCCATTGCAGTATCTCTGGGAGTTTATATATGCTTGTTCTTCAGATTCTCCTCTGAGCCTAGTGTAACATATTACCAGTTCCCTCATTCATAAATGATCTGGGCCAGGCATGGTGGCTCATGCTTGTAATCTCAACACTTTGGGAGGCCGAGGCGGGTGGATCACTTCAGCCCAGGAGTTCAAGAGCAGCCTGGGCCACAAGGCAAAACCCTGTCTCTACAAAAAGTACAAAAATTAGCTGGGAGTGGTGGTGAGCGTGTGTAGTCCCAGCTACTCAGGAGGCTGAGGTGGGAGGATCATCTGATGCCAGGGAGGTCAAGGTCTGCAGTAAGCTGTGATTGCACCACTGCACTCCAGCCTGGGCGACAGAGTGAGACTCTGTCTCAAAAATAAATAAATAAATGATCTAAAAATCCTTGACACATGTTCACTTTATATTTGTAGGAGTCGTGATGTTACCATTTTGGAAATAATTTTTTAATTGCATCTACCAGCTCACAGTACAGATGAGATCACCAAGCTGGGGGAGAAGGGACTTGCTTGAAGTGACCCTCATGGACTGGGACTGGAAGGCAGAGCTGAACTCAAGCTACTCTGGGTGCTGCCCTGCTCCTGGAAGGAGGGGGATATGCTGTGCCCAGGTGTGGAATGGAATGGAGGGCTGTGACACACCTCCACCATGGGGATATGGAGTGACCTTCTGAGATGAGGGGGTCATCTGTCAGGTCCCACCCTCTGTGCTGTGCCTTGATTCAGACCCACGACACAACCAGCCGTCCACCCCACCCCAGGTGGTCCTGGCCAGGGGAAGTGCTGAAATGCCCCCATTGCCATCCTGAACTGCTATGCTGGTGATGACCATAGGAAAGCTTTATTCTAGGTATACTATTTCAACTGCTGGGCCCCAGCTTCCTTATCTATAAAATGTAGTTAGTTCCGGTTCCTGCCTTATATGATGTGGAGAAGATTAAATGAGATTATGGACACGAAGCTCTTCAAATTGCCCGGCACAGAGTAAACGCTCAATATTTATCAGCTGTTAGTCATTAGGTCTGTTTGACTTGCAGAACTTCCAGTGGTGGACATTTTTGAAGGGATGCTTGGGGCCCCCTCGAGATGCTGGCCTAGCAGGACCCAGCTGCTCCATCCTTGGATGAAACACCCAACAAGTGTTCCCCGGGTGATGGATCAGGAAACTCAGACTCCTGGCCAGGGAAAACAGGCCTGACCTGCTCTCTGGAACCCCCATGTTGCCATCCAGGAGATCCTGAAGCCCAAGGCACAAATGAGGAGGAGCACAAGGAGTGGTGAGTTCTTGACAGGAAATGGTGGGGTGCCCTAGGAGAAATCACCTCTTAGGGTCTCGGTTTCCCCATCTGTACAATGGGCACTTCGGAGCTGTGAGTTGCTGAGGACCTTTGCAGCCGCCTTTTGGGGAAGAACAAATGTTCTCCAAGGGTGTAACGGCTGGAGGCTGACCCTTTCCCAGCCCAGGCCCTGCCATTAGAGACAAAGTACACCAGACACAAAGGGAAAACCCAGTCCCCGCCACACAAAGGCAAAACCCAGTCCCCGCCACAGCATAGGAAGCTGCCCAGCAAGTTGAGAGTCAAGTTGCCCAAGTTTTGTGGCCAGTGAAGGGGAGGTTTGCAGCCAGACCACTCCTGAGGCCTACCTGGGGAACTTGTGGGGGTTGGGTTGGGGGGATGGACTCAGTGGCCTCTGGGGTCCCTTCCAGTCCAGACTCTCCTCTGTGGCTGGCATGCTCTGACCTCAGAGGTCCAATCTGCAAAATGGGACGATAACCCCATGTGGGCTGAGAGGGCAGGAAGGTGGATGTATTCTTCAGGGTTCTGTGAGTTGTAAGTGGCAGACACTCCAGTCAAACCAGCTTAAGGTAAAAGGGAATAATTACTCAGGTAATGGAAGAGACCTGGGACAGAGTGAGCTTTGGCCATGCACAGCGTGTCTGAGGACTCTCTCTCTCTGTCCAGGAGGTCTGATTTATCTTTGAGAGCTTGGCCCTCGGCAGGCTCTCCCAGGTGGTGGCTGCCTCGCCTATCCCTAAACAGCAAGGAGTCCCAGAGGACAGCAAAGCCTCTTTCCCTTCAGTTCCAGCTTTAGATCATGTGGCCTGGCTTGAGTCACACCCATTCCTGACCCTGTGGTCACAATGACAGATTGCTCTGATTGGCTGGTCTAGTCATGAGTCCACTCCTGAAGATATAGGTGGGAGCAGGGAGGTGGGGGAGTTAGCCCCACAAGAACAACATGCACTGGAGTGAGGTGAGGAGGAAGGGGGTTGCTAAAAGAAAATGGAGGTCCAGCCGGGTGTGTTGGTTCACACCTGTAATCCCAGCACTCTGGGAGTCTGAGGCGGGCGGATCACAAGGTCAGGAGTTTAAGACCAGCCTGGCCAACATGGTGAAACCCCATCTCTACTAAAAATACAAAATTAGCCAGGCGTGGTGGCACGCGCCTGTAATCCCAGCTACATGGGAGACTGAGGCAGAAGAATTGCTTGAACCCGGGAGGCAGAGGTTGCGGTGAGCCAAGATCATGCCACTGCACTCCAGCCTGGGTGACAGAGCGAGACTGCATCTCAAAAAGAAAAAAAAAAGAAAAAAAAGAAAATGGAGGTCAGACATGATGGTTCACATGTGTAATCCGAGAACACTGGGAGGCTGACTTGAGGCCAGGAGTTCAAAACCAGCCTAGACAACATAGTGAAACCCCGTCTCTACAAAAAATACAAAAATTAGCTTGGTGTGGTGGTGCATGCCTGTAGTCCCAGCTACTTGGGAGGCTGATCTCTTGAGCCCTGGAGTGAGAGGCTGCACCTCTCACTCCACTGCACTCCAGCCTGGGTGACAGAATGAGACCCTGTCTCAAAAAAAAAAGAAAAGAAAAGAAAGAAAGAAAGAAGGTGGTCTTTCATAGAAGAGGAAAGAGGTGCTGAGTTGGTAAAAGGAATGCCTGCCCAATACAGTAGGCCACCGCTGAATCCTTAAGTAAAACCACTGGCAGCCTTAGTCCCTCTCTGCCTACCACTTTCAGGTGCTCAGCTTTATGCTGTAAAGTTACCCCATCACTCCTAAACTCGGAAATTCTGCCTCCCATGACAGATTAAAAGGCAATTTATACTAAAATGTCAATGACTACCAGATTCTGAAGAAGGCAAAGCCTCACTGGATGTGACTTAATCTTCTAGTGAGATTTAGGGCCGTGTGGCAAAAGGATGGGGAGATGTCAGGGAGTGTGCCAAGTACTCAATGGACCAGGCAGCTCAAAGGCAGCCCCGGGAGGAGAGAGCAACCTCCTTCCCATGTTCTGTCTCCATTCAGAGCAGATGGCCCTCCCAGGCGCATCTGAGCTCCCGGCTCTTCTGCTCCCCTCCTCTGAGGGACCTGTCTGTCTAGCTATCAGCCTGTCAGTTCAGCTCTGCTGCAAAGCTGTTGTGTAGGTGTATATTCATCGAGTGTCTGTTCCTAACACTGATTTCTTGGCAGAGAGAAGTCAGTTCATCCAACCATTAAGGATGAGTTCTGTGTGAGAGGGTCAGAGAAGAGGATTGGGAAGCAGATGGAGCAGGTTAGAACATTAGAATTGTTATCAACCCGCTCTTTCTTGTAGATACCCACAGTTCATCTACTCAACCACTCACTTAGCCTTGCGCCCATTCATCCACCCATGATTCACCCACTTACCCACTATTCATTCATCTGTTTATCTAGCCACCCATCCGCACACCCACATAACTGGTCACTGCTGTGGCTCCAGCTTTGTGCCATGCATTGGGAGCACAGAGATGAGTCATATCCCCTCCTGCTCTTTCAGCCCTCCCAGTCTAACTGGAGAGACATCCACAGGCAAATCTCGCTGCATGATTCTGTGATCAATGCTGTGGTTACCCCAGGGAGCATTTGATTATGACCCTGACATTTTAGCCGAGTGCTGACAGATCTCTTGGTGTTGCCAGGAGAGAGGAGGAGGAAGGACATTCCTAGAAGTGGGAACAGCGTAGATAAACCCTGGGAGGTGTAAGAGAGAATGAGTGTGGTTAAAGCGCAGGGTGGATGAAGGGCTGAGGCAGAAGTTGGCACTTGGGCTGGGTGCAGTGGCTCATGCCTGTAATCCCAGCACTTTGGGAGGCTGGGGCGGGCAGATCACCTGAGGCCAGGAGTTCGAGACCAGCCTGGCCAACATGGTGCAACCCCATCTCTACTAAAAATACAAAAATTAGCCGGGTATGGTGGTGGGCACCTGTAATCCTAGCTACTCCAAAGGCTGAGGCAGGAGAATCGCTTGAACCCGGGAGGCGGAGGTTGCAGTGAGCACCAAGATCACGCTGCTGTACTCCAGCCTAGGCGACAAAGTGAGACTGTCTCAAAAATAATAATAAAATAAAAGAAGTTGGCATTTGGAAGCTGAGCAGGGGCTTTAATTCCTAGTCCTGGGGTGCCAGGGATGGCTTTTGAGCAAAAGAGCCAGCACCCAGAGTGTGGCCAGAGGCCTGGGGAAGCTGGCCTGGGGTAGCCAGCCCGCTTTTGCTCCAGGCCCCAAAGAGACACATGTGCCAACCCCCAGCCTGCAATTCAAAGAAAGAAAAAGACTTCAGGAAGAACGCCATTTACAGAAACTGTCCCTGAGATGGATGGACAGATGGACAGTGGGATGCTGAGATGTCTGGTGGGTGTACAGATCCAAGCATAAACTCTGGTCCACACCACACGCTTTGGGGACACATACCAGGGAAACAATGTGGTCAGGGGAATCAGGCATGTGCACCCCAATTTACCTGGCTCTGCAGGGCTTGGAGGGCTTGCAGGATGCATGGCCACGTTGCTGAGGGAAGAGGGCCAGAAGGTCAAAGCCACTTCCAGTTGGGACTCTAAGAATTTCCTCAAGGGGGCCGGGTGCGGTGGCTCATACCTGTAATCCCAACATTTTGGGAGGCCAAGGCAGGTGGATTACTTGAGGTCAGGAGTTCAAGACCAGCTTGGTCAACATGGTGAAACCCCGTCTCTACAAAAATACAAAAATTCATCTTGCGTGGTGGCGGGTGCCTTTAATCCCAGCTGCTTGGGAGGCTGAGGCAAGAGAATTGCTTGAACCTGGGAGGCAAAGGTTGCAGTCAGCCAAGATTGTGTGCCACTGCACTCCAGCCTGGGTGACAGAGCAAGACTCTGTCTTCAAAAAAAAAAAAAGAATTTCCTCAAGAGCAGCAGCTTCTGAATTTTCCTGAGTGTAGCTGAATCTTTATGCTAAGAAACCATCCCAAGACCTCTGCCAGGAGCACTGGGTGCTGTTAGCTCTGTCGAATGATGTTGTCCTTCACAAGGAGTAAGAGCCAGGAGGACAATTGAGGATGTGTCCTAAGAATGACACCCCGTGCAGGGGATGGGGCTCAGTAGTGAACCAATCCCTCTGCCCAGGGCTGCCAGCCTTCCAGGTGTCAGACTTGGTCAGGAAAAGTCCTCAGCCTTGATAGCTTGGTGTGAGAGTAGTGCAGTCAGATCTCAGGGTGCCAGAGGAAACTGGGTCAGCAGATGATATGCCAGGAGGCCCTAGGGTGCCAGGAGCTGTGGAGAGACCTCAGCTGGCTCTAGAAGGAAGAAGGGCAGCAGTTTGCAGGTAGGGTGGGGTAGAAAACCAAGGGCGGCCGGGTGCGGTGGCTCATGCCTGTAATCCCAGCACTTTGGGAGGCTGAGGCAGGTGAATCACCTGAGGTCAGGAGTTCGAAACCAGCCTGACCAACATGGAGAAACCCCATCTCTACTAAAAATACAAAATTAGCTGGGCGTGGTGGCACATGCCTGTAATCCCAGCTACTTGGGAGGCTGAGGCAGGAGAATCGCTTGAACCTGGAAGGCAGAGGTTGCAGTAAGCCGAGATCGTGCCATTACACTCCATCCTGGGCAACAAGAGTGAAACTCCGTCTCAAAAAAAGAAAGAGAGAGAGAGAGAGAGAACCAAGGACAACAGGGCTGCAGGGTGAGGAGGACCTCCCCAAAACCCAAAAGTCCTATGGCGGCCCCATTTCAAGCACTCTCCAGGCAGGGAGAGGCCAGCACCCAGCCCTTCGTCACCCCTGCTATTCATTGGTTGATGGAGTCCTGTAGTCAACGCTTGCCAGACATCGTCTAGATGCTGAGCCTAGTGCAGGCACTGGAGGCCACAGACAGCAGAGATGCAGCACTGCCTAGTGGGGAGACAGACACTTTTGTGTGATAAGGTTTATGAAGATAGGGTCTGCCCAGGGTGTGGGAATCCCAGAAGCAAGAGGTAGGAAGGGTCTCCCCGACCTGGGAAGTGATATCAAACTGGATCTTTTTTTGCTTTATTTTAGAGACAGGGTCTTTCTCTGTCACTCATGTTGGAGTGCAGTGGCACAATCACAGCTCACTGCAGCTTGGAACTCCTAGGCTCAAGGAATCCTCCCGCTAGAGCCTCCTGAGTAGCTGGGACTACAGGTGCATGCCACCATGCCTGGTTAATTTTTTCTTTTTTTCTGAGATAGTCTCACTCTGTTGTCCAGGCTGGAGTGCAGTGGTGCAATCTCAGCTCACTGCAACTTCCGCCTCCCAGGTGCAAGTGATTCTCATGCCTCAGCCTCCCGAGTAGCTGGGATTACAGGCACGTGCCACCACACCTGGCTAATTTTTTTTAATTTTTGGTAGAGATGGGGTTTCACCATCTTGGCCATCTTGAATTCCTGATCTCAAGTGATCTGCCCGCCTTGGCCTCCCAAAGTGCTGGGATTACAGGCATGAGCCACTGTGCCCAGCCAATTTTTAAAAAAATTTTTTGTAGAAATGTCGTCTCACTGTGTGGCCCAAGCTGGTCTCAAACTGCTGGCCTCAAGCAATCCCCCCACCTTGGCCTCCCAAAGCGCTGGGATTACAGGCATGAGCCACCTGGCCTGGCCGGAACTCCATACTGTTTTCCACAGCTGTTGCACCATTTTACATCCCCACTGACAGTAATTTCCCCTATCCTTGTTGATTTTATTTATTTTTGAGGTATTTGAAACAAGATGGTTTCAAAAGTCAGAACTAGGCCAAAAAGTCTACTCAGAGAGGTGTCACTGTCACTTCTCCGTTCTATCCCTCTCACCCATTCCCTCTAGGAAACCAATCTCAATAGTTTCTGCTTTATCCTTCCAATGTTTCTTTTTGTAAAGATAAACAAATACATGTATGTTTTCTTATATCATCTTGTTTCTTACATGAATGCTTGCATCCTATATTTACTTTTTTGCACTTTGCTTTTTCCACTTAACAGCATGTCCTGGCCGGGTGCAGTGGCTCATGCCTGTAATCCCAGCACTTTGGGAGGCCGAGCTGGGTGGATCACCTGAAGTCAGGAGTTCAAGACCAGCCTGGCCAACATGGTGAAACCCCGTCTCTACTAAAAACACAAAAATTAGCTGGACGTGGTGGCAGGCGCCTGTAATCCCAGCTACTCAGGAGGCCGAGGCAGGAGGATCACCTGAGGTCAGGAGTTCAAGAAGAGCCTGGCCAACATGGAGAAACCCCATCTCTACCAAAAATACAAAAATTAGCCCGGTGTGGAGGTGTGCACCTATAGCCCCAGCTATTTGGGAGGCTGAGCCAGGAGAATCACTTGAACCCGGGCAGCCGAGGTTGCAGTGAGCTGAGATCATGCCAGTGCACCCAGCCTGGGCAACAGAGCAAGACTCTGTTTCAAAAAACAAACAAACAAAAAACAGTATGTCCTGGAAATCGTTCCTCATCAGTTCATAGATGTCTTCCTCAATCATTTTACAGTTGCACAGAACTCCATTGTGTGACTGCACCACAGTTTATTCAATCACTGCCTATGTATAGGAAGTGATATTGTTTTCAATATTTTGCAATTATAAACCGTGCCACAATGAATAACCTTGTGCATTTGTATTTTCACAGTGTCTGGGGGAGTATCTTCAGGGTAAATTGCTGGAAGTGGGAGCGCTGGTGCAAAAGAAAAATATGCATTTTTGTTAGATGTCAAATTCCCCTTCATCGGGGTTATAAAAACGACTTTTTAAAAAGCACAAATAAGAAAAGCTGATCTTTGCAAAAGAAACCAAACAGTCTTTCTTACTGACATCTAATAGTCTGCGTTGGTTTTAAGACTGAGGCATTTAATTTCACAAAGACTGTTTTTTACAGAGTGATTTAATTTCACCATTGTCACAGGCTCTGCTGGTGCCTACGCCACACACACACACACACACACACACACACACACACACACACACACGACCTCACATCGCCATAGGAGCTGCTTATCCCATCTGAGCCTCAGTTGTAGCCTCTGTAAAATGGGCGGCACCTGTCTGGCTACAAGTGGTTTTAGAGACTAAGCATTTGGTTCTCTGTGAGATTCCAGATTTCCCAGAAAATCTGATGAAAGCTGAGAGCTCGCTCCCTAGGAACATGCTGAGAAAGAGACAAGCAGCCCCTGACATCCCAGAGCTGGCTTGATACCCACGGCTAGACCTTAGTGCCCTCCTGTTGAACACGGACAATTTCACAAAACATCAGTATCAGACAAGGCCACTCTGACTGTGATGGATCGAGACAAAAACAAGATCAGTATGTCATCTTGTCTTAGCACAGACACATGAATACATTGTCCAAACCACAAAAATGACCAAGTATTCCCCGACTTGGCTATACAATGCACTTTTTTTTTTTTTTTTGGCCAATGACAACTTTAGCCTCCACTCTAGTTAGTCTGCCCTCCTTCTAGATAAAATTTATTGTGATATCCAATCATAGAATTAGCCCCACTCCCTATCCAGAGCAAAGCCCTGCTTCCTTAAACCATCCCCCAAATCACTGAACACAAGCCCCAATCCTATTATAAGTTCTAACTCCCTTTTACTGAGACACCCCACGGTTCCCCACAGTGTACACCCTCCCTTGTTGCAATGAGCAATAAACCCAACTTGTTCAACCACACATGTGTTCCTGGGGGGTTTTGGCTAGAGGACTTTGACAGCACTTACAGAGTTGGCTGTAAGCTCAAGGACTCTTTGGAACCCCATCTCTGCATGCCCCTAGTCCACAGACTCCTAATTAAGTGGCCTTGAGTCTAGAGCATCAGTAATACCATTAAACAGATGGAGAAACCGAGGTCTAGAGAGATTGACTTCTTCAAAGTCCCATTGTGAGCCAACAGCTGGGTAGGAACTGGAAACTGTGGCTGCTGGTCCCAAGGTGAGGTATGTCCAGCAGACATAGAACCCGTCCCCAAGCTCCCCTTGGCCACAACAGTGTTCTCCCTGCACAGGCCACAGAACTAACCGGCAAGATACGCACATGCGCATTTCTGAAGGATGGCTTCATTCTCTCCCTGTCCTGCCTTTCTCTCTGTAGAATGGGGCAGTGAGATCCCAGGTTGAGGGATAAAGGAACCCCCACACCGGGGCTACCCTCAAGGACGCTCACACACTGTGGTCTCAGCTTAAAGGAGCCTCATCTTCCCTGTCCAGCTGCTGCGTCCCAGAGTGTGCACCCTCACAGACCCTGTCACCAGTAGCACCTCATTCCCATCTCTCAATTTCCCTCTGCATTTGCCCAGGTCAGGCGAGCTACCTAGAACCCCCCTCCCTTCCTTTCTTGACCTTGAGTTCTCATAATTTTTCTTCGAGATCTAGCGTGGGGCCAGGCATGGTGGCTCACACTTGTAATCCCAGCACTTTGTGATGTGGCAGGATGGCTTGAGGCCAGGAGTTCAGGAACAGGCTGGGCAACATGGCAAGACTCCATCTCTAGAAAAGAATTTTTTTTTTTTTTTGAGACGGAGTATTGCAGTCTAGCTCTGTCACCCAGGCTGGAGTGCAGTGGTGATCTCAGCTCACTGCAACCTTTGCTTCCCAGATTCATGCGATTCTCCTGCCTCCGCCTCCTGAGTAGCTGGGATTACAAGGCGCCCACCACCACACCTGGCTAATTTTTTTGTATTTTTAGTAGAGATGGGGTTTCACCATGTTGGCCAGGCTGGTCTCAAACTCCTGACCTCAGGTGATCCACCCATCTCAGCCTCCCAAAGTGCTGGGATTACAGGCGTGAGCCACCGCGCCTGGCCCAGAAAAGAATTTTTAAAAGTCCCAGCTACTCAGGAGGCCGAGGCAGGAGGATCACTTGAGCCCAGGAGTTGTAGGCTGCAGTGAGTTATGATTGAGCCACTGCCCTCCAGCCTGGGCAACACAGTGAGACCCTAACAATCAATCAGTCAATCAACAAAATAAGAATCTGGCCAGGCACGGTGGCTCATGCCTGTAATCCCAGCACTTTGGGAGGCTGAGGCGGGTGGATCACCTAAGGTCAGGAGTTCGAGACCAGCCTGGCCAACGTGGCAAAACCCGTCTCTACTAAAAATACAAAAATTAGCCAGGTGTGGTGGCGGGTGCCTGTAATCCCAGCTACTCGGGAGGCTGAGGCAGGAGAATCCATTGAACCCAGGAGGTGGAGGTTGCAGTGAGTGGAGATCACACCACTGCGCTCCAGCCTAGGTGACAGAACGAGACTCCGTTTCAATAAATAAATAAATAAATATAAAAAATAAAATAAAATAAGAATCTTATGAGTCCCAGAGAGAGAGAGAGAGAGAGACAAAGCTCTTCCTCACAGTAAAATCCCAGGTATATGTGTAAAAGAAAAATCATTATTTGGCCACCATCAGAGTAGTTATTGCTTCAGGCAAGAATCACCAATGAATGCTAAAGTAGTGAGTAAAAGTTTGATTTAAAAAAAATTGCAGAGTTACAGTCTCAAAGTATCTCCCGAAAAGCTACTTATTAATTACAAAAGGGGATCATGCCTGTAATCCCAGCACTTTGGGAGGCCAATGCAGGAGGATTGCTTAAGCCCAGGAATCCGAGACCAGCCTGGGCAACATAGTGAGACTGTTTCTACAAAAAATTTAAAAATTAGCCGGGCATGGTGACTCACACCTGTAGTCCTTGAAGATTACATGAGCCCAGGAGTTCAAAGATGCAGTGAACCATGATTGTGTCAATGCCCTCAAGCTTGCGTAATAGGGCAAGACCCTGTCTCCAAAAAAAAAGAAAAAAAATTACAAAGGGAAAAATAGTAAATTTATACTGGTGAAAACTAGAAGACCACTTTAAGCAAAAGATCAATGCTAATACTAACAATTTCGAGACTAACTGAACCCTCCTGCCTCCTGATAACGCTGAGAACACAGCGTCACTTCTGTGGAATTCCTGCCAAAAATGCAGAATTCAAATCTAATCATGAGGAGACATCAGATAAACCCAAATTGAAGGACATTCTTCCAAAGAACTGGTCTGTGCTCTCCCAAAACATCAAGATCATGAAAGTTAAGTGAAGATGGAGACATTGTTCCACATTGGAGGAGACTAAAAAAACCTGATAACAGAATGTATCTTGTGACCCTATGATTCCCTTTTCCTATACAAGGACACTATTGACATGCCCACCAGGGTGGCTAGAACCAAAAAGTCAGATAACAAGTATTTGTGAGGATGTGGAGCAATGGAAACCTCATACTATGCTGGTAGCAATGTAAAAAAAGAAAAAAAAGTCCTTGCTCTTAGGATATTCATACTGAAGTATTTAGTTAAAAGGGTGTCATATCCGCAACCACTAACAAATAATTCAGAAAAATCACTGTATATCATTCAGAAAAATTATATATATGTAAATTACATATGTATATACATGGGGAGAAAGAAACGGACAGAGACAGAGAGAGAGCAAATATGTTATCATTATAAGGCTTGGCATTTTTGTCAGTCCCATAAGTGAAAAATAGTATATCATTGTTTTTAATTTGTATCTCTTTAATTATGGAGAGCTCATCTAAAACACCCCAGAAACCACAACCTAGAATGACCACAGACATTTATTGAGTGTCCACCCTCTACTAAGCTCCAGTGATAAAAATATGAAGCACAACATCTGGTAGATGTAAAATGGTATTATATCTCACTGTTGTTTTAATTTTACATTTCCCTGAGCAGTAAAGAGATTGGGTTATCTTTTCATATATTATACATATTGACCATTTTAGGTTTCTTCTGCTGTGAATTACCTATTTGTACCCAATGTCTATTGCCAAGTGTATTGTTTGTCCTCTTCGGATTTGTAGATGTTCGTTATATATCCTAAAACCTAGATCCTACTTCTTTGTGACACAGGTCAAAAGCCTAGATGGAAACAATCAAGTCCGCAAAGCCCAGGAGCACATGTGGTAAGAATCTTCCAGTTTTAAATGCCAAGTCTTGCAATTGAGGGAAGTATTTCTGGTAGGTGCTGTGGGTCATTGTTGACTCAACTTGAGTGGGTTTGACAACTGAGAAAAAAATTAAAATGAAATTTAATTCATAAAATGTATGTCCTGTATTCTGCTGTTAAGGAAAAGAATTGATATTTGTGCATCTGGTCTAAGCTATTATTCCTTATATATACATATTCTTACCGTATTAAATGTTTTTTGTTTGTAATACATGAATACTAATTTATGAGCTAGAACTCCATTTAACTTCATGTTAAAATAGAGAGAAAATATACATTTCTCTTCAATTACCATTGGTGTTTCCCAGCAAAAACCTGCCAAGCCCACTCTTTTGTTTAACAGAAAAGGACAATGGAGACGGGTGAGTGAACATGACTTGCCCAGCTCCATACAGGCCATTGTTAATCTGATTAAAATCTGTTTCAGTTGGCTGCCCAGGTCAGGGTGGCGTCCAGTTTGACCTGGGCTTCCTTCTCCCTTCCACGTCACAGCTAAGCATGTAGTGCAGTAAGCGCCCAGTAAGTGCTCTTTTGGAAAAATAGGCCCTTCATCAGCCTAGGTACAAAGGGGAATGCCTAGAAACTGCAGCAGTAGGGTAGGTAGAAGGCGGGTGCTACATAAATCTTTAGTGTTGGTGCAGATAGAGGTGCGGATGGGGCCAGTGTAAGCGCTTTCTTTTTTATTTTATTTATTTATTTATTTAGAGAAGGAGTTTCGCTCTTGTTTATTTATTTATTTATTTTGGAGAAGGAGTTTTGCTCTTGTCACCCAGGCTGGAGTGCAATGGCGTGATCTCGGCTCACTGCAACCTCCGTCTCCTGGGCTCAAGTGATTCTCCTGCCTCAGCCTCCGGAGTAGCTGGGATTACAGGCGCCCAGCTAAATTTTTTGTATTTTTAGTAGAGACAGGGTTTCGCCATATTGGCCAGCCTGGTCTCAAACTCATGACCTCAGGTGATCCATCCGCCTCGGCCTTCCAAAGTGCTGGGTTACAGGTGTGAGCCACCACGCCCAGTCTTTATTTATTTATTTTGAGACGGAGTTTCGCTCTTGTAGCCCACAATGACGCGATCTTGGCTCACTGCAACCTCTGCCTCCTGATTCTCCTGCTTTAACCTCCCGAGTAGCTGGGATTACAAGCGTGCGCCACCACGCCTGGCTAATTTTTGTATTTTTAGTAGAGACGGGGTTTCGCCATGTTGGCCAGGCTGGTCTCGAACTCCTGACCTCAAGCTATCCTCCTACCCTTGGCCTCCCGAAGTGCTGGGTTTATAGGCGTGAGCCACCGAGCCTGGCCCTTAAGAGCTTTATAAATGCCCCCCTTTTAAGTGCTCGGTACTAGCCTCCCTCTAGTTCACAGAGAACATTTACTAGTCGCTGGGGTCACCTTCGAAGCAAAGAGTCTGCTGGGGAATTAAGCATGCAAATCACTTCTCAACGACGACACGCCAAGTGCTCACAGCTCGTCCCCAGGGGAAGCACAGGCGCCTAATTTGTGTTCCTAGGTGACACAGTCATTACTTATAAATGTTCCTGGCCGGTCCCAGGAGGTGGGAGGGTTGGGAGTTACTTCGGTTCTCTCAAAGGTTGGGGAAGGAGAGATCTCGGTTTGTTTTCCCATCTGTGAAACGGGGACACCACGGTATTTAGAGGACGTGCGCGGGTGACTATTTGGGGGTGCAGCGGCTTCCCTCCTCCCTCCCCCATCTTTCCCTTCTCACTTCCAAGGCTTGGAAATTTGGAGATTCGGAAGTTTGTTCTTGGATGGCCAGAAATCCTCCGGAGGCAGACGGTCTGGGGCTGAAACCGCCACAGGCCGGAAAGGTGCGGGCGTGAACGTCCTGCGCGCCGACGTCCCCCCGCGCCGGTCTCCCCTCAATCCTCCTGCTCCCCTCCTCCGCGTCCCCGTCCCCGCCCCCCTCCTGCTCTCCCATTGGCCGAGCCGGCGGCCGGGCCGCCCCGGGATTTAAAGGGCCCGCTCGCCGCGCCGCTCTGGGAGCCGCTGCTGGTCCCGGCCTTGCGGCCTGCGGGGGAGGCTGCCCGGAGGAGGCAGCGGCGGCGGCAGCGCGTCCTCGGTCCCCAGGACCACGGCTTCTTTCCTGCCAGGTAGGTCGCCAGTAGTGCGCACGCGGCTCCCCAGCTCCCATCCCTGGGCCGGCCTCCCCAGGCGGATCTGTAGCGCGAGTGCTAGGACCCCCTCCCCATCACCTTTCCGACTCTCCCTCAGGCTATGTCTCCTACCACCACCTCCTTGCAGCCCCCGGACCTGGGCAGGACTTTGTTGGCGGCCTCTCGCCGGGTGGGGATGAGATGGGGGGCGCGGAGGATACAGGACACCCCCCCTCCCCGTGCCGCCGCATCCATACAAGGAGAGATGCACACGGCCCCCAAGTGTCACAGAATCCCCCTCTCTGCCCTCCACTCAGAGCGACTCTACCTTGGAAACCAGGGATTCCCCTTCCCGTCGCCCGCCCCATTTGATATATGGGCCTGAAATGTATGCCATCCCATCACCATCGGACTGGACTGTTCACAGCACTGGAGAGACAGAGGTCCTTCATTCACTCCAGGTCACAGGCTGTGCGTGTGCATGCCGAACACCCACATGCACACAGTTGGTGGCTCAGTCTGATGTACCTGACTTCTCACGCCTTCCCCCAGTCCTCCAGTACCGTGCCTCTACATGGGCTGGGCAGCCCCAAACTGAAATGTGAGTGCCAGAGTGCATCCTTTAAGCGAGGTCTGCCCCACGGACACCCGCTCCCTCTGTGTCCCTGCTTTGACAGATCTATCCATCTGGCCATCCATCCGTGGGGGTCTGCAATGGCCACCTTTAGCCGCCAGGAATTTTTCCAGCAGCTACTGCAAGGCTGTCTCCTGCCTACTGCCCAGCAGGGCCTTGACCAGATCTGGCTGCTCCTTGCCATCTGCCTCGCCTGCCGCCTCCTCTGGAGGCTCGGTAAGTGCCTGCCATACCGTGTGCCACCATGCCAGGCCATATCAGACCTCCCACATTCATCCATATCGAGCCACACCTTACCCTGTCACATCCTGCCAGGCCCTAGCATGTCCAAGCTGGACCCCAACATGTTCAGCCCCACCACATCCCACCAGGCCAAACCCCATTCCACCATACCACATCCTACTATGCCAGCCACCCCATGCCATGCCACACCGAGCCACATCCTGCCATGCCAAGCCATGCCCTTCAGTATTCCTGAGTTCTGGGATTCCAGAAAGCTGAGATTCTTGGATCTTGGGATTCTGAAATGTCTACATCCCAAGGTTATAAGACATTGGCATGCTGATGTCACAGGGTTATGGAATCCCAAAGTACCATGATTACAGCGTTTGGAGATTCTGACAATTTGAAATTCTCACATTCTAGACTTCTAAAATGTTGGCATTGTGGATTTCTATAATCAGGGCATGATGCGATTTCTGGATTCTAGGATTCTGAAATGTTTCCACAGTCATAGCAGGCCTGTATCTTAATGAAAGATTCCAAGTCCCCAAGATTCCTATAGGAGGCGGAGATTTCTGGAAATCTGAGATCCGAAGGTTCTACACTTTCTTTTTTCTTTCTTTCTTTTTTAATTTTAAATGGATGTTCTATTTTTTCCCAGGTTTATTATTTTGAAATTTTTCAAAGCTACTGAAATGTTGAAAAAATAGTACAGTGAGCACCCACGTATGCATCACCAGATTCTCTGTCAACATCTTGCCACGTTAGCTGGCTCTATCTGTCTATCTATCTATCTATCTGTATATCTATCCATCTATCTATCTATCTATCTATCCATCTATCTATCTATCATCTTCCTGAATTGCCTGAATAACCTGCTGACATCATGACACTGTACCCCACATCCTTCAGTGTGTGGCCCCTGAGAACAAGGACATCATCTCCCACAACCACATCCTCCACCATCACCCCACAAGACATTGAATCTGGATACAATAATGTTATCCTATATAAATTGATATTTGAATTTCTTCCAAGGTCCCCCAAATGCCCTTTATAGATGTTTCTTTTCTTTAAACCCAGGCCCTGCCACCCTCTCCAGCTCCCCAACACCTGCTTTGGGCCCCTCCAATCCCACTACATTCCAGCCTGAAGGCCTTTGCCCTGGCTACGCCCTCTACCCAGGTCATCCTCCCCTTCCTACTAGCCCACCAACCTTCTCTTTCTTGTTCTCCCTCTCTCTCTCCCTCCCTCCCTCCCTTCCTCCCACTCCCTCTCTTTCTCTCTCTTTCTCGTTCTCTCTCTCCCTTTCTTTCTCCCTTTCACCCAAAGGGTTGCCATCCTACCTGAAGCATGCAAGCACCGTGGCAGGCGGGTTCTTCAGCCTCTACCACTTCTTCCAGCTGCACATGGTTTGGGTCGTGCTGCTCAGCCTCCTGTGCTACCTCGTGCTGTTCCTCTGCCGACATTCCTCCCATCGAGGCGTCTTCCTATCCGTCACCATCCTCATCTACCTACTCATGGGGTATGAGTATGCATCCTTATCCTCACACTGTTGGCTGAAGTGCATGGGTGGGTCCCCAGGCCCCATATGAAGTTGTCCAAGACAGGGAGGGTGGTGAGATTCCCCGGAGAAAGAAGGGAGTCTGGGAGAATCATTTGCCTATGAGGAGACACAGAACAGGTAGGACGTGGAGTGTCCCTGGAGAAGGGAATCTGGGAGATTTGTCCTTTCACAGGACTGTAAGGGACAGGTTGGGCATGGGCTCCCCCTGGAGGAGGGAGCCTGGGAGAATTTTTCCACCATGAGACTGTTGTAGGACAGGAGGAGGTAGAACCCTCTGGGCACCTTGGACCCCCTTCCCCTGTCCCCCATGGTCTCAGAGGCCATGAGTGTCATGGGACCAAGACCAGCACCTTTTTCCTCAGTGAGATGCACATGGTAGACACCGTGACATGGCACAAGATGCGAGGTAGGTAGCCCTGCCCCTCTCACCTGCCCAACCCCCCTGCCCCACTCCTCGTCTCCTAACTGCCCCCACCCTGTGCCTTTCCTCTCCTGCTTTTCTCCCTCACCTGCCCACCCCACTGGACGTGCAGACCTCACATTACTCTTGGGTCCGTGTCTCTTTCCACCGTGCATTTTCCCGAAGTCTGTCTGTCTCGTGTCATGTATGTGCCTGACTCTCTGGAGTAAGGGCATCTATCTGTCCTGGGCTTCCTTGCCCACCTGCCTATCTGTCCCATGCCCACCTATCCATCCTTGTGCCCGCTTTTCCTACCACATCTCACCTGGTGCACCTCCTCCTTGCCATGCTGATCTGCTCTCTGCCCATCCACTTGACCATGGGCACCACACATAGGGGCACAGATGATTGTGGCCATGAAGGCAGTGTCTCTGGGCTTCGACCTGGACCGGGGCGAGGTGGGTACGGTGCCCTCGCCAGTGGAGTTCATGGGCTACCTCTACTTCGTGGGCACCATCGTCTTCGGGCCCTGGATATCCTTCCACAGCTACCTACAAGCTGTCCAAGGCCGCCCACTGGTGAGGTCCTGAGTGGATGGGTGGGCAGGGACTGTGGGAGCCACCCTGGGGCAGCACTCATGGAGTGCTTGATCCCTACAGAGCTGCCGGTGGCTGCAGAAGGTGGCCCGGAGCCTGGCACTGGCCCTGCTGTGCCTTGTGCTGTCCACTTGCGTGGGCCCCTACCTCTTCCCGTACTTCATCCCCCTCAACGGTGACCGCCTCCTTCGCAAGTGAGCACAGCCTTCGAGGCCCCTGCCCAGCAATGAGGGGGTTGGGTAGGGACCCGCGGTTTCCCCAGTTCTGAGCCTGTCTCTTAATGCTTCTTTCTGTCTTCTGTTACTACAGCAAGAAACGCAAAGCCAGGTAAATGAGGGCAGGTGTGAGGGCACGTGGAGTGGGGCTGACATGAGTGGGGGCAGAGCCCATGACCAATGGGTTCTGTGTGTCCAAGTGTGTCTGACCGTCAACTCCATGACTAGACAGAGACTGTGGTTGGCTGGCTGGCTGACGAAGCTTGGCTCTGTGACTCTGTTTGACTGACACTCCAACACATACTGTCTCTGGCTGTCCATCTGTTCAGCTGTCTCGCTGTTAGAAGCAAGTCATATTAACTGTCATGGAGAGTGACAAGTATGTGTTGGTTGGGTGACTTTAACCTGTCAGTGACTCTGTCTAGGGATATGTATGATGTATGTTTGTCTATTGGCCACTGACCCCCGAATGTAAGCCTGTGTGGCTGTCTGGCTGTGCCATCATCAGTGATAGGGTATGTGGCTGTCATTGGATAAGATAAATCTGTGTTCAAGATTCTGACTTTTTGTAGCTTTGGCCAGGAATGGGTCTGACTGTGGCATGTCATATGCCTGTCTGTGGAGTTCATGGACTACCTCTGCCTGTGTGTCTGCCTTCCCTGATGGCTTGGTGTTGTCTAGCTGAGGGGTTGTACCCGACTCTGGTCTGTGCCTGTCTGCAGGACTGACTGCCTCTAGTTTGACTATAGGGTTTGATCTGGCTCTTTGGTTGTATGGCCCCTCCCCTACTCCCTGGCTGCTGATTAGGTCTAATGCCGAATGAGTCTCCAAAAGGTCAAGTGACTTGACCAGTGTCACCCAGCTAAGCAGCCAGGCATGAATCCCAGGCCTAACTTCAGAACCTATGCTTTTTCCAACGCAGGATGCTGCCTGTTTTTGACCATGTCTGATTACAACTAGTAGGGGGGGTGTGTGTGTGCACAGCAGGGTGTTTGATGGTCTCTGTGCCCAGCTCAGGGATTTTTGGCTGTCCTGTAGTCGCTGAGTCAGGTTAGAGCATTGCAAGGCTGGGAGTCTGATAAGATTTGTGTCTGGCTGTTAGAGGGTGCAGGTCTGTGAAGTCGGGCCTCTGATGGTGGCTGGCTTTGGCCGTCTGGCCACGTGAGCCTGCAGGGCCATGCCATATTATAGGATAGCTCATGCATCCATTTGAGCCACATAAGACTAACTGCCTGAGGGTGGATGTCTGTGTGTGACTATCATAGTTCACCTTTTTTGTGGCTACATTTCATCTGTCTTGTCTGAACAATTCAGACCAGCCTCCAGGGCCTCTCTGACTCTCTTTTCTTTCTTCTCTGCTGCCTTCCTGACCCCTGGGGGCCCTAGGGGCACCATGGTAAGGTGAGTCTACAGAGCGGGGCCCAGGATGCTGACATGTGGTGGGGTATCATGTTGGGACCTGAACGTGATGCCTCTCACCCCTGCCCCTTTCTCCCCAGGTGGCTGCGAGCCTACGAGAGTGCTGTCTCCTTCCACTTCAGCAACTATTTTGTGGGCTTTCTTTCCGAGGCCACGGCCACGTTGGCGGGGGCTGGCTTTACCGAGGAGAAGGATCACCTGGAATGGTGGGGGGGCTTGGGGACCCCCTCTCCCACAGGGTGCTGCCTAGAGGAGCTGCAGGGAGGAGGGCGGGTGCTCCCAGGGGAGGGAACGGCCAAGACAGAAGTGTGGCGGTCAGATGAGTTGAGATCCCAAATGGATTTGCATATCTCTTCTGCCCCCAGGGACCTGACGGTGTCCAAGCCACTGAATGTGGAGCTGCCTCGGTCAATGGTGGAAGTTGTCACAAGCTGGAACCTGCCCATGTCTTATTGGCTAAATAACTGTGAGTCACCAAGTCACCACTCCAGCTGTGTTGGTAATCCAGGCCCTTTCATACATTCATACAACATTTACTGAGCACCTTCTGTGTGCTAGGCACCCAAAATCCCTACCCTTGTCGAGCTGCAGTTCTCCTGGGGGGGCAGATGATAAATACGAGAAAAAAAATACATAATAGCTCAGGTGTTGATAAGTGCTATGGTTAAAAAAAAAAATTTTTAAAAAAGCAGGTAAAGGTGATCCAGGAGTGCTGGCAGGAGATAGGAGTGGGGAGGGTAGGGTATTGCAATTGTAAAAAAATTAGCCAGGGCAAGTCTCCCTGAGGAGGTGACATTGGAGCAAAGATGCAAAACAGGTGAGGGAGCAGGGAGCGCAGATATATGGGGGAGGATTGTAACAGATGCGGGGACAGCAGGTGCAAAGGTCCTGAGGCGGGAACTTGCCTGGTGTGTGGGGAACAGCAAGAAGGCCAGCAGGGCAGGAGCAGAGTGAGCCAGGGTCCAGTGGCAGGCGGTGAGGTCAGGGAAGGCCCGGAGGGCCTCATGGGCCATGGAGAGGACTTTGGCTTTTTCTCTGAGAGAGATGAGAGCCACGGCAGGGCTCTGAGCAGAGGAGGGCCCTGGGCTGACTCGGGTTGCAGCAGGATCCCTCTGGCTGCTGTGAGGACAGACTGAGAAGAGGGATCGAGGATGCAGCAGTGAGGAGGCCGCTGCCATCATCCAGGCCAGTGATGGTGGTGGTGGCAGTGGATGTGGAGAGGAGAGCTCAGATTCTGGCATATTCTGAAGGTGGAACTCACACAATTTGCTGAATTTGGATGTGGGAGTTTGGGGAGGGCAAATCAAGGGTAATTCCCAGGTTTTTGCCCTGAGGAACTGGAAACGTGGAGTTGACATTGACTGAACTTGATGAGACTGGGAGGAGCAGGCTGGGAAGATCGGGAGCTGGGCTTTGGGCATGTGAAGTTTGAGGCCATCTAAGGACTTTATCCTGGGGGCTCCAACAGGTTGTGGGTATTCTCATCCTGCTGATGGCCCTCCAGGAGGGGCTGGGGGACTTTCAGGAGAATTTTATCCCACATCTCTTCCCCTCCAGATGTTTTCAAGAATGCTCTCCGCCTGGGGACCTTCTCGGCTGTGCTGGTCACCTATGCAGCCAGCGCCCTCCTACATGTGAGCAGGGTGGAGCAGGATCAGGGTGGAAGCTGGGTGGGGGCGGGTGGCAGGGCCTCTTCCTCACTCATTTCATTGTCATCTGCATTCCCCCAGGGCTTCAGTTTCCACCTGGCTGCGGTCCTGCTGTCCCTGGCTTTTATCACTTACGTGGAGCATGGTGAGTGCAGGGCCCAGCCCAGCCGTTGGATAGAAGGTTGGTGGGGGGGCTGGAGACAGCCTCCCCTGAGGCTAACCTGACCCCCTTACCTCTCCCCACCACCCTAGTCCTCCGGAAGCGCCTGGCTCGGATCCTCAGTGCCTGTGTCTTGTCAAAGCGGTGCCCGCCAGACTGTTCGCACCAGCATCGCTTGGTGAGGGTTCAGCCTGGGCAACCTTGTGCCCAACACTCCCTGTCAAAAATGTTCCTTCTATCTCTATCTTGTATGTGTCTCAGGGTGCCCACCTTCTTCTTTTGGTGCCTGAGCCATCCCCATAACCTCTCCTCTATTCGCTGGCATCCGTTTCCCTAACAGGCATTTATCGAGCATCTGCTGTATACACACCTGGCATTCGTTTCCCCCAGTGAACATCCGTTGAGTGCCTGTTGGTGCTCTAGGTGCTGGAGACACGGTGAATGAAACAGACTGAAGTCCCAGCCCTATGGGACAAACATTTTAACCGGGCAGACAGTAGATAAAAAATGAGTCAGTAAAGTCTAATAATAGTGTGTCAGATTGCAAGTAGTGCTAAGGAGAAAATGTGTAGGGCAAAGGGGACGGGAAGTATGGGGGTGATTTCCATTTGAAATAGGGAGGTCAGAGAAGCCTCCCTGGTGAGGTGATGTTTGAGGCCTTTAACCGAAGGAGGTGAGAGAGGGAAACGTTCCAGGCAGAGAGACACCCAGTGGAAAGGCCCTGAGGTAGGAGAGGGCCTGGAATCTTTGAGGAATAGCAAGGCAGCCAGGGTGGCTTGAGCAGAGGTAGGGTGAGGAGGGGAGATGGGTGGGAGGCATGGGCCCTCTAGATCATGGTGGGGATTTGGTTTTGTTGTGTGTTTTTCATTCTGTTTGCAATAAGAAGTACAGACAACTTCATACTTGTCTCCCACCCAACTCCCGTTCATTACTATAAAGCCCTGACTCAAAGCCCTGCCACTCTTCCTCCTCTGCCTGGAGACTCGCACCTCCCCCAACCCAGGATGCCCTCACTGTGAACAGTACCCTCATCTTGGATGCCTCTGCATAGGAGGCTCCCTGAACCATCTCTTCCCTATCTCAGGGGGTACCCTGGGCATCCTCAGTCCTGGAACCCACTGTGCCCTGTGTGTCCCCTGGGCTCCCCCGTGCAGGAGGAGGTGGGACACAGTGAGTAGGTCCAGTTGCCAAGTATATCCATCTGTCCCCCACAGGGCCTGGGGGTGCGAGCCTTAAACTTGCTCTTTGGAGCTCTGGCCATCTTCCACCTGGCCTACCTGGGCTCCCTGTTTGATGTCGATGTGGATGACACCACAGAGGAGCAGGTGAGGTGGGGCCCTGGGCTGTGTGGTTAACCAAGGGTGGCGCTATCTGGCGGGGGGAAACCATGAGGACAAAGGCTGGGAAGCTGAGGCCTGAGCTCCTCAGACTGTGCTGCTTCGCCTGGGCAGCCAGTGCTCCTCGGTCCTTTCCCATAGTCCCTCTGCTTGAGTCACACTGTTAGGTCTTTTATTTGGGTGAAGTGTGCAAAATATGTTTATTTATTTTACTTATAAAATAACTTTTAGGCTGGGCATGCTGGCTCACGCCTACAATCCCAGCACTTTGGGAGGCCAAGGTGGGCAGATCACTTGAGGTCAGGAGTTCAAGACCAGCCTGGCCAACCTGGCGAAACCCCGTCTCTACCAAAAATATAAAAAATTAGCCAGGCGTGATAGCATGCACCTGTAATTCCAGCTACTCGGGAGGCTAAGGCAGGAGAATCACTTGAACCCAGGAGGTGGAGGTCACAGTGAGCCCATGCCACTGCACTCCAGCCTGGGCAACAGAGCGAGACTCTCTCAAAAAAAAAAATCACTTTATAGAGATGGAGTGGAAAATCCAGGTTTTACTTGTGTTAATTATTTCACTTCATTATTGTTTAGGTAGAATTTGCAAGACTTCTTAATTTTTTTTTTTTTTTTGAGACAAGGTCTGTCACCCAGGCTAAAGTGCAGTGGTGTGATCACGGCCCACTGCAGCCTCACATTCCTGGGCTCAAGCCATCCTTCTGCCTCAACCTCCTGAGTAGCTGGGACTACAGGTGCATGACACTAAGCCCGGCTAATGTTTTTTTAATTTTTTTTGTAGAGACAGGGTCTCCCTATGTTGCCCAGGCTGGTCTTGAACTCCTAGGCTCAAGCAATCCCCTTGCCTCAACCTCCTAAAGTGCTAGGATAACAGGCATGAGCACCCTGTTTTATTTAATTTAAATATATATATATATTTTTAGACGGAGTCTTGCTCTTGTTGCCCAGGCTGGAGTGCAATGGTGCGATCTCAGCTCACTGCAACCTCCGCCTCCTGGGTTCAAGCAATTCTCCTGCCTCAGCCTCCTGAGTAGCTGGGATTACAGGCACGCACCACCATGCTGGGCTAATTTTTGTACTTTTAGTAGAGATGGGATTTCGTCATGTTGGCCAGGCTGGTCTTGAACTCCAGGCCTCAGGTGATCCACCCGCCTCAGCCTCCCAAAGTGTTGGGATTACAGGCGTGAGCCACCACGCCCGGCCAAAAAAATATATATTTTATTTTACTTAGGTTGAGTGTACAAACCCTGGATTCTGCACTTTAAAATTTTTCGTTAAAATGTATGCACTATTTTTGTTCATGTTGAGTATGCAAATACCAGATTTTACTCCTTTTTAAATTAAGAACAATTTAAAAATAACATTTATTCATATGGCTCTTGCAGAATCCAGGTTTTTGCTTCTCTTTTAGTTAGGTTTCAGTCAAAAACAAAACTTTGTGTTTTTTGATATTAAAAAGTTTTTAATTCAGGTTAAGTGTGCAAAATCTGGGATTTGCTTTTCTTTTTTTTTTTTGAGACACGGTCTCACTCTGTTACCCAGGCTAAAGTGCAGTGGCACAATCATAGCTCACTGCAGCCTCAAACTCCCAGGCTCGAGCAGTCCACCCACCTCAGCCTCCCAAGTAGCTGGGACTAGAGATGCATGCCACCACACCTGGCTTTTTGCTTCTTTTTAAATAAAGTTTTTGTTTTGTTTTCATTAAAATATTTTAAAATAGTGAATGCCTATCATGTGCTTCAAAAACCAAACAGTATTCAAGATATTTAGAGAAAAGATTTGCTCCCACCCTCTGCCCCCTACCCTCTTACAGGTTACATGGTGAGACGGGGTTTCACCATGTTAGCCAGGCTGGTCTCAAACTCCTGACCTCAGGTAATCCACTCACCTCAGCCTCCCAAAGTGCTGAGATTGCAGGCGTGAGCCACCGCACTGAGCCCACTTTTATCCTTTTATTAAAATATCTTTCCAAAATTTAAGCATATCAAACAAATATAAAAATATATTTTAATTCTACCCCCTTGCCAGTTTTTACCCTAAAGATAACACATGAATGATACTGTTCTGCAATTTTTGAAAATCTTCCACATCAGGATATAGTGTCCTCATTCATTTTTTCCACTATGAGGAAGTGACACAGTTTATTTTTTCTCTTATTTGTGGACATCAGGTAATTTCTAGTCCTTTCCTATTGCAAGTGATGTTGCAGCAGGAACTCTGTACCCAAGTGGATCCACACAGGTGTGGACAGATCTGTAGGATCTGTTGATAGTCTCAATGGAGTAGTACTTTTGTGCTCTCCCACCAGCAATGCCTGAATGTGCCTGCTGCCCCACCAGTACAGAGTGCCTCTCAGACTTCCTGGATATGTTTGCCACTTCAATAAAGAGGAAGATGGCCGGGCGGGGTGGCTCATGCCTGTAATCCCAGCACTTTGGGACGCCCAGGCAGGCAGATCACTTGAGGTCAGGAGTTCGAGACCAGCCTGACCAACATGGTGAAACCCCATCTCTACTAAAAGTACAAAAATTAGCTGGGCATGGTGGTGCAGCATCTGTAATCCCAGCTACTCAGGAGGCTGAGGCAGGAGAATCTCTTGAACCTGGGAGGTAGAGGTTGCAGTGAGCTCAGATCGTGCCACTGCACTCAAGCCTGGGTGACAGAATGAGAGCCTGTCTCAAAAAGAAAATAAATAAAATGAGGAAGATTATTAATGAGGCTGAGCATCTTTTCATATGTTTAAGAGCCATTTGTTTTTCCTTTACTGGAATGACCTATTCACCTTCTCTGGCAATTTTTCTTTCCAAAAAATTAATTTTTAGGAGCTCTTTATATATTAGGGAGATAACAGGTCAGAGAATGGGATCACTTTGTTTTTAAAATGATTTTTAAAGAAGAAGACAAAAACTATATCTGGTCACCTTTCATATGTACCTAGGCCCTTCTGCGGGGCCTCGCCTAGAGCAGTCACAGAAATGTCCTTGGGCAAAGGATGGGTTTTCCTAAGAACTTCTTTGTCCTTGCTAAGTGGGACCATCACCTCTTTCTCTCCCACAGGGCTACGGCATGGCATACACTGTCCACAAGTGGTCAGAGCTCAGCTGGGCCAGTCACTGGGTCACTTTTGGATGCTGGATCTTCTACCGTCTCATAGGCTGAGGCACATCTGTGGACCCTCATAACCCTCTTAAGACCCCTCTCAGGGTGCCACTGATGGGGGATGAGGGAAGGCCCTCTCTCTACTCCTTGACCCCCTCCATCCTTGACCCCCAACACCTCAACACACACACACACACACACACACAAAATCACACCATTTTCATGCCTGTCAATCCCCACCCCACCACAAGGCAGGAAGGGGGTGGTGCCTGCTGGGGCCTAGAGGGGGATGCTTGGGGAAACAGAGAAGGGGAGATCCAGGGCCTCCCCGCCTTCCTTCTTCCTTTTTATATACAATTTGTTATTGTCAAATAAAAGTAGGAAATATTCAATAGGCTTCTTCTTCACTGCTCAGAGGGGAATAGGAATGAGTGAGGAAGGGAGCACAGCATGGATAAAGGTTTGGAAGCTGGAAACCATGAAGAGAGAGCAGACTGTGATTGGTTCATGGTTAGTTTATGATTGATTAGATGATGAGCCTGAAGATGGCAGGATCCTGGTCCTGCTTGGTTTGATCAGGGCAGGGACAGATTGCATAGTTGGATGTGGGGGAGGCCTGATTGGCTGGAAAACTGAAGGATCCCCATTCTGATTGGTTGCTCTGAGTGGGACACAGAGGAGAGAAAGCAAGAGAGATGAAGGGTTGGTGCCTATTTATCCTTAGGACTGAGGGTTGTGGGTTCTAATTGGATGGGAGGTCTGGGATGGGTCTGGATTCTGATTGATTGCTCCATCTGGGGGCCCACTGGTGGTTAGGCGTTTGATTGGCTTTTTAGAACTGGCATATGGAGATTGAGGGTCTTCATGCCAATTGGTCAGTAGGACTGAGAGGCCTGGGTTCTAACTAGTTCTTCTGACTTGAGGTCGGGAGAAGAGAGAATGACCGCTGCTATTAGGACTGAGGAGTTCTGAGCACTGAAGAGCTGGGGAGGGGGTGGTTGCAGTGTATAGCGTGTGATCTGCTTGTAACAGTTTCGTTGCATTATACTAAGGGTTACTCTACCTAGAAAAGGGCGGAGGTGAAAGGATGCAACGCAACGCTAATTTCACCAGCGGAAGAAGCGGGTACAGACCTTAATGAGTCCCCGTTTTGATCGACTGATAAGGGAATGGGGAAATTGAAGCCAGGACTCGATGCAGATTGGCTACGGATCCAAAACGCCCACTAACCTTGGCGCGTCCCAGTCTCCACCCCAAACCTAACTCAGGTGAAAATGGCGCCACGCGCGGGGGCGGGGCTAGAGGTACAAAGAGAGTGTCTATTGGTTGGGAGCGGCACGGGCCGCCTTCTTCGCTTCACCATTGGCTCGCTCCGTAAGGCAAGAGAACCCACTAGGGGATGAGCCCGAACTAGGGATGTGACAGAGCGCGAGACCCAGCCTAAAGAGAGCCCGGAGCCAGCGTGGGAGGCCGCTGCCGTCGCGCGCCTTGGTGAGTGCCCTCCACCCGGCCCCTGCTCCCTCCCCCAGCTCTCCCCGGCTACGCGGCCAGCCCTCGGCGTGCCAGCGCGAGACCCTTTGCCACCCGCCCCCCCCACCGCCCTTTTGCGCCTGCGCGAGACCCCCAGCTACCGCACGGTTGTCCAGAGGACAGAAGATCCGTCTTCTCATTGGGCAGCGGGACTGGAGGGTTCTGGTTCGGATTGACCGGCTTTGTGTTCCGTTCTAGCGCTGCACGCCAGACACCGGCCTTTCAATATCCGTCTCTTCCCTGCAGGTTGACGGCGTTGCACGCTCTCGCGGGGAGGCTCTGGCTTTCCAAACGCTGGCACCGAGGGTTGTAGTTCTGATTCGTTTTCTTTCCTCTGTCCCCCAGTTGCAGTTTTCAGGACTACGTGGGGGAGGGAATAGCTTTTTGTTGAACGGTTTAAGACGCTGACCTGTGCAACTGGACCACGCCTGGTTCCTGTGTCTCTTACCAAACCGTGACCCCGGAGCACAGGACTGGGTTTGGTGGTCGTGAGCAGTTTGTGACCCTTGAAGGAAGACACCAGGCCTGGTCCTGTATCTCCCTCGCCAGACTGTGACCAGGGAGGGCTGGGATCAGGTGTTGTTCCCATGTGCCTCCCACCAGACTTTGACCCCCGAGGGCTGAGACCGGGACTGTTTCTACCACATCATAATATGGCTTCTAAAGGGCTGGAACAAGCTTTCAGCCTTTCTGTGGCCTTGTGTTTCAGTCATGTTCTTTTTCTTTTCTTTTTTATTTTATTTTGAGACAGAGTCTCGCTCTGTTGCCCAGGCTGGAGTGCAGTGGCATGACCCCGGCTCACTGCAGCCTCTGCCTCCCAGGTTCAAGCGATTCTCCTGCCTCAGCCTCCTGAGTAGCTGTAACTACAGGCGCACGCCACCACACCTGGCTAATTTTTGTATTTTTAGTAGAGACGGGGTTTTGCCATGTTGGCCGGGCTGGTCTTGAACTCCTGAGCTCAAGTGGTCCACTCGTCTTGGCCTCCCAAAGTGCTGGGATTACAGGCGTGAGCCACCGCGCCCGGCCTTCTTTTTTAGAGGCAGAGTCTCAGACTGGAGGGCAGTGATGTGGTCACTGCTCACTTCAGCCTTGAAGTCCTGGGCTCAAAGCGATCCTCCTGCCTCAGCCTACCTACTAGCTGGGACTACAGGCCTTTGTCACCACACCTGACTGATTTTCTTATTTTTTTAGAGACAGTTTCGCTGTGTTGCCCAGGCCGGACTTGAATTCCTGGCCTCAGGTGCTGCTCCTGCATCAGCCTCCCAAAGCACTGGAATTACCTGCCACGGTGCCTGGCCTTTAGTCATGGTCTTAAAACAGAATGTAGGCCGGGCGCAGTGGCTCACGCCTGTAATCCCAGCACTTTGGGAGGCTGAGGCGGGCGGATCGTGAGGTCAGGAGATCAAGACCATCCTGGCTAACACGGTGAAACCCCGTCTCTACTAAAAATACAAAAAATTAGCTGGGCGTGGTGGCAGGCACCTGTAGTCCCAGCTACTCGGGAGGCTGAGGCAGGAGAATCGTTTGAACCCGGAAGGCAGAGGTTGCAGTGAGCCGAGGTCGCACCACTCCACTCCAGCCTGGGTGACAGAGCAAGACTCCGTCTGAAAAAAAAAAAAAAAAACGGAATGTAATTAGAAGTGTTACAATCCTGTCTGTTAACTGGTAAATTCGGTCCATTTACATTTCTCATGATAATAAACTATTTGAATTTGATTTTATTATCTCATTCTGTACTTTCTATTTGTCCAGGTTTTTCTGTTCCTTTTTTTTTTTTTTTTTTAACTTCCTGCCTATACACACGCAGCCATCAGCCCACAAAGACATGACTACCAACGCGGGCCCCTTGCACCCATACTGGCCTCAGCACCTAAGACTGGACAACTTTGTACCTAATGACCGCCCCACCTGGCATATACTGGCTGGCCTCTTCTCTGTCACAGGGGTCTTAGTCGTGACCACATGGCTGTTGTCAGGTCGTGCTGCGGTTGTCCCATTGGGGACTTGGCGGCGACTGTCCCTGTGCTGGTTTGCAGTGTGTGGGTTCATTCACCTGGTGATCGAGGGCTGGTTCGTTCTCTACTACGAAGACCTGCTTGGAGACCAAGCCTTCTTATCTCAACTCTGTGAGTCCTGATTTCTTTCATATGCTGTGGGATGGGATTTGCTGGGCAGGGATCGGCTTGCATGTTTACCTATCCACCTATTCTTCTTCCATTGATTTATTTTAAATTTTTATTTAATCTTTTAAAAAATTTATTATAGGCCGGGCACAGTGGCTCACGCTTGTAATCCCAGCACTTTGGGAGGCCGAGGCAGGTGGATCACTTGAGGTCAGGAATTTGAGACCAGCCTGGTCAACATGGCAAAACCCCATCTCTACTAAAAATACAAAAATTAGCCAGGCGCGGTGGCTCAAGCCTGTAATCCCAGCACTTTGGGAGGCCGAGGCAGGCAGATCACGAGGTCGGGAGTTGAAGACCAGCCAGGCCAAGATGATGAAACCCCATCTCTACTAAAAATACAAAAATTAGCCGGGTGTGGTGGCACACGCCTGTAATCCCAGCTACTAGGGAGGCTGAGGCAGGAGAATTGCTTGAACCTGGGAGGCGGAGGTTGCAGTGAGCCAAGACCATGCCATTGCACTCCAGCCTGGGCAACAGAGTGAGACTTTGTCTCAAAAAAAAAATTATTATGTATTGTTATTATTATTCTTTTTGTTTTTTGCCCTTCTCTAAAACTGGTAGATAACTTATTTTTGAGACAAGGTCTTGCTCTGTTGCCCAGGCTGGAGTGCAGTGGTATGATGATTGCTCACTGCAACCTCCAACTCCTGGGTTCAAGCGATCGTCTTGCCTCAGCCTCCCCAGTAGCTGGGACTATACTATAGGTGCACACCTTTATGCCTGGCTAATATTTTCACTTTTTTGTAGAGACAAGGTCTTGCTATGTTGCTCAGGCTGTTCTTTAACTCCTGGGCTCAAGCAATCCTTCCACCTCAGCCTCCCAAAATTCTGGGATGACAGGTGCGCACCACCGTGCCCAGCCTTATTTAACTTTTTTGTTGCATGTATATTCACGTGGGTCAAAAAACCATTTAAAGAGATTTGCAGTGAAAATCTGCTTTCTATCCACTAAGTTTCCCCAAACGCTGTTAGGCACTGTTGATAGTTGTTTATGTTTCTTTTCAGTTTATTTACACACGTAAGTCTCAATTTGCTCAATTGTAAAAGGAGGATAATAGTAATAACCAACTATATGTAAGATACTTAGAACAGTGTTTGGCAAACAGTGGTTGCCATGTAACTGTTCACTATTATTATCATTATTTGCACTTTTCCCTTTTTACACAAATGGTAATATGCTATATATACTTCTAATCTTTTCTCTTTTTCTTTCTTTCCTTACAAGAAAACCAAAGAAGCCATTTTCTTTTTTGAGACGGGGTCTCGCTCTGTCACCCAGGCTAGAGTGCAGTGGCATGATTATAGCTCACTGCAACCTTGAACTCCTGGGCAATCAAGCAATCCTCCTGCCTCAGCCTCCCTAGTAGCTGGGATTATAGGCATGTGCCACCCCACCAAGTTATTTTTTTTTTAACAACTTTTTTTTTTAAGAGATGGCGTCTTGCTTTGTTGCCCAGGCTGTTCTCCAACTCCTGGCTTCAAGTGATCTGCCCACCTCAGCCTCCCAAAGTGCTAGGATTACAAGCATGAGCCACCGCACCCAGCTGCTTTTTTTAATGAGGTCACTCCTCATGATTTCATAAAGAGCTTTCAAAGCATGGACATTGTACAGTTGCTTGACTTGTGTAGTATTGATGGGCATTTTCCCTCAATCTTCTGCCATTATAAACAAGGCCGGGCAGAGTGGCTCATGCCTGTAATCCCAGCACTTTGTGAGGCGAAGGCGGGCAGATCACCTGAGGTCAGGAGTTTGAGACCAGTCTGGCCAACATAGTGAAACCCCGTCTCTACTAAAAGTCTAAAAATTAGCTGGGCGTGGTGGCAGGTGCCTGTAATCCCAGCTACTCAGGAGGCTGAGGCAGGAGAATCTCTGGGACCTGGGAGGCGGAGGTTGTGGTGAGCTGAGATTGCGCCACTGCACACTCCAGCCTGAGCGATAAGAGCAAGGCTCCGTCTCAAAAAAAAAAAAAAAAAAAAAAAACATTACAGGCATGAGCCATTGTGCCCGGCTGGTCAGATGTTTCTTAAATTTTAGTCATTCCAGTAGATGTGAGTGATATCTCATTATGGTTTTAATTTGCTTTTCCTTAGTGACTAATGGAAGTTTGAACATCTTTCATATACTTATTGGCCATTTAGAAATCCTCTTTGTGAAGAACCTATTCAAGTCTTCTGCCTATTTTATATTGGATGATCTTTTTCTTTCTTTCTTTTTTTTTTTTTTTTTTGAGACAGGGTCTTACCCTGTTGTCCAGGCTGAGCACTGTGGTGCTATCATAGCTCACTGCAGCCTCAACCTCCTGGGCTCAAGACATCCTCCCACTGCAGCCTGGGACTGTAGGCACGTGCCACCACGTCCAGCTAATTTTTGTATGTTTTATAGAGTTGGGGGTCTCACTATATTGTTCAGACTGGTCTTGAACTCCTTTATGCAAGCCATCATCCCACCTCAGCCTCCCAAAGTGTTGGGATTACAGGCATGAGCCATCGTGCCCGGCGGTCTTTTTCTTTCTGATTCTCTGCTCACTCTTGTATTCACTCATCTGTTCACCTACATTCTCTCTCTCTCATTGGCTACTTCACTCACTCCATCATCTACACCTGCTTCCTTTTATACCACACACACTTCTTGAGTACCAATCACAGCCACACTGTTTTGTGTCAGGCTTTACACATATTACCTTGTTTTAGAGAAATAAACCACTAGAATCCAAACAGTTACCCCATTTCACGGATGAGGAAGCAGACGCATGGGAAGGTTATGAAGTCTGTCTTCTTGCAGGGACCCCCAGCTCTCACAAGTGTGTGTTCCTTTCACTGCCTTTATTCTTCATATCTCTCTCTTCTTTTCTTCAGGGAAAGAGTATGCCAAGGGAGACAGCCGATACATCCTGTAAGTGTTTGCCTCTGTCAATGGAGACTGGCATTGGTTTTCGGGGGGTGGTGAGTTGGGGAGCACTAATGGGCTAACCTGTAGGAAGAGCACACCGATACCAGTGTCCCCTCATGCTTTCTCCTGCAGGGGTGACAACTTCACAGTGTGCATGGAAACCATCACAGCTTGCCTGTGGGGACCACTCAGCCTGTGGGTGGTGATCGCCTTTCTCCGCCAGCATCCCCTCCGCTTCATTCTACAGCTTGTGGTCTCTGTGGGTAAGGAAAGGGCACTAGAGGGGCACTGGGCACTAGAGGGGTTGATGGGGGATCCACAGACACAGATGTATCCCTGTGGGTGGGATCTCTCAACGGTGCCCTTCCAGGGGTAAGTCAGACTGAATGACAAACCCCCTGAGGCTCTGGAAAGGTCATGCCCTTCTCTGAGCCTGCACTCTCAGGTGGGGAGGGTTCATTTTTCTTCCTCCTCCTCCTTCTCCATCACAAAGTCTCCTGTGAAGGTTACATGAGGTGGCCCAGGGTGGCAAGAAGCCCCTGGAACCTCCAGGATCAGGGCTCTGAGATCCCTTCATGTAAGATTCTGTCATATTTTTTTTAAAACAGGGTCTGGCTCTGTCACCCAGGCCAGAGTGCTATGGTGTGATCTCGGCTCACTGCAACCTCCACCTCCCAGACTCAAGCGATCTTCCTGCCTCAGTCTCCTGAGTAGCTGGGACTACAGGCATGTGCCACCGTGCCTGGCTAACTTTTGTATTTTTAGTAGAGATGGGGTTTCGCCATGTTGCCCAGGCTGGTCTCAAGCTCCTGAGCTCAAACAGTCCTCCTGGCTTGGCCTCCCGAAGTACTGGGATTACAGGTGTGAGCCACTGTGCCCGGCCTCAGTCATCTTGTGTTATTAAATTGTTAGCTTTCTTTAGTTCTAGCGATATGAGTTATCTTTAGTCCCAGAATCCTAAGCTGTCTTGGATTTGAGGATTTTGAACTTCCTTAAATCTGAAGGTGTGAGCTCTCCTGAGTTCTGAAATTCTCAGCTCTCTGGTGTCTGGAATCTCACTTTTCTGATTTCTCAGATTTTCAGCTCTGTGATTTCAGAATACTTAGCTCTGAGACCTTGAATGATGACTTGGAAAGTGCTTTGGAATAGAGAATTGGCGAAAGTGTCCCCTTCCTCACTGGGGCTTCTCCTTCCCCTCCTGCCACCCACAGGCCAGATCTATGGGGATGTGCTCTACTTCCTGACAGAGCACCGCGACGGATTCCAGCACGGAGAGCTGGGCCACCCTCTCTACTTCTGGTTTTACTTTGTCTTCATGAATGCCCTGTGGCTGGTGCTGCCTGGAGTCCTTGTGCTTGATGCTGTGAAGCACCTCACTCATGCCCAGAGCACGCTGGATGCCAAGGCCACAAAAGCCAAGAGCAAGAAGAACTGAGGAGTGGTGGACCAGGCTCGAACACTGGCCGAGGAGGAGCTCTCTGCCTGCCAGAAGAGTCTAGTCCTGCTCCCACAGTTTGGAGGGACAAAGCTAATTGATCTGTCACACTCAGGCTCATGGGCAGGCACAAGAAGGGGAATAAAGGGGCTGTGTGAAGGCACTGCTGGGAGCCATTAGAACACAGATACAAGAGAAGCCAGGAGGTCTATGATGGTGACGATTTTTAAAATCAGGAAATAAAAGATCTTGACTCTAACACTGAGAGATCCTTAATTACTAACCCCAGAGATGCGCTATGACTGACCCCACAGATCCCACCATCATTCACTTATTCCAGACCCCCATCAGCATCTAAAGACCTCCCACCTCTGACCTCACAAACCCCTATCACTGACCCCCCGCCAGACCCCATAACTCACTACACAGACCCTATCACTGGCCCCACAGTCCCCTGGTCTTAACTCGAGCTGCCATAACAGAATGCCACAGACTAGGCTTAAACCACCGAAGTTCATTTTCTCACAGTTCTGGAGTCCAAGATCAAGGTGTCAGCAGGTTTGACTTCTCCTGAGGCCCCTGTCCGTAGCTTGCAGGTGGCCACCTTCTCAGTGTCCTCACATGGTCTCTATGAACTAGCGTCCCTGTCCCTGGTGTCTCTCTGTGTGTCCAAATTTCCTTTTTTTTTTTTTTTTTTTGAGACAGGGCCTCGCTCTGTGTCAGGCTGGAGTGCAGTGGTATGATCATGGTTCACTGCAGCCTCTACCTCCCTGGCTCCAGCGATCCTCCTGCCTCAGCCTCCTAAGTAGCTGGGACTACAGGTGTGCACTACCACACATGGCTATATTTATTTTTTTTTATAGCAATGGACTCTCACTATGTTGCCCAGGCTGGTCTCAAACACCTGGGCTCAAGTGATCCTCCCACCTCAACCTTCCAAGTAACTGGGACAACAGGCACATGCCATTATACCTAATTTTTGTTTTGTTTTTTTTTTTTGAGACGGAGTTTCACTCTTGTTGCCCAGGCTGGAGTGCAATGGCACGATCTTGGCTCACCACAACCTCTGCCTCCTGGGTTAAAGCAATTCTCCTGCCTCAGCCTCCCGGGTAGGTGGGATCACAGGCATGTGCCACCATGCTCAGCTAATTTTGTATTTTTAGTAGAGACGGGGTTTCTCCATGTTGGTCAAGCTGGTCGCGAACTCCCGACCTCAGGTGATCTACCCGCCTCTGCCTCCCAAAGTGCCAGGATTACAGGTGTGAACCACCATGTCCGGCAATATTTTTTCAATTTTTTGTAGAGATGGGGTCTCACTATGTTGCCCAAGCTGATCTCAAACTCCTAGGCTCAAGTGGTCCTCCCACCTCAGCCTCCCAAGTAGCTGAGACTACAGGTGTGAACTACCATGCCTAGCCCAAATTTCCTTTTATGAGGACACCATTTGACCAGCCTGGGCAACATGGTGAAACCCCATCTCTACAAAAAAAATTTTGAAAATTAGCTGGGCATCATGAGGCCACGGTGGGAGGATCATCTGAGCTAGGGAGGTGTAGGCTGCAGTGAGCCATGATCACGGTGAGAGCCTGTCTTAAAAAAAAAAAGGAGGTGGGGGGTGGGCACCAGTCAGGCACAGTGGCTCATGCCTATAATCCCAGGCTGACACAAGTGGATCACCTGAGGTCAGGAGTTTGAGACCAGCCTGGCCAACATGGTAAAACTCCATCTCTACTAAAAATACAAAAATTAGCCATGCATGGTGGCACATGCCTGTAATCCCAGCTACTTGGGAGGCTGAGGCAGGAGAATCACTTGAACCTGGGAAGTTGAGGTGGCAGTGAGCCAACATCATGGCACTACTGCACTCCAGTCTGGGCAACAGAGTGAGACTCTGTCCCAAAAAAAAAAGTGGGGGGCACCATTTGTATTGGATTAGGCCCACTCTATGAGTCCCATTTTAACTTAACCACCCTTTTAAAGTCCCTATCTCCAAATATAGTCACATTCTGTGGTATTGGGGGTTAGGGCTTTAACATATGAATTTGGGGAGGACACAGTTCAGTCTATAACATTCTGCTCTCTCTGGCCTCCCAGAATTCATGTCCTTGCATGCAAAATACCTTCACCCCCATCCCAGCAGCCCAAAACTCTCTTTTGTTTTTTTGGAGACAGGGTCTTGCTCTGTGGCCCAGGCTGGAGTGCAACGGCACGATCTCAGGTCACTGCAACCACAGGGTTTCACTATGTTGGCCTGGCTGGTCTTGAACTCCTGGCCTCAGATGATCCACCCACCTCAGCCTCCCAAAGTGTTGGGATTATAGGCATAATTCACTGTGCCATAAGCCACTCTGAAAGCTCTTAATCAAGTCTAGCATTAACTTTCAGTCCCAAGTCTTACCTAAATATCATCCAAATCAAGTGTAAATGAGACTGGAGGTATGATTCATCCTGATGCAAAAATTCTTCTCTAGCTGTGAACCCGTGAAACCAGATAAATCATCTGCTTCCAAAATTCAGTGGTAGGACAAGCATAAGCTAGATAGATATTTCCATTCCAAAAAGGAGAAATCACAAAGAAGAAAGGGATCACAGTCCAGGCGTGGTGACTCACGCATGTAATCCCAGCATTTTGGGAGGCTGAGATGGGAGGGTCACTTGAGCCCAGGTATTTGAGACCACCCTGGGCTACATGGTGAAACCCCGCCTCTACAAAAAACTAAAAAATTAGCCAGGTATGGTGGTACATGCCTATAGTCCCAGCTCCTCAGGAGGCTGAGGTGGGAGGATTGATTAAGCCCAGGAGGTCGAGGCTGCAGTGAGCCCTCTTCTCACCAGTGCACCCCAGACTGGGCGACAGAGCAAGACCCTGTCTCAGGAGAAAAAACAGGGATCACAGGTTCCGAATAAGTTTGAAACCAAATAGGGCAAATTCTATTAGATTTTTAAGGCTTGAGAATAATCCTGTTTGGCTCTATGTTCTGTCCTCTGGGCCCACCAGATTGGGGGCCCCACTTTCCTGGTTCACTGGAGAGGCGGTGTCTCTCCCTGAGCCCTGGGTGGCAGCCTGGCCCACTGAAACAGAGGAGGCCTCTTTGCCCTCTGGAACTGAGGAGGAGACAGCCCCACCTTTGGGATCATTCTCCCTTTTTCTTGAAGTATAATGCATGTTCACAGCCAGAAAGCTCTGTTGTCGTGTCCTGTTGAATCCCAGAAGTCCTACAGTCTTCTTTCATTTTGTCCCATCTCTGTCCTCTTTAGTCCCAGCTGGCCGTGTTTCTGCTGGTATTACCCATCTGTATTCCTGGCTTCTGCCAAGATGGCTGATTAGGTCAGTGAGTCACACCCATGATCTCTTTGTGGCATGATTGTTTAGCCACACCCTTTGTCTTCTCACCAGAACACATTCTCAGCTTTTGCAGTGTTGGATAGGCTGAGAACTTTTTTATCTTCACATTCGAGTTCCCTTCTGCCTGACAATTTCTTTTGCAATTTCTCTCTTTCCTCTTGCATTCTACTAGAAGCAGCAAGGAGAAAAAGGCCACATAATATGCTGCTTAGAAATCTCCTTAGCTAAATCTCCCAAGTTCGCCTCTCACAAGTTCTACCTTCCACAAAACACTAGAATACAATTAACCAAGTTCTTTGCCTTCCCTCCATTTTCCAATAACATATTCCTCATTTCCTTCTGAGGCCTCACCAGAAGCACTTTCAACATCCATATTTCTACCAGTAGCCTTCAAGATAATTGTCTTAGTCATTTGGACTGCTCTGACAAAATACTATAAACTGGGTAGCTTATAGGCAACTGAAATTTATTTCTCACAGTTCTGGGGTCTGGGAAGTCCAAAATCAAGGTGTTGGCAAATTCAGTGTCTAGTGAGGGCCTGCTTCCTCACAGATGGCTCCTTCCCTCTGTACCCTTATATGGTGGGAGGGTAGAACTCCGGTCCCTTCATCCCTTATAAGGGAATGACCTAATCACCTCCCAAAGGCCCCACCTCCTAATATCATTACACTGGGGATTAGGTTTCAACATAGGAATTGGAGGTTGGGGGGACACAAATATTAAGATCATAGCAGCAACATAGGCTTTTTCTAACATGCACCTCAAAACTCTTTCAGCCTCTACCCATTACCCAGTTCCAAAGCTACTTCCATGTTTTAGGTATTTATTATGGCAGCACCCCACTTCCCAGGACCAAAATCTGTGTCAGTTTTCTAAAACTGCCATAACAAAATGCCACATACCTGGTGGCTTAAACAACAGAAATTTATTTCCTCAGAGTTCTGGAGGCGGAAAATCCAAGTTCAAGGTGTCAACCAGTTTAGTGTCCCCTGAGGCTTGTAGATGGTCACCTTCTCGCCATGTCCTCACACAGTCTTCCCTCTGCCTGCGCATGTCGGTGTCCTAATCTCTTCTTATAGGGACACCAGCCAGAGTGGATTGGGACCCGCCTTCACCAACTTCATTTTAACTTAATCACCTCTTGAAAGGCCCTATTTTCAAATACAGTCACATTCTGAAGTATTGGGGGTTAGGGCTTCAGCATGAATTTTGGGGAGATACCATTCAGTCAGTAATACCGCTCTGTGCTCACCCCACTCACTCCCTAATACTTAGCCTCACAGATCTTCCATCATTCACCCCACAAACCCCCATCACATGCCCTGATTACTCAGCCCACAGATTCCCCTGCATTGCTGCCACATGGACCCCCCCAACACCCACCCTATAGACTTCCCATCACAAACCCTAAAGATCCCCCATCACTCACCCCACAGGCCCTATCGTGAACCCTACATATTCACGTCATTCACCTCACAGAGCCACATTACTCATCCAACAGACTCCACCCCTGGATCATTCAGCTTATTGGCCCCTAATCACTTCACTCACTCTACAGACTCACTCATCACTGACTCTACAGAGCTCTAATCACTCATCCCATTGACACCCCATTACTAACCCCACAGGTGCCTCCCACTCATCTCACAGGCCCTCCATCTCTCACACCACAAAGCCCTCTCACCTTATGAGCTAGCACATCAGCACCCCTACAGACCCCCAGTCATTCCCCCACCCCACAGATGCCCCCGTCACCCCATAGATCCTCATCAGCCATCTACAGATCCCCCATTCCTCAAAGTCCTCCTTCACTCCCCCTACAGACTTGCCCCACAGCCCCCATCATTAATCCCACAGAATCCTGCCACTCGCCACTCAATACCCCATTCACTCCACAGGCTCCTCATGACCCTACAGACCCCGTCACTACCCCACAGATCCCTATTACTCAGTTTATTATCCCCTGATCATACCTTCCAGAGAGGCCCCATCGCTAACCCCACAGACCCTAATCCTCCCCTGTGTTAGTCGGCTCTGGCTTCCGTAACAAAATGCCACAGACCAGGTGGCTTAAACAACAAACAGTTTCTCACACTTCGGGAGGTTGGACAGTCCAAGTGCAAGGTGCCATCAGGGTTGGTGTCTGGTGGGGTTTCTCTCCTTGGCTTGCAGATGGCTACCTTCTTGCTGTGTCCTCACGTGGCCCTTTCTCTGTGCACTCATGCCCAGTGTCCCTCTTCTTATAAGGATACCAGTTCTACTGAATTAGGGCCCCACCCTTATAATCTCATTTAACCTTAATTACCTCCTTAAAGGCTCTATTTCAGATATAGTGACATTATGTTGAAATATTGGGGGCTGGTTCCCCTGATATTAGGGCTTCAACATATGAATTTGGGGAGGAGGACATCATTCAGTTCATGACACTCCCCATCACTCACCCCACAGATGCCACAGCTCTCACCTCACAGAGCCCCCAACACTCCTACCACATATATTCCATCACTCAGCCTCTTGGCTTCTGATAAGCCACCCCACAGATCCCCCATCACTCTTCCCACATACCCCATCAACTCCTAAGATACCCATCACTCTCCCTACCAACACACATTCATTCGTTTCACAGATTGCCCATTATTGACCCCACAGAAACCCCGTAACTCACCACACAGACCTCAACCCCATCACTCACCCCCACAGGCCCCTATCACCCCCAAAATCTTCACTCTGAAGATCCCATAACTCACCCCAGAAGCCCCTCATCAGTCACCCTAACAACCCCTATCACTGACACCACAGACCCACCACTCATCCTACAGATGCCCCTTTACTAACCCTATAAGCATCCCATAACTCACCTTGCAGAAGCCATCACTCAACCCACAGAGTCCATCTCTCATCCCACAGACCCCTTATCACTCACACCACCATCCCATCTCTCAACTCACGGTCCTCCACAATCCACCATATACACCCCATCACTCACCCACAGATGCCATCATTCACCCCTCAGACCCCCATGACTTACCTCATAGTGCACCTATCATGTACCCACAGACTCCCATCCACCCCAGGGATCCTCCGTCACTCTCCACAGACCTGCTATTATTCACCCAACAGACACCCCTCACTTACTCTACAGACCCCCATCACTCATCCTGCCGTCTATCATTACCTTATAGACCCTCCATCATAAAACAACTGGGTACTTGAGAAGTTTTGAAGAGATGGAAAAGAATAAATAATAAAACCACAGATACCTGTAGACTGGCTTCAAGTGACCTCTGTAAGGCCGGGCACAGTGGCTCACTCCTGTAATCCCAACACTTTGGGAGGCTGAGGCGGGCAGATCACCTGAGGGTTGGGAGTTCAAGACCAGCCTGGCCAACATGGTGAAACCCCTTCTGCACTAAAAATACAAAAAAATTAGCCAGGTGTGGTGCCAGGCACCTGTAATCCCAGCTACTTGGGAGGCTGGGGCAGGAGAATCACTTGAACCCGGGAGGCAGAGGTTGCAGTGAGCTGAGACTGCACCATTGCACTCAAGCCTGGGCAACAAGAACAAAACTCCGTCTCAAAAAAAGAAATATCAAGTGACCTGTGGACTTCAGTTCAAATCCTGGCTCTGCTTAGGCCTACAGTATATAGCTTTGGAGAAATGCCTCACTGTTAAGGTCAAAGCCCTGCATGATCTCACTCTATTCTCACCTCGTCTGCTGTCACTCACCTATCATTCACTCTACTTAAAGGCATGCTGACTTCCTTGCTTTTCCTCAAACACAACAGGCATAGCCCCAAGTTCCATCCATTGCACTGCCTACTCTCTGTGACACTACCCCCTTTGACCTTGAGCTTGTTTCTCCCTGGCTTTCAGTACTCTAATCTGTAGAATGCTTAGAGTAATAACACCTACCTGCTATGGTTCGAATGTTTCTCCCCTCCAAAACTCATGTTGAAACTAAATCTCTTTTTTAACAGAATTAAGGAGGTGGGAAATCTGACTACGGTATTTGAGAGATGGGACCTTGAGCGGTAATTAGGATTAGATTAGATGAGGTCATAAGGGTGGGGCATTAGTGGTTTTCTAAGAGGAGAAACAGATCTGAGCTAGCAAGGTCAGCACCCTTACCATGTGATGCCCTGCTCTGCCTCGCCACTCCACAGAGAGGCCCCACCAGCAGAAGGCCCTCACCAGATGTGACTCCTTGACCATGGACTTCCCAGCCTCCAGAACTGTAAGAAATAAATTTCTTTTCTTTCTTTTTTTTTTTTGGTGGGGGGGGGGTGTTGTTGTTGTTGTTGTTTTTAGAGACAGGGTCTCACTCTGTCACCCAGACTAGAGTGTAGTGGCATGATCACAGCTCACTGCAGCCTCAAACTTCTGAGCATAAGCAATCCTCCTGCCTCAGCCTCCTAAGTAGCTAGTACTACAGGCATACTGCCATGCTCAGCTAATTTTTAAATTTTTTTGTAGAGACAGGGTCTTGCTATGTTGCTGAGGCTGTTTTGAACTGGCCTCAAAGCAATCCTCCCACCTCAGCCTCTCAAATTTCTTTATAAATTACCCAGTCTTGGGTATTTGATTATAGCAACAGAAAAATGGACTAAGATACTACCTCATAGGGTTTTTATGCAGATTATAAGAATTAATTTATGTAGACTGCCTAGCATATACTTTATATTTGTTGAATGGAAGAATGAATAAACAAAAAAGAAAGTTCTCCCCAGGACTATGGCAAGGACCTCCTTTTTGATCTCCTTGCTTCCAGTATCTTTCCATCCAAAGCTCTCCCCAGGACCAAGACAGAGGCATCTGACCACATCATACCCCTGTCTAAACCTTTGCCCCAGTGTCCTTAGGATCGATTCCAAACTCCAGGCTAATGGTTTGCACATCCCACCCTATGATAAATGAAAAGCAGGCTCTTACTCCTTGTTTCCATCAGAAAATCCAGCAGTGCTATAAGTGATTTTGACTCTAAACACATGGGGCAAGAGAGACATGCCAATAATCCTTTTCTGGCTTTCAGAGAAAATCCCCATTATTTATACCTTCTAAAAATAGAGATATCTATTTAATGTTAATACCAAGGCAACATGTTGTCTTAAAAGACACCAAAATAGAATTGCAGACTTACCTAAAAAGTTAACCTTGAGGGTTGCGTCCATATGACACGGACACAATAGTTGGAGTGCTAGTATCTTACAAGACTCCTTTGTTGGAAATAACATTTGTTTTTGTTTTTTGTTTACTTTTTTTTTTTGAGACGGAGTCTCGCTCTGTTGCCCAGGTTGGAGTGCAGGCTGGAGTGCAGTGGCGGCTCACTGCAAGCTCCGCCTCCCAGGTTCACACCATTCTCCTGCCTCAGCCTCCCGAGTAGCTGGGACTACAGGCGCCCGCCACCACGCCTGGCTAATTATTTTGTATTTTTGGTAGAGACGGGGTTTCACCGTGTTAGCCAGGATGGTCTCCATCTCCTGACCTCGTAATCCGCCCGCCTCGGCCTCCTAAAGTGCTGGGATTACAGGCGTGAGCCACTGTGCCCGGCCAGAAATAACATTTGTAAGTGCAGCCTGTATTTTGTCCAAACCGCACGGATGTTGTGCAATTAAGTGGGAAGACTGCCTTTTTGCATTTTGCCACATATAAAGTTTCTCAGAAGAGTCTAAGATATATTCAATAATTCAGCCAATATCTAGTAGACATACACCATTTAAGAACAGGACCAACCTTAACATGTTATGAAGATTAGGTAAGACAAAAGCAAAGTTTTGTGGGCTTTTTTTTTTTTTTAATCAGGTTCTCACTCTGTCACCCAGGCTGGAGTGTAGTGGCGTGATCACAACTCCATTGCAGCCTGGACCTCCCAGGCTCAAGTAATCCTCCCACCTCAGCCTCCCGAATAGCTAGGAGCACAGGTGCGCACCATCAGACCCAGCTAATTTTTTTTTTTTAATTTTGTAGGGACAGGGTCTTCCTATGTTGCCCAGGCTGGTCTCAAACTCCCCGGCTCAAGCGATCTTCCCACTTCGGCCTCCCAAAGTGCTGGGATTACAAGTGTGAGCCACTGTGCCTGACTCAGTTTATTTTTTAAAATTTTTCTTCATTTATTCTTGGCTTCTTCCATTCATTGTTTTGATCACTAACTATGTGCTCAGCACATTGCTGAGCCTTTTGCATGCTCTGCTGGGCATTCCCCATTTGCTCTTCCGGATCCATTATCCACCCTGCTCTGGGACCCCAAAAAGCTGATCTTTTATAGATGGTATCATTTGGGCCCCATTGATTGGTTCGTAGTTGAGCCTGGCCACTTCTCTTTCAACTGGTCCCTGGCAGTCAGTACCAACATTTTAGTCAGGTTTCAAAGAAATCTCTAGACCAAGCTGGACAGAGGGCTTTTCCAGTGATTCAGTGATTCCCCAAGATCTGAGAATGTGAAACTTGGAAAAGGGACACAAAGACCGGGGATCCTTTGAGCTGGTTCAATAATGGCAGAGCTTTAGAGATATGCTGCTGAGCTCCCTGGGTCTGTCTCGCTTTCTGCCTTCTGAAGGCTTGATTGTTAACTTCTTCCTGGGTTTCAATTAGAAGCATTAGTGTCCTTCCTGGAGTTGAATTACCTGGAAATTTGCCTCCTAGATGTGTAAACTTGGGAAAGTATGATCTCGTCAAGTTTCAGACAAAGGCAAACTAAAAAGCTAGAACTCCAGAGAGCATAATAGTGTTTTTTGGGGGCAAATTATTTAATGAAGTATAACATTCATACAGGAAGTACAAAAATCATCAGTGTACAAAATCTCCATGAATTTTCACAATGTGTAAACCATTTTCCTGTTTTATCTGACCTTACTAAGTCAGGGTATAAATTATTAATTTTTTTTGAAACAGGGCCTTGCTCTGTGGTGCAGGTTAGGGCAGTGGTGTGATCACCGCTCACTGCAGCCTTGACTTCCTGGGCTCAGCCATCCTGCCGCTTCAGCCTCCCGAGTAGCTGGGACTGCAGGTGTGCGCCACCACGTCCAGCTAATTGTTTAATTTTTTGTTAGAGACGGGGTCTCGCTGTGTTGCCCAGGCTGGTCTAGAACTCCTGGGCTCAAGCGATCAGCCCGCCTCGGCCTCCCAAAGTGCTGAGATTATAAGGCGTGAGCCACTGCACCCTGCTGAGTATATTTTTAAAAACACTTTACCCGAGGGCTGTGGCTCACACCTGTAATCCCAACACTTTGAGAGGCCGAGACGGGTGGATCACTTGAGGTCAGGAGTTCGAGACTAGCCTGGGCAACACAGCTAAACCCTGTTTATACAAGATATACAAAAATTGGCTGGGCGTGGTAGCACGCGCCTGTAGTCCCAGCTCTTGGGAGGCTGAGGCAGGAGGATCGCTTGATCATAGCTCACTTTGAGGCTACAGTGAGCTGTGATCGCGCCATTGCACTCCAACCTGGATGACAGAGCGAGACCCTGCCTAAAAAAATAAAAAAAAAAAGGATTTTTTTCTGTTCAGTGGATTCATTTGAAGCGAGGGCCACTGGTATTTGAAATAGATGACATCATCTGCCAGCAGAGGCGTGAGGCAACTTGAGGCGGGGTGTGGGCCTGACGTCATCACGCAGCCTCTTCCTTTCCCCGCCCCCTTCTCTTGGCGAACGAGGCGTCAGTTTAACACCTCCGTGAATCCGGAAGTATGCTGTCAAAACAACCAAACCACGGGGCTGGGGGAGGCGGGGCCTCAGTAGGCGTCTGCACGCTAGCTGAAATAGAGCAAAATGCCCGACTTTTGGGGGCGGGGCTCCTGGCAACAGCACTCTAGGCGCAGGCGCAGAGGCGACCTCCAGGCAGGGCCAGGTGGGAGGGACGGTGGGGGGTAGGGTCGCGCGGCGCCCTCTGCGCCTGCGCCCCGGCACGAGGTGGGGCGGCGGGCGTCAGTACAGTAGAGTGTGCGCCGGGGTGGGGGGCAACGGTCAGCCGTCACCCTGAGACGGGCGGCGGCGGGATGGCAACAGCCTCCGGGGCCTCGGACTTGTCTGGCTCCGGAGCGCCCCCGCCCGGTGTGGGAGCTCAGGCGGCGGCGGCCGCTGAGGAGGAGGAGCGAGAGGTGGTGCGGGTCCGAGTCAAGGTGAGGCTGGCGGTGAGTCGGCCCAGCCGCCGAGGCATCCCAGGGGAGGGGGAGGCGGTGGCTGTCATAGGATGGAGGGCGGGACCTGAGATTTCGGACATAACCTGAGCGGCGAAGCTTGAGGGCCAAGTGATGATGGCGAGGGGTAGGGAGGGCCTGAGAGCCTGAGAGCGTTAGCGACGTACCTTGGGGCGTGGGACTGAAAATAGAGGGACGAGGCGGGGGTCTATGGGATGAATGGGTGGAGCTTATAGACAAAGGGGAGGGGCTATGGGGCTGGAGGAGGGGCCGCAGTAGTTGAGGGTGGGGCTCTGAGGAATGAGAAGGTGCTGGCTCTGGAGTCAGTCAACCCATGTGTTGAGAGTGCACTTATGTGCAAGTTCCCACTTTGATGAGCTGACAGGCTCGTGGGTGGAGACAACTAAAGAAATGAGATGCTTCGGACACTAAAATAATGAAAAAGGTTATGAAATAGGGAGTCACGTTAGCCAAGGTTGTACAGGGAAATCCCCAGAGGAGGTATTGAAGGAGCAGAGACCCGAATAAAAGGAGTCAGCCATGTGCATATTAGAAGGGAAGAGTATTCTAGGCAGAAGGAATAGCAAGGGCAAAGACTAGAGGATGGGAATGAGCCTGGCATGTTCCCGTAGGTTCCTGATTGCTGGAGTGGAGAGAATGAGGGGAAGAGTGGTAGGAGGTGAATCAGAGCGCTAAGACAGAGACAGATCGCCAAGGGCCTTTGGTGTGTATGCTGAGGAAGAACGCTGTTGCCATAGTTCCAGTAAACAATGATGGTGGCTCCGACCAACCAGTGGCACTGGCAGTGATAAGAGGGTCCACACATCACTTCAGTGTAATAGAGCTCTAAGGTAGAAGTTTGACATTCAGAAAAAAGATGATGCCTGAGCTGGGCGTGAACCACGTGAAGAAAGTGGGAGGGATGTTCCAGACAGGGGATCAGCACAATCAATGGCCTGGAGTCAGGATGGTTTCAAGGTAACTTCTAACAGTTTGGTACTACTAGAGTGTAAAGTTCAAAAAACCTGGTGAGAGGCTGGCTGGGGCCCCATAGGCCCGCTTGCTGGGACTCTAGGGTTGCCATTGAAGAGATTGAAGCAGGGGAGTGTTGTAGGTAGATGTGTTAGATTGGTTACAGCACCATAGAGGACTGATTTAACAGGAGCCAGACTGGACACGGTGATTCTGGCAACCATAGTTGAAGGGATATAGAAGAAGGATTGGGGGCCTGAACTCTTGCAGTAGCCTCCTCCTCACTGGACCCTGTGGTCCAGAACACCTGCCTTGATCTGGCCCCTGGCACCTCTCTGACTTTGCCTTCTACCACTCTGCACCTCACTCTTCAGCATGGTGATGGGGCCCCTGGTGGCCTACCCCATGTCTTCTCTCCCCAGAAATGTGAGAGCTTCTTGCCGCCAGAGTTCCGCTCTTTTGCTGTAGATCCCCAGATCACCTCGCTCGACGTGTTGCAGCACATCCTCATCCGAGCCTTTGATTTGAGTGGGTGAGTGGGAAGATGCTGGGGACTGGCCAGTGGGCCACCGACCTCTACAGTGGCTATCTGGCCTTTGTTTGGTAGGGTTTTTGTTTATTTTACTACTACAAATAATCCCACAGTGAACAGCCACGTATGCATGTCTTGGAGCACAGTAGTCTACTTTTGTCTGTGGTTTTGCTTTCTGCAGTTTCAGTTACCCATGGTCAACCTCAGTCTGCAAATATTACATACAATAAGATATTTTGAGAGAGAGAGAGAGACCACATTCATATTACTTTTATTACAGTTTACAGACAGTCCCCAACTTACAATAACTGGACTTAGGATTTTTCAACTTTACAATGGTGCAAAAGCGATACGCATTTGGTAGAAACTGTACTGCAAGTGCCCAGCGATTCTGCTTTTCACTTTCAGTACAGTGTTCAATAAATTACATGAAATATTCAACACTGTTGTAAAACAGACTCTGTGTTAGATGATTTTCCCAACTGTAGGCTAATGTGAGCGTTCTGAGCACGTTTAAGGTAGGCTAGGCTAACCTGTGATGTTTGGTAGGATAAATGTGTTAAATGCATTTTCCTTTTTATTTCTTTTTTTTTTTTTTTTTGAGATGGAGTCTAACTGTCACCCAGGCTGCAGTGCAGTGACATCTCCCAGGTTCAAGTGATTCTCCTGTCACAGCCTCCCAAGTAGCTGGGACTACAGGCATGCACCACTATGCCCGGATAATTTTTTTTTTTTTTTTTTTTGAGACGGAGTTTTGCTCTTGTCCCCCGGGCTGCAGTGCAGTGGCGCAGTCTCAGCTCACTGCAACCTCCGCTTCCCGGGTTCAAGTGATTCTCCTGCCTCAGCCTCCCAAGTAGCTGGGATTACAGGCACGCACCACCACGCCTGCTAATTTTTGTATTTTTATTAGAGACAAGGTTTCACCATGTTGGTCAGGCTAGTCTCGAACACCTGACCTCAAGTTACCTGTCCACCTCGGCCTCCCAAAGTGCTAGGATTACAGGTGTAAGCCCCCGCACCCAGTCCCAGATAGTTTTTTGATCTTCTCTTTTTTTTTTTTTTGGAGACAGAGTCTCACTCTGTCACTTAGGTTGGAGTGCAGTGGTCCGATGTTGGCTCATTGCAGCCTTTGCCTCCCGGGTTCAAGTGATTCTCATGCCTCAGCCTCCAGAGTAGCTGGGATTACAGGTGTGCACCACCACACTCAGCTAATTTTCATGAGGTTGGTCAGGCTGGTCTCAAACTCCTGATCTCAAGTGATCCGCCCACCTCGGCCTCCCAAAGTGTTAGGATTACAGGCACGTGAGCCTCCGCACCCGGCCAATTTTTTGTATCTTTAGTAGAGACAGGGTTTCGCCATGTTGCCCAGGGCAGTCTCAAACTCCTGAGCTCAAGCAATCCGCCCGCCTCAGCCTCTCAAAGTGCTGGGATTACAGGTGAGCCACTGCGCCCAGCCAAATGCATTGTCAACTTACAGTATTTCCAACTTACGATGAGTTTATTGGTACATAACCCTGTCATAAGTCAAGAAGCATCTGTATTGTCATAATTGTTCTATTATTGTTAATCTCTTACTGTGCCTAATTTATCAATTAAACCTTATCATAGGTATGTATGTATATGAAAAAAAACATAGTATATATAGGGCTTGGTACTATCTGCAGTTTCAGGCATCCACTCGGGGGGGTCTTGGAATGTATCCCCTGTAGATAAAGAGGGACTACTGTATTTGGAAACATCTAGTCATAGGATAAATTCCTAGCAGTGGTATTGCCAGGTAAAAGGGTATTTGCTTTAAAAAAAATTTTTTTTTTGAGACAGTCTCATTCTGTCGTCCAGGCTGGAGTGCAGTGGTGTGATCTCGTCTCATTGCAACCTCCACCTCCTGAGTTCAAGCAATTCTCCTGCCTCGGCCTCCTGAGTAGCTGGTACTACAGGCGTGCGCCACCATGCCCGGCTAATTTTTGTATTTTTAGTAGAGATGGGGTTTCACCGTGTTGGCCAGGATCGTCTCGATCTCCTGACCTCGTGATCCACCCGCCTCAGCCTCCCAAAGTGCTGGGATTACAGGCATGAGCCACCGCACCTGGCCTGCTTTTTGAACTATTAATGGGTGTTTCCAAAATGCTCTCCAGACAGGTTTTATCAATTTATGATCTCAGCCGGGCGCTGTGGCTCATGCCTGTAATCCCAGCACTTTGGGAGGCTGAGGCAGGTGGATCACGAGGTCAGGAGATCAAGACCATCCTGGCTAACACGGTGAAACTCCGTCTCTACTAAAAATACAAAAAATTCTCCAGGCGTGGTGGTGGGCGCCTGTAGTCCCAGCTACTTGGGAGGCTGAGGCAGGAGAATGGCATGGGCCCGGGAGGCGGAGCTTGCAGCGAGCCGAGATCGCACCATTGCACTCCAGACTGGGCGACAGAGTGAGACTCCGTCTCAAAAAAAAAAAAAAACGAATTTATGATCTCATCAGCAGCACATAAATGCCTGTTTCCCTCACACCCTCGCAAACATTGGTTACTGTAAAACTGCAAAATTTGCCAATCTGATAGCTGAAAAGTGGTGTCTCTTGGGGGCAGATGTGATAGTCATTTTGTTGTGATTTTGGAGGAATACATACACATGGTAAGAAATTCAAACAGTACACAATTGTTGGGTATTTAGGATGTTTCCATGGTTATGATGAGCATCACGCAACAAACTTCTTTACATAGTTGCACAAGTATAGCTGAAAAATTCTTAGTTGTTATTAGACTTTCTTACATAAACATTTTTGTTGTGAAAAATAACAAACACAGATTGCTTTTTTTTTATGTAGTAAGAAGGCTGCTTTCTTCCCACTTCTGTCCCACATCTACCCCAGAGGGGACCAACTTTTTTTTTTTTTTTTGAGATGGAGTCTTGCTCTGTCACCCAGGTTGGAGTGCAATGCCACAATCTTGGCTCACTGCAACCTCCACCTCCCAGGTTCAAGCGATTCTCCTGCCTCAGCCTCCTGAGTAGCTGGGATTACAGGCACCTGCCACCACACCCAGCTAATTTTTTTTGTATTTTTAGTACAGAAGGGGTTTCACCATGTTGACCAGGCTAGTCTCAAACTCCTGACCTCAGGTGATCCACCCACCTCGGCCTCCCAAAGTGCGGAGATTATAGGCGTGAGCCACTGCACCCGGCCAACATTTTACCAGTTTCCAATGTGACCTCCAGATACAAGCAGGTGTGTACCTGCTTGTATGTGTTTGTGTAACAAAGTGGGTATAAATGACCTGATCTCAGGCTGCCCATAATCCTTGGCACAGTACCTTGCACATAGTAGGAAGTTGTTTTCAACGCCTTCTATATTACCCTCCTTGTTTTGGAAACTGTCCCTGAGGCCTCCAGGGCACCAGGGGCCCTGAGAGCTCCCTCGTATCCCCTGTCCAGGAAGAAGAACTTTGGCATCAGCTACCTGGGCCGGGACCGGCTAGGACAGGAAGTTTACCTCTCACTTCTATCTGACTGGGACCTCAGCACAGCCTTTGCCACTGCCTCCAAACCTTACCTGCAATTGCGTGTAGATATTCGGCCCTCGGAGGACAGTGAGTACTCAGTGCCCCCAGGAGCACTGCTCTGGAACCCCTTTACCCCATAGGGTGATGCTACCCCTCACAGTACACTCCCTCATGGTGGGATGGGTAGCAAGGTATCCTAGCTATAGATCCTGGCTCAGCCACTAGGCCACAATTTCTTCACTTGTAAAGAGATAATTGTATCTTAGAACCATTGTGAGGCCTTGTATCTTAGAACCATTGTGAGGGGAAATTCATATAAAATGCCTGGAACAGTGCATGACTGCATAATGAAGGCTCAGAAAGTGTTATCTCTAATAATGATAATTATATTGTATTATACTATTATAACATATAACCGAGTAATGTATGTAATAATTAGATATAATGCAGATTTATAATATAGTATAACGGTATAGCTTTAGCATTATGTATTTCAGTTATAATACCTAAATATAACAATGCGTATTATAATAATGCTAGTTGTGTTTATTCATTCAGTCATTCTGCACCCATATTCATTTGTTTGTATTCTTGCTCACTCATTCATTTGTTCCCTTGACCTCTCAGCCACTTTTTCTCTTCTCATCTTTGTTCTTCCACTCTTGCCTATTCTGGTCCCTGCGAGCACACAGATAAATTAGGACGTGGTCTCAAAATTTGATTACAGACCATACATTAGATAATTGTATCAGTATTAAATTTCCTGGGTGTGTGTCTTAGTCGTTTTGTGCTACTATAACAGAATACCACAGACTGAGGAATTTGTAAAGAAGAGAAATTTATTTCTCACAGTTTTGGAGACTGGGAAGTCCAAGATCAAGGTGCTGGCAGGTTGTGTGTCTAGTGAGGGCTTTCTTGCTGCATCCTCACATGACAGAAGAGCAGAAGAGAGTGAACCCACACCCTCAACCTCTTTATAAGAGCCCAAATCCGCTGGGCACGGTGGCTCATGCCTGTAGTCCCAGCACTTTGGGAGGCTGAGGCAGGCGGATCACCTGAAGTCAGGAGTTCGAGACCATCCTGGCCAACATGGTGAAACCCTGTCTCTACTAAAAAAAATACAAAAATTAGCCGGGTGTAGTGGCACATGCCTATAATCCCAGCTACTCGGGAGGCTGAGGCATGAGAATCGCTTGAACCCGAAAAGCAGAGGTTGCAGTGAGCCAAGATCTTGCCACTGCACTCCAGCCTGGGTGACAGAGCGAGACTTCATCTCAAAAAAAAAAAAAAAAAGAGGCTGAGCACGGTGGCTCACGCCTGTAATCCCAGCAGTTTAGGAGGCCGAGGCGGGCAGATCACAAGGTCAGGAGATCGAGACCACCCTGGCTAACACGGTGAAACCCTGTCTTTACTAAAAATACAAAAAAATAGCCGGGCGTGGTGGCGGGTGCCTGTAGTCCCAGCTACTCGGGAGGCTGAGGCAGGAGAATGGCATGAACCCGGGAGGCGGAGCTTGCAGTGAGCCAAGATCGCACCACTGCACTCCAGCCTGGGCAACAGAGCAAGACTCCATCTCAAAAAATAAATAAAATAAAAAATAAAAAAAGAGCCCTAATCCCATCTGTGAGAGCTCTACCCTCAGGACTTAATCACCTCTTAAAGGCCCCCACCTCTTAATATGATCACATTGGTAATTAAATTGCAACACATGAATTTGGAAGGACACATTCAAACCATAGCAGTGTGGTAGTGGTATCATATCTATTGAAGGAAAATATCCTTGTTCTTGGGAAAGACACAGTTAAGTATGAAGGGGTAAAATGTCATGATGTCTGCAAATAAGTTGGCAAAAATAATGTGTTTATATACAGAGAGAGTGAGATAAAGCAAATGTGGCCCAAAAAAATGTTAATAGAGGATCTAGATGAAGTATGTATGGGTGTTCAGTGTATTCTTTTAACTTTATTGTAGGTTCAAAATTGTTTTAAATAGTTGTGGAGTGGAAGATGTGGTTCCCAGCCTCAGGAAACTCATGTGCCCATTTGGGATGAGTCGAGCACTTTATTGATGTCATAATAACATATAACTAGCTAATGTGTAGTGAACACTTAGGGCCATTCTGTGCACATAATATTTTTTCACTGAATTGTCAAAATAATCCTATAGAGTAGGGACAATCATTTTCCCCATATTATAGATGAGGAAACTGAGGCTCAGAGAGGTGACAGGACTCGTCCCAGTTATACAGACAGTAAGTTGAAGAGCAAGATTTGAACTCAGGCAGTGGCTGAACTGGCTCCAGAGTCCTTGTTCTTAACCATTTAACTCTACAACATTTTGGACTTGTTAAAATTGGCAGCTTTGCAAAAGAGAGACAGAGGAGAGAGAGAAACAAGAGTCAGAGGGAAAGATAGTGACAGAGATGGGCAGGAAGCCAAATAGGAAAAGCCAGGTAGCCAGACACACAGGAACCTCTGCCACTGAGTAGCCATATGTGCTTATGTCAGTCACTTAATTCCCTGGGCCTTGTTTTCCTCACCTGTTAAAGAGACACAGTAGCACTATTTCAGGAAAAAAATCAAATCTGCATGGCTACGAAACATGTGGAGAAAACCCCAAGTGCATGAGAACTGGGACGAATGCCAGTAAAGCAGAGAGACAGACAGAAAGACACCCAGTAGTCTGGCAGGAATACATCTTTAAAAGGTTATCTTTTTAGGCCAGGCGCCGTGGCTCACGCCTGTAATCCCAGCACTTTGGGAGGCCGAGGCGGGTGGATCACCTGAGGTCAGGAGTTCGAGACCAGCCTGGCCAAACATGGCGAAACCCTGTCTCTACTAAAAATACAGAAATTAGCCGGGCGTGGTGGTAGGCGCCTGTAATCCCAGCTACTCGGGAGACTGAGGCAGGAGAATTGCTTGAGCCTGGGAGGCGGAGGTTGCAATGATCCGAGCTCGTGCCACCGCACTCCAGCCTGAGTGACAGAACTAGACTCCATCTCAAAAAAAAAAAAAAAAAAGCCCTCTGTCTTATTTACCAAATTCCTGCACAACATCGGTCTGTTTCTGAATTCCTGATTCTCTTACGTTGATCTATTTATTAAATTATAAGCCAATTCTATGTTGTTTTAATCATTGTAGTAGTTTGTTTTCTGTTTGTTTGTTTGGTTTTGAGGGTTTTTTTTTTGTTTTTTTTTTGAGACAGGGTCTCACTCTGTCATCCTTGCTGGAGTGCAGTGGCCCAATCTCAGCTCACTGCAGCCTCCACCTCCCAGGCTCAAGCAATTGTCCCACGTCAGCCTCCTGAGTAGCTGGGCCTATAGGCACATGCCCCCATGCCCAGCTAATTTTTGTATTTTTTGTAGAGACAGGGTTTCGCCGTGTTGCCCAGGCTGGTCTTGAACTCCTGGACTCAAGCAGTCTGCCCGCCTCAGCCTCCCAAAGTGCTGGGATTACAAGCAAGAGCCACCGCACCCAGCCTTAATCATTATAGTTTTATGATATGTTTTCATGTTTTCCTTTTTAAAAAATTTTCTTGAATATTCTTGTTCACTTACTGTTCTTTTTATTTAATAAATCAGCTTATTATTCCATTAAAATCCTGACGGGAATTTGATTGGAGTCATATTTTTAAGAGAAACTAATCTTTCATTACCCAGTAAATACATTCTTATTAAAAATAAAAGCATTTTAAATAATGCTGAAGTCTCCTGGGAACGCTATGCCTAATCTCAATCCCCTACCCTACCCTTTTTGCCCCGAGGGAATCGGTTTGATGTGTAACTTTGCATGTCCTTTACTTATTTACACTCCCTACACACACATTTATCCACATATGTGAGTATATTCATATTTGCGTGTCTGTACACATAAACGGTATGTGTTTAACATAAGGTATTCTACACATTAATATGTAAGTGTCCAATATATGGAGCTATCATTAGACATATTAATGGCATTCTCATGATCATTTTCATGGCTGTGAAAGCAACAGACATGTTGGGACTGTTTGGATGGCCCAGTCCCTCTTTCTGGGAAAAAGCCAGTTTCTGTCACCTCTACAGTTGGGAGATTACAAAGCCTAGACCTTTGACCAATTTGTACTTTTCCGATATGAATCTTTTTTCTTTTTGAGACTCTCTTTGTCACCAAGGCTGGAATGCAGTGACGCAAATATGGCCCACTGCAGCCTTGACCTCAAGCTCTCCTCCTGCCTCAGGCTTTCAAGTAGCTGGGACTACAGGTGTGCACCACCATGCCCAGCTAATTTTTGTATTTTTTGTAGAGACATGGTTTTGCCATGTTGGCCAGGCTGGTCTCGAACTTCTGACCTCAAGTGATCCACCCACCTCGGCCTCTCAAAGTGTTTGGATTACAGGCGGGAGCCACCGTGCCCAGCCCCCAACCTCCTTTCTATCATAGGTACTGCAAATATTTTTCCCAGTTGATCTTTTGTTTTTTGGCTTTGCTTACGGGATGGATCTGTTTTGTCCTATCAAAATTAAACATTTGATTGCACGCCTACACAGATATCTATCTTTTTCTTTATGATTTCTGAGTTTCTCCTTTTTATTGCAGGTGGAGGGACAGAGTTTCACTCTCATTGCCCAGGCTGGAGTGCGATGGCGCGATCTCGGCTCACTGCAACCTCCGCCTCCTGGGTTCAAGTGATTCTCCTGCCTCAGCCTCCCAAGTAGCTGGGATTACAGGCATGTGCCACTACACCTGGCTACTTTTGTATTTTTAGTAGAGATGGAGTTTCACCATGTTGGTCAGGCTGGTATCGAATTCCTGATCTCAAGTGATCCACCTGCCTGGGCCTCCCAAAGTGGTGGGATTACAGGCATGAGCCACTGTGCCTGGCTGAGTTTCTCCTATTACTTTGGAACATGTTCCCCATCCATAAGCTTATACAAATATTCTATATTTTCTTCTACTATGCTTATTGTTTTCTTTTTTACATATAAATCTTTTCTCTGTCAGCATTGTGATAAGCAGACCTAGCTTTAAAAAAATCAAGATAGTCAATTATGCCAGCATCATTTTTTTTAATTTAATTTTTTTTTTTGAGACGAAGTTTTACTCTTATCGCCCAGGCAGGAGTGCAGTTGCACAATCTCAGCTCACTGCAGCCGCCGTCTCCTGGGTTCAAGCAATTCTCCTGACTCAGCCTCCCAAATAGCTGGGATTACAGGTGCCCGCCACCATGCCTAGCTAATTTTTGTATTTTTAGTAGAGATGAGGTTTTGCCATGTTGGCCAGGTTGGTGTCGAACTTATGACCTCAGGTGATCCACCCACTTCAGCCTCCCAAAGTGCTGAGATTACAGGCATGAGCCACTGCGCCCGGCCTGCCAGCATCATTTATTAAATAATCACCTTTTCTGCAGTGATTCGAAATGCCACGTTTGTCACATATTCAGTTTCCATATATACAAGCTTGGATTTATTTCTGGGCTTTCTATTGCATTCTACCAATGGGCTCTATTTGTCTACTGCTGTGCTAACACCATGTTATTTTTATGACAGTGGTTTTGTGGTCAAATTTTTTTTTTTTTTTGAGATGGAGTCTCGCTCTGTCGCCCAGGCTGGAGTGCAGTGGCGCAATCTCAACTCACTGCAAGCTCCGCCTCCCGGGTTCACGCCATTCTCCTGCCTCAGCCTCCCTAGTAGCTGGGACTACAGGCGATAAGCTTTTGCCATCCTCCCACTGTTCTTTGTCTTAACTTTTTTTTTTTTTTTGGAGATGGAGTCTTGCTCTGTCGCCCAGGCTGGAGTGCAGTGGCACAATCTTGGCTCACTGCAAGCTCCACCTCCTGGGTTCACGCCATTCTCCTGCCTCAGTCTCCCAAGTAGCTGGGACCACAGGCGCTCGCCACCACGCCCGGCTAATGTTTTGTATTTTTAGTAGAGGCAGGGTTTCACCGTGTTAGCTAGGATGATCTCGATCTCCTGACCTCGTGATCCACCCACCTCGGCCTCCCAAAGTGCTGAGATTACAGGCATGAGCCACCGCGCCCAGCCTGTCTTAGCTATTCTTAAATGTGAATTCTTCTATAGAAACCTTAAGATAATTTTATCCGGTTCCAGGAAAAACCCCCATTCAATTTCTGACTGGCATTGCACTGAGTTTATATATTAATTTAGGGTTTGGGAAGTTTGACAATTTTATGATAAGGAAATGCGCGTATCATGAATATTATGTAATACCACAAGCAGGGTCTGGGCCAGCAGCCAAGCAGCCCACAATGAAACACTTGGATGTTTCTTCAGGGAAATGTGTGCATATTCACACTACGTGGGTTATATAAAGACTATATATAGTCTCCTGTCAGTTCAGATCAGGTTTTGCTACTAGGTGAGTTTGTGTTTGTAGACATTCTTTGCCTGTTTTTTGTTTGTTTGTTTGTTTGTTTTTTTGAGACACTCTGTTGCCAGGCTGGAGTGCAGTGGCACAATTCCGGCTCACTGCAACCTCTGCCTCCCAGGTTCAAGCGATTCTCCTGCCTCAGCCTCTTGAGTAGCTGAGATTACAGGCACGCGCCACCACGCCCAGCTAATTTTTGTATTTTTAGTAGAGACGGGGTTTCACCATGTTGGCCAGGACGGTCTCGATCTCTTGACCTTGTGATCCGCCCGCCTTGCTTCTCAAAGTGCTGGGATTACAGGTGTGAGCCACTGCGCCCGGCCTTTTTTTTCCTTTTTTTGAGAGGGAGTCTCACATTGTTGCCCAGGCTGGAGTGCAGTGGCGCGATCTCAGCTCACTGTAACCCCTGCCTCCCAGGTTCAAGCGATTCTCCTTACCTCAGCCTCCCAAGCAGCTGGGATTACAGGCACCTGCCACCACACCTGGCTAATTTTTTTTTGTATTTTTTAGTAGAGATGGGGTTTCACCATGTTGGCCAGGCTGGTCTCAACCTTGTGATCCGCCCACCTCAGCCTCCCAAAGTGCTGGGATTACAGACGTGAGCCACCGCGCCTGGCCTCTGCCTGTTTTATTAGTGGGATTGAGGGGGTGGTTTTTTTAATCAGTATAAAATGTCTCTTTGTGTTAAATGCTTTTGGCCTTGAGTGATGCTTTTTCTGACATTCTCATGGCTACTATTTTTTTCTGTTTGTGTTTACCAGATATACCTTTAGGATTCTTTAATTTTTAACCTTTTTGTGTCACCTAGTTTTAGGTATGTCTCTCATACCTCTCGTAAAAACGTCATAGCAGAATTTATGCTTTTTAAGGCAACTGACAGTGAAATCTTTTTTTTTTCTTTTTGACACGTAGTCTCGCTCTGTCGCCCAGACTGGAGTGCAGTGGCACGATCTCAGCTCGCTGCAACCTCTGCATCCTGGGTTCAAGCAATTCTCCTCCCTCAGCCTCCCGAGTAGCTGGGATTACAGGCACACACCATCATGCCCGGCTAATTTTTTTTTTTTTTTTTTTGAGATGGAGTTTCGCTCTGTCGCCCAGACTGGAGTGCAGTGGCACAATCTTGGCTCGCTGCAACCTCTGCATCCTGGGTTCAAGCAATTCTCCCTCAGCCTCCCGAGTAGCTGGGATTACAGGCGCTCACCATCACACCTGGCTAATTTTTTGTATTTTTAGTAGAGACGGGGTTTCACCGTGTTAGCCAGGATGGTCTCGATCTCCTGACCTCATGATCTGCCTGCCTCGGCCTCCCAAAGTGCTGGGATTATAGTCGTGAGTCACTGCACCCCGCCCCAACAGTGAAATCTTTAGGCCACTTTTTCTCCTTTAATCTCTCCCACTTTTTCTGGCCTTTAAAATGGAGCTTTGGAACACTTGTAATTCTTATTCGTTTTCTGGTCCCTAACCCTTAACTTCTAGCTTTTGCTTAGACAACTTTTTTTTTTTTTTGAGATGGAGTCTTGCTCTGTTGCCCAGGCTGGAGTGCTATGGCACAATCTCAGCTTACCGCAACCTCCTCTTCCCAGGTTCAAGCAATTCTCCTGCCTCAGCCTCTTGAGTAGCTGGGGTAACAGAAGCGCACCACCACACCCGGCTAGTTTTTTTATATTTGGTAGAGATGGGGTTTCACCATGTTGGCCAGGCTGGTCTTGAACTCCTGACCTCAAGTGATTTGCCTGCCTCGGCTTCCCAAAGTGCTGGGATTACAGGCATGAGCCACCACACCCAGCCAATTTTTTTTCTTTTTAAATTCCGGGTTATCATTCTGTTTTCTTACTAACACACTAAGTCACTTATGTTTCAGGAATCCTAATGTAACATATAATATTACAAACCCCCAATCATGTTATCGTTGTCATTTTAACTATAAATATTAAATATGTAATATATATAATATAATATATAATATATAAATATTACCATTTACCTTCCCCTTTGTCTCTCCCTATCTTAAGCCCTTCTAGTCATGCAGGAGTCATTTGCTCAGAGAACTTCTTTGTTCTCCTCCAAAAGTGCATGGGTTAGATGTACTCTAATGGCCAAAAATGTTTTTATTTGGCTGAATAGATCTGTACTGTCTTGGCTGGGTGTGGGGCCCTTGGATCTCAGGTCTTTCTTCTTAGTGCTCCATAGGTGCTGTGAGCTACTGTCTTATTGCCTCCAGGGTTGTGAAGCAGAAGTCTGTTGCTTGTCTGACCTTCTTTCCATTGTAAGCAGCCGTTTTTTGTCTCTGGAAGCTGCAAGAGTTTTTCTTTTTCTTTTTTTTTTTTTTTTTTTTTTGAGGCAGGATCTCTATTTCCCAGGCGGGAGTGCAGTGACGTGATCTCAGCTCACTGCAACCTCTGCTTCCCAGGTTCAAGCGATCCTCCCACCCACCTCAGCCTCCCGAGTGGCAGGGACTACAGGTGTGCGCCACCATGCCCAGCTAATTTTTATATTTTTGGGTAGAGACAGGGTTTTATCATGTTCAGCCCAGGCTGGTTTTGAACTCTCGGGCTCAAGCAATCCGCCCGCCTTGGCCTCCCAAAGTGCTGGGATTAGGCTGGGCATGGTGGCTCATGCCTGTAATCCCAGCACTTTGGGAGACCGAGGTAGGCGGATCACTTGAACTCAGGAGTTCGAGACCAGCCTGGCCAACATGGTGAAACCCCGTCTCTACTAAAAATACAAAAATTTGCCAGGTGTTGTGGCGCACACCTGTAGTCCTAGCTACTTGGGAGGCTGAGACAGGAGAATCGCTTGAACCCGGGAGGCGGAGGTTGCAGTGAGCCAAGATCACGCCACTGCGCTCCAGCCTGGGCAACAGAGCAAGACTCTGCCTCAAAAAAAAAAAATTGCTGGGATTACAGGCATGAGCCATTGCGCCCAGTCTAAGAGTTTTTCTTTATTCTTAGAATTTGGGCATTTCGGGCTGGGCGCAGTGGCTCACGCCTGTAATCCCAGCACTTTGGGAAGCTGAGGCAGGCGGATCACTTGAACTCAGGAGTTCAAGACCAGCCTGGCCAATGTGGCAAAACCCTGTCTTTACTAAAAATACAAAAATTAGCAAAAATTAGCCGGGCGTGGTGGTATGCCCCTGGAATCCCAGCTACTTGGGAGGCTGAGGCAGGAGAATGGCTTGAACCCAGGAGGCGGAGGTTGCAGTGAGCCGAGATCATACCATTGTGCTCCAGTCTGGGTGACAGAGCAAGACTCCATCTCAAAAAAAAAAAAAAAAAAAGGATAGGGTTGGTGGGGGGCCTGTTGTGTGTTGTTAGTTAATTAATCCTATCTAAGACTTGGTGAGCCATTCCTTCATCTCAGGGAAATTTTCTTTCATACTTGTTTAATTCTGACATCTCCACCTGATCCCTTTTCTCCCCCTGCATTTCCTATTATTTCCATATTTGGTCTCCTGGACTTGGCATCCAGGTCTCTCTACTTTTTCACTCAAATCATTGAACCTTAGCTCCATGCCTTGCAGTGGTTCTTCTGTTCAGACTTTCAGACCATTACTGATTTTTCATAATGTGACCTTCTTCATTTTACCTGTTAAGTGTTTTAATGCTCTGATTAATGTTTTAGAAAGACCATTCTGGCAGCTGTTGGGAGAGATTGGAGAGGAATACAGAGGAAGTGAGGACTGGTTAGGAGGCAGTTTCAGGTGAGAGATATGGTGGCTCAGACAGGGTGAGAAGATGGAGATGAGAGAACAGGTAGGATGGAGGAATGCTTTACATGCAGTAGCCGTAGGACTTGGCGGTGGTTTGGACCTGGGAGTTAAGAGAGTGGGAGGGGGACAAGGATGTCTCTCAGGTTTCTGGTCTATTAAACAACTGAACAGATAGAGATGCTGTTTGTTGAGATGAGGAGTAGAGGAGGAGGCCATGTCTAGAGTGGATCTTGGGCTCCTCTCTTTGGACCCCTTAGGTTTGCAGTACCCCATGAGACATCCAGGGAAAAGCAGTGACATGCAAACATGGCCTAGGGTTTGTTCCCCCCCTCAGCTCTATGGGAAAATTGGGCTCCATGGGAATGCTGTTTAGGGATGGCATTTGCTTGCAAATGACAGTGGCTTAAACAGATAGAAGTTGATTGGTTTCACACAAAAGAGTTTGAAAGTTAGCCACTTGGGCCGGATGCAGTGGCTCACGCCTGTAATCCCAGCACTTTGGGAGGCCAAGGTGAAGGGGGCCTGCCCCTCCACACTTGTGGGTATTTCTCGTTAGGTGGAGACGAGAGATTGAGAAAAGAAATAAGACACAGAGACAAAGTATAGAGAAAGAACAGTGGGCCCAGGGTACCGGCACACTCAGCATGCGAGGACCTGCACCAGCGCCGGTCTCTGAGTTCCCTCAGTATTTATTGATCACTATTTTTACTATCTTGGCAAGGGGAGTGTGGCAGGGCAACAGAGTGTTGGTGGGGAGAAGGTCAGTAGGGAAACATGTGAGCAAAGGAATCTGTATCATGAATAAGTTCAAGGAAAGGTACTGTGCCTGGATGTGCATGTAGGCTAGATTTATGTTTCACTTTACACAAATATCTCAGTGTAGCAAAGAGTAACAGAGCAGTATTGCTGCCAGCATATCTCGCCTCCAGCCACGGGGCAATTTTCTCCTATCTCAGAATAGAACGAATGGTCGGCTTTACACCGAGACATTCCATTCCCAGGGACAAGCAGGAGACAGAAGCCTTCCTCTTATCTCAACTGCAAAGAGGACTCCCTCTTTCACTACTCCTCCTCAGCATAGACCCTTTATGCGTGTCGGGCTGGGGGATGTAAGGTCTTTCCTTTCCCACGAGGCCATATATCAGGCTGTCTCAGTGAGGGGAAACTTTGGACAATACCCAGGCTTTCTTGGGCAGAGTTCCCTGTGGCTTTCCACAGTGCATTTTGTCCCTGGTTAATAGAGAATGGAGAATGGCGATGACTTTTACCAAGCATACTGCCTGCAAACATATTGTTAACAAGGCACATCCTGCATAGCCCTAAATCCATTAAACCTTGATTCAATACAGCACGTTTCTGTGAGCACATGGTTGGGGCTAAAGTTACATACAGATTAACAGCATCTCAAACCAGAACAATTTTTCTTAGTACAGATCAAAATGGAGTTTCTTACATCTTCCTTTTCTGCATAGACACAGTAACAATCTGATCTCTCTTTCTTTTCCCCACATAAGGCGGGTGGATCACCTGAGGTCAGGAGTTGGAGACCAGCCTGGCAAACCCCATCTCTACTAAAAATACAAAAAATTAGCCAGGCGTGGTGGCAGGCACCTGTAATCCCAGCTACTCGGGAGGCTGTGGCAGGAGAATTGGTTGAACCTGGGAGGCAGAGGTTGCAGTGAGCGAGGATCACACCATTGCACGCCAGTGTGGGTGACAGAACAAGACTCCGTCTCAAAAAAAAAAAAAAAAAAAAAAGCCAGCCACTGGACATTGCCATTGTTGGCTTAGTAGCCCTCTCGTATCAGGGCTGTAGGAGAGGATCTCTGAAGATCCTCTCGAACCTACTCTCAGATGGCCACTGCTGCTTCAACCACCACATCTTATGTGAGGTGGGAAGAAAGAATGCGGGGCAAAATGAAAAAGAAAGAGAAACGGTCAGGTGCAGTGGCTCACACCTGTAATCCCAACACTTTGGGAGGCCAAGGCAGGAGGATCTCTTGAGCCCAGGAGTTCAAGACCATAGGCAATATAGTAAGATCCCATCTCTACCAAAAAAAAAAAAAATCATCCACGCATGGTGGCACACGCCTGTAAGCCCCAGCTACTCAGGAGGTTGAGGCAAGAGGATCGTTTGAGCCCAGGAGTTTGAGGCTGCAGTGAGCTATGATCGCACCACTGCACTCCAGCCTTGGGGGACAGAGCAAGACTGTCTCAAAAAAAGAAAAAAAAGATGCCTGTAATCCTAGCACTTTGGGAGGCCAAGGCGGGCTGATCACCTGAGGTCAGGAGTTCGAGACCGGCCTGGGCAACATAGCGAAACCTCATCTCTACTAAAAATACAAAAATTAGGCCAGGTGTGGTGGCTCATGCCTGTAATCCCAGTACCTTGGGAGGCCGAGGCAGGTGGATCACCTGAGGTCGGGAGTTCGAGACCAGCCTGACCAACATGGAGACACCCCGTCTCTACTAAAAATATAAAATTCACCAGGCATGGTGGTACATGCTTGTACTCCCAGCTACTCGGGAGGCTGAGGCAGGAGAATCACTTGAACCCAGGAGGTGGATGTTGCAGTGAGCCGAGATCCCGTCATTGTACTCCAGCCTGGGCAACAAGAGTGAAACTCCGCCTCAAAAAAAAAAAAAAAATTAGCTGGACCTGGTGGCAGGCACCTGTAATCCCAGCTACTTGGGAGGCTTAGGCAGGAGAACTGCTTGAACCCAAAAGGTGGAGTTTGTAGTGAGCCAAGATTGCACCACTGCACTCCAGCCTGGGCGACAGAGTGAGACTCCATCTCAAAAAAAAAAGAAAAAAGAGGCTGGGTGCAGTGGCTCACGCCTATAATCCCAGCACTTTGGGTAGGCCAAGGCGAGTGGATCACGTGAGGTCAGGAGTTCAAGACCAGCCTGACCAACATGGTGAAACTCCGTCTCTACTAAAAATACAAAAATTAGCTGGGCATGGTGGCAGGCACCTGTAATCCCAGCTACTCGGGAGGCTGAGGCAGGAGAATCACTTGAAACCAGGAGGCAGAGTTTGCAGTGAGCTACGTTCACACCACTGCATTCCACCCTCGGTTACAGAGTGAGACTCCGTCTCCAAAAAAAAAAAAAAAAAAGCATATACGGCATACCTGTTCCACTTTTGCACAAATATTTTATTTCTAAAGTATGTCTGGGCTCTGGACTAGGGTGAATGAAGTTCAGATCCCAGCCCTACTATTTCCTGGCTGTAGAATCTTGGTCACTTACTATTTGTTCCAAACCTTTTTGTCATCGTCTGTAAAATGAGAATGGTAATATTAGCGTGCACTGTTTGTGGGAGGAGGACTGGCAAAAATATGAGAGTAGGAGTTTGGGCTCTTGAGCTTGGGCCTGGCCTTCAAATTTCCACTCTTTCACTCACTAGCTAAGGGGCCTTGGGCAAGTACCTTATCATGACTGTGCCTGTTTCCTCAAAGAGAGTCATGGTAGTAGTAGTACTCAACCGATAGGACTGAAGTGACTATTGCATGAGTCAGTATTGGCAAAGAATTCAGAATAGTTCCTGGCATACAGCACTGTGGAAGCATTAGCTAGTATTATTATTTCTTATATTGCTGTTGAGCGCTTGTCCTAGTGCTTGGCACATAGTAACTGCTCAATAAATATTACTTTATATCATTAAAATATTAGAGGCTGCCCAGCCAGTTCCTGAGACATCTACTACAAAAGAATTGTTCATGGTTTGATTTTGTTTTTTACATGATTTGGATGATACAGGAAGAGGGACTGGGAGTTGTTTGTTCCCCTGCAGGTAGCCCGGCTTCAGTAGAAGGAGAGGAAGCCGGCCCTGAGGTCTGGGTTATCATCCCCATTCTTATAGCACTTTGTTCTGTTTGCCCAGGCCCATTGCTAGAAGACTGGGACATAATCAGCCCCAAAGATGTCATTGGCTCCGACGTGTTGCTGGCTGAGAAACGGTCATCACTGACGACTGCCGCCCTGCCCTTTACACAGTCCATCCTCACTCAGGTGTTTTCAGGGACCCTAGGGACCCAGCTGTGGTTGGAGGGCAGAGCCTTCCTGGCACCCTGGTTCTGAGCATGCTGGTTGGCATCTGCCCCTAGTCCACACAGCTGATGGTGGCCTCCCTCCCTCCTCATAGGTGGGCCGTACCTTGTCTAAGGTCCAACAAGTGCTGAGCTGGTCGTATGGGGAAGATGTCAAGCCCTTCAAGCCACCCCTGAGCGATGCTGAGTTTCACACGTACCTGAACCACGAGGGCCAGCTCTCCCGACCCGAGGAGTTGCGCCTGCGGATCTATCATGGCGGTGTGGAGCCCTCGCTGCGAAAGGTGAGCATCCTCAGTCATCTGTTGGGTCCATCACTGCTGCACTCATTAACAGCTCCTGAGACACATGCAGTCAGCCACACTGCTGTGGGCAAGGGTGGAGATGTTACAGGGCACGAAGTTCTCTTTAAGGAGGGGCGAGCAGTCGGAGGCCTAGCAGACTTAGAAGGAAGACAGAGGCCCAAGGGGGGTGGGTGGGTGGCAACTGATAGACATTGGGGTATGGTTTATCTGGAGAACTCCAGCCTCATCCCTTTCACCCCTGGGCAGGTGGTGTGGCGGTACCTGCTGAACGTGTATCCAGATGGACTGACAGGCCGAGAGCGGATGGACTACATGAAACGCAAGAGCCGCGAGTATGAGCAGCTCAAGAGCGAGTGGGCCCAGCGAGCGAACCCTGAGGACCTGGAATTCATCCGCAGCACGGTCCTCAAGGATGTACTGCGCACTGACCGGGCCCACCCCTACTATGCGGGGCCTGAGGATGGCCCACATCTACGGGCGCTGCACGACCTGCTCACCACCTATGCCGTTACCCACCCACAGGTGTCCTACTGCCAGGGCATGAGTGACCTTGCCTCACCCATCCTCGCTGTCATGGACCATGAGGGCCATGCCTTTGTTTGCTTTTGTGGCATCATGAAACGCCTGGCCGCCAACTTCCACCCTGACGGCCGCGCCATGGCCACCAAGTTTGCACACTTGAAGCTGTTGCTGCGACACGCTGACCCTGACTTTTATCAATACCTGCAAGAGGCAGGCGCTGATGACCTCTTCTTCTGTTACCGCTGGCTGCTGCTGGAACTCAAGCGTGAGTTCGCCTTCGACGATGCCCTCCGCATGCTTGAGGTCACTTGGAGTTCGCTGCCCCCTGATCCTCCTGAACATGAGGTAGAGCTGGTTGGACCCCCCAGCCAAGTGGCAGACGCTGGTTTTGGTGGCCACAGGGGGTGGCCCGTGCGACAGAGGCACATGCTGAGGCCTGCTGGTGGAGGAGGTAGTACCTTTGAAGATGCTGTTGACCACCTGGCCACAGCCAGTCAGGGGCCTGGTGGTGGGGGGCGTCTCCTGAGACAGGCCAGCTTGGATGGCCTCCAGCAACTCAGGGATAACATGGGCTCCAGGAGGGACCCTCTGGTCCAGCTGCCCCACCCAGCTGCCCTTATCAGCTCCAAGTCCCTCTCTGAGCCTTTATTGAACTCCCCAGACCCACTGCTCTCCTCCTTTTCCCACCCTGATTCCCCATCTTCCTCATCTCCACCATCCACCCAGGAGGCCTCTCCCACTGGTGATATGGCTGTAGGATCCCCCTTGATGCAAGAGGTAGGCTCCCCGAAAGACCCTGGAAAGTCCCTGCCACCTGTACCACCAATGGGCCTGCCCCCACCCCAGGAGTTTGGCCGGGGGAACCCATTCATGCTGTTCCTCTGCCTGGCCATCCTGCTGGAGCACCGCGACCACATCATGCGCAATGGGCTGGATTATAATGAGCTGGCCATGCACTTTGACCGCCTTGTGCGAAAACACCACCTGGGGCGCGTCCTGCGCCGGGCTAGGGCTCTCTTTGCTGATTACCTGCAGTCAGAGGTGTGGGACTCAGAGGAGGGGGCTGAGGCCACAGCCGCATCTTGATCAGGCTTTCTCAAGCCCTCCATCGGCCCCACCAGATCTCCATTCTTTGCCATGAGGGCCAACACATGAGACCCCACCTCCCTCCCTGCCTGCCAGCCCTAGACTTGTTGGAGCATAGAGCCCTTCCTCCCCAGGCCTAAGTATGTGGAGCTCTGCTTTGGCACTGCCCCGCAGAGGCCACGCCTATTTATTCTGTTTCTGTTGTTTTGTTTTTAACAACTATACTTTGCACACATGAAGGTCACTGTGGTTTGTGTGTTTCTCTGCCTCCTCCCTGGGTTTTGCTGTAGATGGAGTCCTCAGGGGCCCTTTACCTGATGGAGGGGAAATACTTCACTTGGTGGAGAGAGGCTCCAGCTTCCCCCTTGTGATGGGGAGAGTGGATGCTGACAATCAGTTCCCAAAGGTGAGCCCAGGTGGAGCACTGCTTGAGGAAGGCCTGAGTCTGTTTTTTTGGTACATCCATCGGCCTGTAAGGGTCTGTATTATGGCTGTGAATATATGTTTTCAGGACAGCCCCCTGGATGAGAGATAAGAGAGTTCCTGGCTCAAAAAAGGACAAGATTCTTTACTGAGATTGGGAAGTATGGGCTACTTAGAAACGTTGGAGCAGCCACCCCTGGCATTCCACATGTCACCATTTCTAGGATCTTGGCCTCTCTGTGAGGTTTATGCACCAATGCTGGCAGCCCTGGGCAGGGGCCTCGGCCTCCTTTTTGTTTTCCACTTCAGACAGGTACCGTGCAGATGTTAACAAGGTTTGAGCGAGGTGCATCTCACACAAGTGTGAAAGCCCAATCATCACATTGTTGAATTACAAAAGGATCTAGGGCTCCTATTCTTGTCACTTGCTTTGGAGCCAGTTTGAAAGACTGGCCTAGCCCATGCCTAGCGGCCCTAAACTGGGATTCCAGCTCACAGCACCTGTCTTAACCATTTCAGCAGTAGAAACCACTTATTTACCTTCTCCATCTCACTAATATGGACAAACAACAAGCACTGATAAAACGCAGGCCCTAATAGAATTCACTTCGTTATTTGGAGGATAATGATCAAAAAAAGGTCCTTTTTCCCACTGACATGCTCAGAGGGTGGGATTCTCTCACAGGCCAGGTGCTGTCATCCACAAAGGATGGGTGAAATAACTGGGGTCCTCAGGTCACGGTCTAGCCACACCAGCTTCTCCCAAGTACTAACCAGGCTTGACCCTGCTTAGCTTCAGAGGTCAGACAAGATCTGGCATGTTCAGGATGGTATGGCTGTAGACCAGGCTGGGTTCTGGCCAGAGCTGTTGCACTAGGCAATGCTGCCAGAGATGAGGAGGCATCAGGGCAGTCATCCCTTCTGCTGTTTGCCCCAAGAATGCCATACAAACCTGGGGATGACCCTTAAAAGTCTCCCGTCACCCCCAGTATTGGGGGGAAGCTGACTATTCCTCAGATGATAGCCCAGTCACTTGAAGAACAGGACAAGACTATTCTGTGTCTAGGGGGCTCAAGCACTGTGTGTGGGTCTAACGAATGCATTTTGTGGAAATGGGCTCAGACTCCCCAAAGGGCCATCCAACCTATGGGAGTGTCTGGCCTTCTGAGGTCCTGAAATGTCTCTTTTGTCAGTAAACAGCTAATACCCTCTGGGATGCATTCTGTGATTTATGAGCTCAGGTGTTTGAAGGACCAGACAAGCCAATTCTGTGGATAGTAGTTTGGGACCTCTGAGAGATAGAAGAGTCCTTTCTGTGAATAGGAGGCTCAGATACCCTGAAAGGCAGAAACCTCTAATATTCCTCTAGGATACTTGGGGTTTCTGGTTCCTGCAAAGATGGCAGACAGCACAAGCTACTGATTCCTTTGCCCGAAACCAACTCTGGAGAAACTAGAGAGGGAAACATGGGTTCCAGAAATTGCAACATAGCAATGAGAGACCCATGGGGAAATGGAAGGCTGTCTTTAACTGGTGTGTGTTTTGACGGGCGGATGGCCAGAGGCAGTAAATAGAGGATAGGTTAGGGAAAAAGATATTTAAGTTCTGGCTCTCACCTCTCCCCTATATTGCCTTGGGGAGGTCCTTGTTTGCCCCCTTCATTGCATTAATCATCCAAACCACTGGTACACATGTCTGGGGGACTAGGATCAGGGCAGCAAGGGCCCTGCAGGGGAAAGAAATAGGCAGCCAGAGGAAATCAGTCCTCCACCTGTCTCCCTCCAGACACCCGGGCTGGTGGATTACACCTAAGGAGACTGCCACCTCTTTTTTTTTTTTTTTTTGAGACAGAGTCTTGCTCCATCACCCAGGCTGGAGTGCAGTGGCGCGATCTCAGCTCACTGCAACCTCCGCCTCCCGGGTTCAAGGAATTCTCCTGTCTCAGCCTCCTGAGTAGCTGGGACTACAGGTGCCTGCCACCATGCCTGGTTAATTTTGTATTTTAGTAGAGACGGGGTTTCACCTTGTTGGTCAGGCTGGTCTCAAACTCCCGACCTCAGGTGATCCACCCGCCTCGGCCTCCCAAAGTGCTGGAATTACAGGCGTGAGCCACCGCACCCAGCCAAAACTGGCACCTCTTAAAGCGGTTTTCCTCCGACGGTTTAAAGATGAACCCCACGCTAGGGGGATTGTCAGGTGTCCAAAGGGCAGGTGAGCGGGATAACTGTGCTTCTGTGGTACCTGTGGCTGTCCAGCCTCTGGCTCCTCTCCCACACATCCTTTTACCCCTGGAGCTCCAGGTCATTAAGCTGACTCGAGTCAGGCCTTCAGCCTTTCCTCAGTACGTTCTATCAGCCAGGAGAGCGGATAATTTCAGGGGCATGTAAGTTCACCACCAAAATAACCAGACACCAGGGCAGTATGACTTCCACCAAAGAAAAAATAAACTGGACATTCTCTAGTGCTGGATAACAAATTACCCCAAACTTAGCCACTTAAAACATCACAGTTTCTGAGCTGGGTGTGGTGGCTCACACCTGTAATCCCAGCACTTTGAGAGGCAAGGCGGGCAGATCACCTGAGGTCAGGTGTTTGAGACCAGCCTGGCCAACATGGTGAAACCACGTCTCTACTAAAAATACAAAAAATTAGCTGGGCATGGTGGCACACCTGTAGTCCCAGCTACTTGGGAGGCTGAGGCAAGAGAATCGGTTGAGCCCGGGAGGCGGAGGTTGCAGTGAGCCAAGATTGTGACCCTGCACTCTAGCCTGGGTGACAGAGTGAGACTCTGCCTCCAAAAAAAAAAAAAAAACAATAAAAACCATCACAGTTTCTGAGGGTCAGGAATCTGGAAGCAGCCTAGCTGGGTAGTTTTGACTCATGGTCTCTCCTGACGTTTTACTCAAGTTGGCAGCCAGGACTGCAGTCAGATGACAGCTTCACTTGGCTGACAGACCCACTTCCAACATGGCCCACTCATCGGGCAGTTGGCAAAAGGCTTCAATTTCTCACCACCTGAGCATCTCCGTGGGGCTCCTCACAACATGTCATCCTAACGAGCAGGTGAGACCGTGACCAAGACGGAAGCCACAATGTCTACCTTAACCTCAGAAAAGACAGACCATCATTTCTGCTGTGTTACTGGTCACATAGACCAACCCTAGCACAACATGGGAGGGGACTATACAGGGCATGAATACCAGGAGGCAGGAATCATGGGGGGCTATATTGGAGGCCGCCTCCTACACTGGGTAACATATAATATCTGAAGCAGAAGTATTGAGACAGATGAAAAATTTTAAATAAACATAATAAATAAAAACTATTAGAATATAGGGCTGGGCGTGGTGGCTCACGCCTGTAATCCCAACACTTTGGGAGGCCGAGGTGGGCAGATCACAAGGTCAGGAGATGACACCATCCTGGCTAACATGGGGAAACCCCGTATCTACTGAAAATAGAAAAAATTAGCCAGGTGTGGTGGCACACGCCTGTAGTCCCAGCTACTTGGGAGGCCGAGGCAGGACAGTCGCTTGCTTGAACTTGGGAGGCGGAGGTTGCAGTGAGCCGAGATAACGCCACTACACTCCAGCCTGGGCGACACAGCGAGACGCCATCTCAAAAAAAAAATTAGAATACAAAACAGGAACTAGAGATTATAAAAAGGACCCCCAAAAATGTTAGGTGTGAGTATGATGGTAGAGAAAAACAAAACAGCCCAGCGTGGTGGCTCACGCATGTAATCCCAGCACTTTGGGAGGCCGAGGCAGGAACATCACTTGAGCTCAAGAGTTTACCAGCCTGGGCAACGTGGCAAAATCCCATCTCTACATAAAATACATCTCTACATAAAATACGGGTGTGGTGGTGTACCCCTATGGCCCTGGCTACTTGGGAGGCTGAGGTGGGAGAATCACTTGAGCCCAGGAGGTTGAAGCTGCAGTGAGCTGAGATCGTGCCATTGCACTCCAGCCTGGATGACAAAAGCAAGAACCTGTCTCAAAAAAATAATAATACAAATAAAAAAACTGTAAATGGAGAATATGGAATGAGATGTCCCAGTAGTAATTACAAAAATATTTGAAACACAGAGACCCTCATTGGATTAAAAAAAAAAGTCCAATAGCATACACACACACAAAGATTTAGAAATGTTGAAAATGAAAGGATGGCCGGGCGCAGTGGCTCACGCCTGTAATCCCAACACTTTGGGAGGCTGAGGCGGGCGGATCATGAGGTCAGGAGATCAGGAGATCGAGACCATCCTGGCTAACATGGTGAAACCCTGTCTCTACTAAAAACACAAAAAATTAGCCGGGCATGGTGGCAGGCGCCTGTAGTCCCAGGTACTCGGGAAGCTGAGGCAGGAGAATGGCGTGAACCCGGGAGGCGGAGCTTGCAGTGAGCCGAGATCGCACCACTGCACCACTGCGCTCCAGCCTGGGCGACAGAGCGAGACTCCGTTTCAAAAAAAAAAAGAGAAAAAAAATTAGCCGGGCGTGGTGGCGGACGCCTCTAGTTCCACTGTAGTCCCAGCTGCTCAGGAGGCTGAGGCAGGAGAATGGCGTGAACCCGGGAGGCAGAGCTTGCAGTAAGCCGAGATCAGGCCACTGCACTCCAGCCTGGGTGACAGAGCAAGACTCTGTCTCAAAAAAAAAAAAACAAAAAACGAAAAGATGAAGAAAGGATATGGCACATTAAAAGCCCAAAGAAAGCTAAGATAGCTATCCTAATAGCTAAGAAAATAGGTCGGGTGCAGTGGCTCTTGCCTATAATCCCAGCACTTTGGGAGGCCGAGACGGACAGATCACTTGAGGCAAGGAGTTCAAGACCAGCCTGGCCAACATGGTGCAACCCCGTCTCTACTAAAAATACAAAAATTAGCCTAGAATGGTGGCATATGCCTATAATCCCAGCTACTTAGGAGGCTGAGGCAGGAGAATCGCCTGAACCCAGGAGGCGGAGGTTGCAGTGAGCTGAGATTATGCCACTGCATTCCAGCCTGGGTGACAGATGGAGACTCTCAAAAAGAAAAAAGTTGGTAAAAGAGCAGAGGAACAAACCCAAAGGATTGAGTCATGGAGGAAATAATACGAGGAAGGAAAAAGATACAATAGAGAATTGTAAAGTAATAATAAAGATTAACAGAATAGGCCAGGTGCGGTGGCTCACACCTGTAATTCCAGCACTTTGGGAGGCTAAGGCAGGCCTATCACTTGAGGCCAGGAGTTCAAGACCAGCCTGGCCAACATATGAAACCCCATCTCTACTAAAAATACAAAAATTAGCTAGGCATGGTGGTGCATGCCTGTAGTCCCAGCTACTCAGGAGGCTGAGGCAGGAGAATTGCTTGAACCTGGGAGGCGGACCGGAGGTTGCAGTGAGCCAAGATTGTGCCACTGCACACCAGCCTGGGTGACAGAGTAAGACTCCATCTCAAAAAAAAAAAAAAAAAAAAACACCAGGCACAGTGGCTCAGGCCTGTAATCCCAGTGCTTTCAGAGGCCGAGGCAGGTGGATCACTTGAAGGTCAGGAGTTTGAGACCAGCCTGGCCAACATGGTGAAACCCCGTCTCTACTAAAAATACAAAAAAAAATTAGGTGGGCGTGGTGGCTCACGCCTGTAATCCCTGCACTTTGGGAGGCCAAGGTGGACAGATCACCTGAGGTCAGGAGTTTGAGACCAGACTGACCAATATGGAGAAACCTCGTCTCCTAAAAATACAAAATTAGCCGGGTGTGGTGGCGCATACCTGTAATCCCATCTACTCGGGAGGCTGAGGCAGGAGAATCATTTGAACCTGGGAGGCAGAGGTTGTAGTGGGCTGAGATTGCACTCCAGCCTGGGTGACAAAGCGAGACTTCTCAAAAAAAAAAAAAAAAGCTGGTACTTTGAAAATAATTAATAATGATAGACCTTTGCCAAGACTGATTTAAAACAATGCAATGCAAAATGCATAACAAAGGAAAATTATAGATACAAAAAGGCTACAAATTGTAAGCTAATACACTTGAAAACATAGATGAAAAACAAAAATTTCAGGAAACATTAAAATGTGTTCAAATGAATGCAAAAAGAAATAGAAAGCTTGAATATAACTTGAATATACAATAAATTTTAGGAAAAATTAAAATGATAATCAAAGATACCCCATCTTATTGTAATAAACAGCCTCAGGCCCAGCCCCAGACGGTTTTGCAGATTATAGTTCTATTAAACTTTCAAGGAACTGTAATTCCCATCTTATACAAATTGTTCCAGAAGATAGGAAAAGAGAAAAAGCCATACACCTCATTTTATGAGGCTAAAATAGTTTTGATTCTAAAACCAGATAAGGAAAATACTAAACAGTAAATTTATAGACCCACTGGACTTATGAATATAGATGCAAAAATTCTAATAAAATATTAGCTACCTGAATTCAATAGTGCGTTTTGTTTTAAATCATAAGTAGGGTTTATCCCAGGAATACAATTGATCCAAATTAGAAAATTAGTGAATGCAGGCCGGGTGTGGTGGCTCGCACTTGTAATCCCAGTACTTTCGGAGGCTGAGGCAGGCGGATTACGAGGTCTGGAGTTCGAGACCAACCTGGCCAACACAGTGAAACCCCGTCTCTACTAAAAATACAAAAATCAGCTGGGCGTGGTGGCAGGCGTCTGTAATCCCAGCTACTCAGGAGGCTGAGGCAGGAGAATCGCTTGAACCTGGGAGGCGGAGGTTGCAGTGAGCCGAGATCATGCCACTGCACTCCAGCCTAGGTGTCAGAGGTAGACTCCGTCTAAAAAAAAAAAAAAGAAAAGAAAATTAGTGAATGCAATTTACCATATTAATAAAGGAAGAAATTATATGATAATCTCAAAGCAGAAAAGGATTTGATAAGGTTCAGTGCCTGTTTATGATATTTAAAAGGGGGCTGGGCATGGTGGCTCGTGCCTGTAATCCTCATACTTTAGGAAGCTGAGGCAGGTGGATCACTTGAGCCCAGGAGTTTGAGACCAGCCTGGGCAACATGGCAAAACCCCATCACTACAAGAAAAAAAAAAAAGAACTCTTTGCAAACAAAAGTAGAAGAAAACTTCTTTAACTTCATACATAGCAAAATATTACAGCAAAAAATGCTTAATAGGGAATTTTTTTTTTTTTGAGACGGAATCTCACTCTTGTTGCCCAGGCTGGAGTGCGATGGCACAATCATGGCTCACTGCAACCTCCGCCTCCCGGGTTCAAGCAATTCTCTTGCTTCAGCCTCTCAAGTAGCTGGGATTAACAGGCGCCCACCACCACACCCAGCTAATTTTCGTATTTTTAGTAGAGACAGCATTTCACCATGTTGGCCAGGCTGGTCTCAAACTCCTGACCTCAGGTGATCCACTGGCCTCAGCCTCCCAAAGTGCTGGGATTACAGGCATGAGCCACCAAACCTGGCCAATAGAGAATTTTTAAATGCATTTCCCTTTAAGATCAGGGACAAGGCAAGGATGTTCACTCAATACTACTCTTTAATATAAAACCACCTAATGCTATGAGGAAAAATAAATGAGGTATACATTGTAGAAGGAATTGATAAAACTCATTTGCAAATTATATGAGTGACTACCTTAAAGAACCAACAGAGTCGGGCGCGGTGGCTCACGCCTGTAATCCCAGCATTTTGGGAGGCCGAGGCGGGCGGATCACGAGGTCAGGAGATGGAGACCATCCTGGCTAACACGGTGAAACCCCATCTCTACTAAAAGCACAAAAAATTAGCCAAGTGTGGTGGCGGGCACCTGTAGTCCCAGCTACTCAGGAGGCTAAGGCAGGAGAATGGTGTGAACCCGGGAGGTGGAGCTTGCGGTGAGCCAAGATTGTGCCACTGCACTCCAGCCTGGGTGACAGAGCGAGACTCCATCTCAAAAAAAAAAAAAAAAAGAACAAACAGAATGACAAAAACAACTAATAGGACTAATAAGAGAGTTCAGCAGCCAGGCGTGGTGGCTCACACCTGTAATCCCTGCACTTTGGGAGGCTGAGGCGGATGGATCACCTGAGGTCAGGAGTTCGAGATCAGCATGGCCAACATGAGGAAACCCCATCTCTACTAAAAATACAAAAAATTAGCTGGGCGTGGTGGCACGTGCCTGTAATCCCAGCTACTCAGGAGGCTGAGGCAGGAGAATCACTTGGAACCCGGGAGGTGGAGTTTGCAGTGAGCCGAGATCGCACCACTGCACTCCAGCCTTGGCAACAATAGTAAAACTCCATCTTAAAAAAAAAAAAAGGGGTTCAGCAAGGTTTCCCAATACAAAATCAACATCAACCTGTAAAAATCAAAAGCATTTCTGTATAGCAGCAATAACCAACAAAAAAAAAAAGTAGGAATGAATTTAATACAAGAGACCTCTATTTTAAAGAATTTAAACTCTAACAATAGAAATTGATCTGAATAAAAGAGAGACATTTTATGCTCTTTGCTGGAAAGATTTTGGTAATATATAAGTTATTTTTAACAAATTATCCCAAAACTTAGTGGCTAAAACAATACACATTTATTATTTCACATGGTTTTGGAGAGTCAGGATTCTGAGAGTGGCTTAACTGGGTGGTTCTGACTCAGAGCCTCTCATGAGGCTACAATCAGGATGTTGGCCAGGACTGCAGTTATCTGAAGGCTGGGATCCACCTTTAAGAAGGCTTGCTCACATGGCTGTTGGCAAGAGGCCTTACTTTCTTGCCACCTAGATCCCTCCATAGGGCTGCTCATGACATACCAGCTAATGTCCCACATAATGAGCAGTCTGTGTGACAGAGAGCATGAAGCAGATGTGCCTTTTACAGCCTGGTCTTGGAAATGACACACTATCACTTCCACCTCATTCTGTGCTTTACAATTGAGTCACTAAGTCCAGCACACATGCAAGTGGAAGGAAGTTAGGCTCCAACTCTTGACGAGTACAGTATCAGAGTGTGACCATATCTTAAAACCTCCACAGTTAATATTATTAAGATGTTATTTTGGCCGGGCATGGTGGCTCACACCTGTAATCCCAGCACTTTGGGAGGCCGAGGTGGGTGGATCACCTGAGGTCAGGAGTTTGAGACCAGCCTGACCAACATAGACAAACCCCGTCTCTGCTAAAAATACAAAATTAGCCGAGCATAATGGTGGGTGCCTGTAGTTCCAGCTACCCAGGAGGCTGAAGCAGGAGAATTGCTTGAACCCGGGAGGCGGAGGTTGCAGTGAGCCGAGATTGCACCATTTTACTCCAGCCTGGGCAACAAGAGCGAAACTCCATCTCAAAAAAAAAGACGTTATTTCTCCCAAAATGTAAAAATTCAATGCACTCTCAATAACACTTCCATTACTTTTTTTTTTAATGTTTTGAAACAGGGTCTCACTTTGTTGCCCAGGCTGGAGTGCAGTGGCACGATCATAGCTCACTGCAGACTCCAACTCCTGGGTTCAAGCGATCCTCCTGCCTCAGCCTCCCAGGTAGCTGGGATTTGGGCGAGAGCCACCATGCCTGACCTCATTACTTCTTTTTGTTAGAACTGCAATACACTTACATTAGAATTTAGAATAGTAATGAATCATGGACAGTTAAGACAGCCTTCAAAGAAAGCGTTATGATGGGGATTTGCCCACTAGATATTAAGACATATTAAAGGTGTTAGTAATAAAAGGGAAAAAAAAAACAACAACAAACCTATATTGGCCCAAGAGCTAAGAAGTAGACCAATTAGAAGAGAAGGCCGGGCACGGTGGCTCACACCTGTAATACCAGCACTTTTGGAGGCCGAGGTGGGCAGATCACAAGGTCAGGAGATCCAGACCACGGTGAAACCCCGCCTCTACTAAAAAATACAAAAAAAAAAAATTGGCTGGGTGCGGTAGCAGGCGCCTGTAGTCCCAGCTACTCGGGAGGCTGAGGCGTGAACCTGGAAGGCAGAGCTTACAGTGAGCCGAGATCGCGCCACTGCACTCCAGCCTGAGCGACAGAGCGAGACTCCGTCTCAAAAAAAAAGACCATCCTGGCCAACATGGTGAAACCCCATCTCTACTAAAAATACAAAAATTAGCTGGGCGTGGTTGCACGCGCCTGTAGTCCCAGCTACTCAGGAGGCTGAGGCAGGAAAATCACTTGAACCCAGGAGGCGGAGGTTGCAGTGAGCCAAGATCGCGCCACTGCACTCCAGCCTGGCGACAGAGTGAGACTCTGTCAAAAAAAAAAAAAAAGCTCAGAAGTCAGGTACAATAGTGCTCCCCTGTAATCCCAGTTACTCAGGAGGCTGAGTTGGGGAGAATGCTTGAGGCCAGGAGTCAGCCTGGGCTCATCTCTTAAAAACAACAATAACAACAAAACCAGCAACAAACCACCTCAGAGACAGACCCATATATCTATGGAACTTGATACATGATAGAGGTGGTAAAACACACACAGGGATGGGACAGATTGCTTAATAGATGGTGATGGGGCATCTGGCTCATGACACAGAGAAAAATAAAATTGGAGCTCTATCTCACACCATATACAAGGACGAACTCTACATGGATTAAAGACCTAAATGTGGCCGGGTGCGGTGGCTCATGCCTGTAATCCCAGCACTTTGGGAGGCCGAGGCAGGCGAATCACTTGAGGCCAGGAGTTCAAGACCAGCCTGGCCAACATGGCAAAAACCTGTCTCTACTAAAAATGCAAAAATTAGCCAGGTGTGGTGGCACACACCTGTAATCCTAGCTACGCAGCAGGCTGAGGCAGGAGAATTGCTTGAACCCAGGAGGCGGAGGTTGCAGTGAGCCGAGATAGTGCCATTGCACTCCAGCCTGGGCAACAAGAGCGAAACTCTGTCAAAAAAAAAAAAAAAGAAAGAAAGAAAGAAACTGTAGGGGAACATTTTGTGACCTGGGAAAGAGAATGATTTCTTTAAAAGCACAGACCAGGCCGGGCGTGGTGGCTCACGCCTGTAATCCCAGCACTTTGGGAGGCCGAGGCAGGCGGATCATGAAGTCAGGAGTTTGAGAACAGCCTGAACAACATGGTGAAACCTCATCTCTACTAAAAATACAAAAATTAGCTGGGCATAGTGGCACATGCCCGTAATCCCAGCTACTCAGGAGACTAAAGCAGGAGAATCACTTGAACCTGGGAGGCGGAGGTTGCAGTGAGCTGAGATCATGCCACTGCACTCCAGCCTGAGCGACAGAGTGAGACTCCGTCTCAGAAAAAAGCACAGAACATAGGGGGAAAAATGATTATATCAAAATTATGGATCTTTATTCAACTAAGTTTACTGCTTACAAAGTTAATAACACAAATGCCAGAGCTGGAGAGGCTATTTCCAACACCTAAGGGATTAATAATTAGACTATGTGAGGAATCCCTGACAATAACAGGAAGATAAATATGGGAATTACCCCAACAGGAATATGGATGTACTGTATTCTGTATGTTAGCAAATTTGGTCTGTGTTGGGCAAATTCATTCTATGGATAAGAAATTTAGCCTCTGAGGGCAAACTAACTTATTCTTCGTTGATGTGGCGCTCAGAAGTGAAAAATCTGTCAAATCCATTTATTGTAAAGGTGGCCAAGACACTGAAGACTAAATTGTGAACAGTGGGCTCAGACACTACTTGATTGGGATAAGTCTATTGTGTATTGCGAAAGTCCCTTCTGTGAATCAAGGGCTCAGTTACTTTTTTTTTTTTTTTGAGACTGAGTCTTGCTCTGTCGCCCAAGCTGGAGTGCAGTGGCATGATCTCAGCTCACTGCAACCTCCACCTCCCGGGTTCAAGCGATTATCCCGCCTCAGCCTCCTGAGTAGCTGGGACTACAGGTGCCTACCACCACGCCCGGCTAATTTTTTTTTTTTTTTGTATTGTTAGTAGAGACAGGGTTTCACCATATTGGCCAGGGTAGTCTTGAACTCCTGACCTTGTGATCTGCCCACTTCGGCCTCCCAAAGTGCTGGGATTACAGGCATGAGCCACTGCGCCCGGCAAGGGCTCAGTTACTTTCGAAGAGAGCAAAAATTGCTCTATGGATTGGGATTTACAACCTCTGAAGATCGTAGCATCCTCTTTTGTTTTGTTTTGTTTTCACCCAGGCTGGAGTGCAATGGCGTGGTCTCGGCTCACTGCAACCTCCGCCTCCCGGGTTCAAGCGATTTTCCAGCCTCAGCCTCCCGAGTAGGTGGGACTACAGGCACGTGCCACCACACCCAGCTAATTTTTTTTTTCTTTTTTTTTTTTTTTTTTTTTTTTTGTATTTTTAGTAGAGATGGGGTTTCACCATGTTGGCCATGCAGGTCTCGAACTCCTGAACTCGTGAACCGCCCGCTTTGGCCTCCCAAAGTGCTGGGAATACAGGCGTGAGCCACCGCGCCCGGCCAGCATCCTGTTTTGTAAAAGCCATCTCAGGCAGTCTATTGGTGAGAAAATTAAGGGGCTGGCTTCACGCCAGCAGTCAGACAAGGGTGAGGGCTGAAGTCAGAGATGAGATGGAATGACGCCAGGGAAAAGGGTCCCATGACAGGCGGCTAGATGTTGAGCACAGAGGAGAAAGAGTAGGAGTCAGGGTCAAACCTTAAAACGTTGGGTCTGACATCATGGACTGTGAAGGGTGATGACATCAGTGACGGTGGGGGATAAAATGTCAGGCCTTTAAAGGGTATGAGGTTAAAGAACTAGAAGGTGAAGGAGGTTAACATCAGAGAATGGCAGGGACCTAGAGGAAGACGACTACGATGGTGAGGAAGACATCCGATCCAGCGGGGGAAATGATGGCAAGGACGGGAGGATGATGTCAGGGACAGCAAGTAGTATGAGATTGAGAAGGTTCCTTTGTGGAAGGGATAAAGGCAGCTCAGCCGGTTGTGGGGGGGATGCTGACGTTTAGGGTGCACCAGCTGTTCAAAAGTCGACCCCATTTCCGGAAACACCCCATTTCCGGAAACACCCCATTTCGCGGAGAACACTGCTCCCTTCGCTTTGCTGTCCCTTCCTCTCCCCACCACTCCGCTCCTGCTGGCCTCAGCCAATCAGCACGCACGCCGGGACGCGCAAGGGGAACGTTCCGGGACGTTCTCGCTACGTACTCTTTATCAATCGTCTTCCGGCGCAGCCCCGTCCCTGTTTTTTGTGCTCCTCCGAGCTCGCTGTTCGTCCGGGTTTTTTACGTTTTAATTTCCAGGTAAGTTGCATATGTCCTGCGAAACGGCGGCTCCTCGCCACACACGCGCCGCGCCGGCCGTGACCGGGGAATAGCGAGTGGGGAGAGTAATGGCCACTGACACGTAGGCTTGGCTTTCTCTGGGACGGGCGGGTCCCGTGCTTGGAGGTGAAACATTTCGGTTGGTGGGAGGCCGGCGCGCTGTATCTGAGTGTGAGGCCTACCGGGAGGGACTGGTGGCGTCGGTGGTGGCAGTGACCACGCGACAGCCGACACTTACTTTCCTTATCCCACGTGGCCGCCGCCATCTTGTTCTGCCGGCGTTAAGGGAACGCAGGGATGTTCTGGGCTTGCGCAGTGGCACAAAATGACGGGCGTGGCGGCTATGAATGTGAGAGCATGCGCAATGTGGCCCCCTAATGGTGGCTGCGCTGAGCCAGCTCCTCAGATTACCACCTTATTGGCCGCCTTTCTCAGCTTTTCTGTAGTTACCCATATTTTGTTCCTCTTTCTTGTCTATTTTCTGTGCTTTTTCTCTGCTTTCCGTCTCGCTATTTTCTCACATCTCCATTTTCTTTCTCCTTCCTGCCACCATTCTTCATGTTCTTCCCACAGGACTTGAACTGCCATGTCCTCTGAAGAAGGAAAGCTCTTCGTGGGAGGGCTCAACTTTAACACCGACGAGCAGGCACTGGAAGACCACTTCAGCAGTTTCGGACCTATCTCTGAGGGTGAGACGGGCCATACTCACAATGGGGGTTGGTGAGAGAAAGTCTGGGATCCTTGCATTTCAAGGAGTATTAACTGAAAAGTTAGGACCCACGCCTCCAAATTCTTTTTCTTCCTAAGCCTATGGTGTAGACTAAGGATGAGGGGAAGCGTCTTTGGGATTAGTGGGAGCGCTCCGTTTTCCCTACCTATGCCATCTCCTTTTCCGGCCACCCTTTGCTACTTAACCTTTGGGGTACTGACTGGTCCACATTGCTCCATCTTCTCTCCCTCTCACAGTGGTCGTTGTCAAGGACCGGGAGACTCAGCGGTCCAGGGGTTTTGGTTTCATCACCTTCACCAACCCAGAGCATGCTTCAGTTGCCATGAGAGCCATGAACGGAGAGGTGGGGCCTCCTATCTGCAGAGGGACCTTGTCCCCATCTGCGGCTTCCTTCATTCTTTTTGTTTTTCCCTCTGTGTCTGCTCGGGGCAGCGTGGCCACCAAGCCCCGCAGTGCCCACTCACAGGAGCATGACTGCCTTTTGTTCTAGGGGGTGGAGGGCAGCGGCAGACAGAGCCTGGCCGCCTGGGAGGCGACGACTGGTCCTGCATGAGGCCGAGAAGCCACCTGTGGATGGTTGACCTGCCTTGGGCTTAGGTAGTAGAGTCTGCAGACCTGTGGGCCTGGCCCGGAGAGGACCTCGTGAGTCTTCTGACATGGACTCTGAAGCCTCAAACCAAGAGAGGTGTCTGTCTAGCCCTGATAGTCGGGCAGCTTAGAGGAGTGGGGAGGAGAACTCAGCCTGAGTTCAGTCAAGATGTAAGTAGTAGCAAGGGGAACATGGTGCATTCAGGTCATTTTGTGTGGGATTCTATAGCTCCTGATGAAGCCATTCTGGGGTAAAGGAGCTTATTCTGGAACATGGCACCCAGAACCTGGTGCCCAGCAGGAATTTTTGGCCTCTTTTGCCCACTTACCCTTGCCTGCTCTTCCCTCACCATTGCCCTGACTGACTGCCAACCCATCATCCTTGTGTCTCCCACACTTAGTCTCTGGATGGTCGTCAGATCCGTGTGGATCATGCAGGCAAGTCTGCTCGGGGAACCAGAGGAGGTGGCTTTGGGGCCCATGGGCGTGGTCGCAGCTACTCTAGAGGTGAGTGCAGTGATCGTTTTGATCATGGGGTGAGAGGGAGAGTTGCCTATGTGTGGACAACTGCCATTTAAATATTTTTCTGCTCTAGGTGGTGGGGACCAGGGCTATGGGAGTGGCAGGTATTATGACAGTCGACCTGGAGGGTATGGATATGGATATGGACGTTCCAGAGACTATAATGGCAGGTGGGTAGCCAAAGGGCTGGGATGTTCTCCTATTGCTTCCCTCTCCTTAAGAACTCAGCGCCTGGGTGTTCATGCATACCACACCTTGCTGTTACTAATGTGTACCTAAAATGAGTATGAAATTTAGCATTTTAAGTTAATTGTGTAGTCATATAGTTGCGACATGGTAAAGTATACTATATATGTTGTGCTGTGTGGGTTATATAACTATATTGCTTTAACATGTAATATGATTTAATATACTGCGTATAAATCGTATGCCATAAAACTGTTTACTGTGATACTCATATGCTTAACATATCCTGTTTTTGATACGTAAGGTTTATGTTATGACCCATACTGTAAAATGTGACGCATATAATTACAGTGGTATATATAATGCAGTACCAGAAAACTTTTGTGTGTTTTTTTTCCCCCCCAGAAACCAGGGTGGTTATGACCGCTACTCAGGAGGAAATTACAGAGACAATTATGACAACTGAAATGAGACATGCACATAATATAGGTGAGACTTGGATATCGGCATTGAGTGAACCTGTTTGTCACACTCTGTCATGACCCTCTCACCTTTTCTGGCAAGACTGCTCTGCATTTCTGCTGCCCTCATACCTCACCCAGCCAACCTACCAAACATTCCTAGCTAGGCCTTCCTTGCTCTCAGGTGCATATCAGAGCAAGTTTGCTAGGGGGTGGGATCTGAAAACCCATCTCCTATAATCTTCTACTCTTGTGTGGGATGGAGGAAATGAAGGTGTGTCCCTGTTGTCCAACCCTCAGCATCTTCATCAGCTCTAGGAGGTGAGCATGTTGTCAGCTGTTACTTCATGACATCACAATTCTCCCCCTCTTGCTGTTCCCAGATACACAAGGAATAATTTCTGATCCAGGATCGTCCTTCCAAATGGCTGTATTTATAAAGGTTTTTGGAGCTGCACCGAAGCATCTTATTTTATAGTATATCAACCTTTTGTTTTTAAATTGACCTGCCAAGGTAGCTGAAGACCTTTTAGACAGTTCCATCTTTTTTTTTAAATTTTTTCTGCCTATTTAAAGACAAATTATGGGACGTTTGTAGAACCTGAGTATTTTTCTTTTTACCAGTTTTTTAGTTTGAGCTCTTAGGTTTATTGGAGCTAGCAATAATTGGTTCTGGCAAGTTTGGCCAGACTGACTTCAAAAAATTAATGTGTATCCAGGGACATTTTAAAAACCTGTACACAGTGTTTATTGTGGTTAGGAAGCAATTTCCCAATGTACCTATAAGAAATGTGCATCAAGCCAGCCTGACCAACATGGTGAAACCCCATCTGTACTAAACATAAAAAAATTAGCCTGGCATGGTGGTGTACGCCTGTAATCCCAGTGACTTGGGAGGCTGAGGCAGGAGAATCGCTTGAACCCGGGAGGCGGAGGTTGCAGTGAGCTAAGATCGCGCCACTGTACTCCAGCCTGGGCAACAGCGAGACTCCATCTCAAAAAAAAAGGAAATGTGTATCAAGAACATGATTATCCAGCGGTATTTTCTAATTCAGATCATCAAACTGATTATATAGAAGAGTTGGCTTTAAAATGTTTGCAAATGTCTTTTTTTTTTTAATACTGGAAGAAAAAATATTCTGTTGTGTCTCATACAGTGCTTAGGATGTCTTTCACAGAGCTTATTAAAAAGATGAAACCTGAGAACAAACTGCTTTATTCTTACTCAGCCCATTTTGCAAATTAAAAGTGGGGGCAGAGGTGGGCGGATCACCTGAGGTCAGGAGTTCGAGACCAGCCTGGCCAACAGGGCAAAACCCCATCTCTACTAAAAATACAAAAGTTAGCGGGGCGTGGTGGCGGGTGCATGTAATCCCAGCTACTCGGGAGGCTGAGGCAGGAGAATTGCTTGAACCCAGGAGGCGGAAGTTGCAGTGAGCTGAGATTGTGCCACTGCACTCCAGCCTAGGTGACAGCAAGACTCTGTCTCAAAAAAAAAAAAATGGCACATCAACGAGAGGGAGGCTTGGAGAATATTTGGTTGGTGGGTGGGCAGGGACTGCCAGAGGGTTAGGTGTACATTGAGGCCTGAGGCCTGCTGGAATTGGGTTTCCTTAACTGGTCTCTTATCTTAGTCCCATTGTTCTGAGAACATAAGCACCTAATCTCATGGCGTGAGCTAATCCCTATCATAAATAGTGGTACCAGTTCATTCCTTCCCCTGAAATGATGGGGGTTGGGCAGAGATGCACTGAACTCATCTTTGTGTATGAGGGCCATGAGAGAGGCCTGGTTTGAAAACAATGCTAAGAGCTCAGATTCCAGGATTTATGTAGGGGCTCTTCTACTTCCCAGGTATTTGACCTCAGGTGAGTCATTTAATTTCAGCCTTATGCCATTTTACATTTTCTGTGGAGGGTTAGGTTAATTGGCATATAAAGCCACTGAGAAGAGTTGGCAAAGCTCTCAGTCACGGGGATTTGATCTTTTTTGGTGTGTGTGTGTCTTGGGTGGTAAAGTGGTAATTTTGTAATTCTAGCTGGTCTTAGTTCCTCAGTTCTGCTCCCTTTAGTCATGGTTCTTTCTAGTGGCTGTATTGAGGCCCCATGGGTGTTATCCCTCCATTGGTTCTAGTTTGGAACAGAAAAATCTGTTGTATTCATGGCTTTCACCTGGCTAATACTGAGCTAAGTTACCACCAGGTTGCAAACTCCAGGACATTATTGTCCTGAGCTGCCTATTCCCTTGCTGGTGCGTTGTGGAACCCTGTATTATTAGTTCCAGTCCTGGAGGCCTGCCTCCTGAGTTTCCCAGCTAGTTGGGACAGGCCCCAATATCCCTTCTTCCTGTAACCCAAACAGTCATGAATTTGCTTTGGCAGGTGGATGGAGACTTGGGAACTTCCACCTCACCCACTAAGCCAGGCCCAGGCTATGGGGCATTGTGGCTAACCCCACCAGGTGGATACTTGGTCTGAGGACGCATCTTATTCTGGGCCTTTAGGGAGCTAAGGCAGTGAGAATTGGCAGGAGGACTGCTGTGAATGCCTTGTAGGTCGGGGGATTGGAGGGGGTCCTCTGCTCCCTGTCTCTCAGGATGGCAATGTACCTCTCACCCCCAGTGTCAGCTGAGGTAGGATCCATAATCAGTAATATTCCTGCAACAAAATGTTCCTAAGTGGAATCAATGAAGACCAAAATTTATTTGTATAACAACTCTAAACCTGCTCTGCTCTGCTGTGTTTACAATGTGCTTTGTGATCATCCAGCCCAGGGAGTCCCAGTCTCTGGCTGTCTATCTGCTCTAAGGAAGAGAGCCCACAGTTCTCTATAGTGCCATAGTCTGTGATGAATAAAGTTCCAGATTTGAGGTCAACCCCCGACCACCCTTAAAGTGCTTGTTGGTCTCCTACTTTGGTTTGTCTTCAGCATCCAACTGATGCACATTTGTCAAGAACCCACTGAGGCTAGAAACCCCCCAAACACTCAAGGTACCTTGAGAACATGTATCCCAAGACCTGCAAAGACCAAACACATGGCCTGTAACTACTTTTCACTTTCAAGCCCTGGAACTTGTCTGTACCAAAAATCTTTCTGAACCATTCACCAAATCTCTTGTCAAGGGCCAGAATAAATTAAGAGATTGGCTTTTGGTTTTCAATTAGGCTTTCAAGTCCTAAGCCCAACCCCTCCTATCCCACCTAGGCAGAAATCACTTCAGATCCTTGCTTCCTAGTTTAATTTCTTCTCTGCCTCAGTTATAACATCCATAAAATGGAAATAATAATACCCACCTCACACAGGGGTTAGGAGTGTTTTTTTGTTGGTTTTTTTCCAGACAGGGTCTCACTCTGTCTCCCAGGCTGGAGTGCAGTGGCACAATCTCGGCTCACTGTACCCTCCGCCTCCCAGGTTCAAGCAGTTCTCATGCCTCAGCCTCCCAAGTAGCTGGGATTACAGGTGCCTGCCACCACGCCCGGCTAATTTTTGTATTAATAGAGACAGGGTTTCACCGTGTTGGGCAGGCTGGTCCTGAACTCCTGACCTCAAGTGATCCACCCGCCTCGGCCTCCCAAAGTGCTGGGATTACAGGCGTGAGCCACCACACCTGGCCTAGGAGTTAAGAGTATTAAATGTTAAGAACAGACCAAGTCCATCAAACAGCTCCACACCCTTGTTCCATGTTCTGGATTGGGGAGTTGTGGGGGTGGAGGTGTAGAACTTTTAAAAAGCTTCTTAAAATAAGTTGCTGTGAATACTTCAGGTATATAAAAAAACATTGGTTGACAATAAGCCAGTGTTCTGCCATTCTTACCTGCTTATCAAGACAAAACCTGCTCAAGTCCCTGCCCAGCTGCATTCCAAGTGTTTTCAAGTTTGGTGGTAAGACCTGACCTGAGGCTTCTTATAACCTTTACTCAGTGGGAATATGCATACAGTTCACTACAGAAATATTTGTATTTACTTAGAGGAAGTGCCCTGGATCTGGGGGCGGGGGGGGGCGGGGGGAATGGGTCTTTTCTAAATTGTTAAAAGCAGTTCATGCCATTATTCTTAATAAACATTTCTAATATGCTGTGAAAGAGTATATTCGTTTTTTTAATGCATATATCCATTTACTCATTGTTCCCATGAAAGAGCCTTGTATGCAAACCTCCAAATGCCGAAGGAGCCAAGAAACAAGGCAGACAAAAATTGTTAGTAAAGGGTTCTTTACTGGGGGGACTTAGAAGCATGACGTGGGGACGGGCGCAGTGGCTCACACCTGTCATCCCAACACTTTGGGAAGCCGAGGTGGGTGGATCACCTGATGTCAGGAGTTTGAGACCAGCCTGGCCAACATGATGAAACCCCGTCTCTACTAAATACAAAAATTAATCGAGTGTAGTGGCGCACACCAAGTAATCCCAGCTTCTTGGGAGGCTGAGGCACAAGAATGGCTTGAACCCGGGAGGTGGAGATTGCAGTGAGCCCAGATCGTGCCACTGCACTCCAGCCTGAGCGACAGAGCACAACTGTCTCAAAAATAAGCATGGCCTTGGGTGGCAGCAAGATAACCATGCTGTTGCTCTTCAACCCACGGCTTACATACCATAGGGAAAGAGTGTGCTCAAGATGAAGGCAACTCCAGAACAGGCATAATACTCTATGCATCATCATCTAATTTGTGCGATAATGTAAAAGTTGACAAGCTCTTTTTTTTTTTTTTTTTTTTGAAACGGAGTCTCGCTCTGTGGCCCTGGCTGTGGCGCGATCTGGGCTTTCTGTGGCCCAGGCTGGAGTACTGTGGCGCGATCTGGGCTCACTGCAAGCTCCGCCTCCCGGGTTCATGCCATTCTCCTGCCTCAGCCTCCGGAGTAGCTGGGACTACAGGAGCCCGCCACTACGCCCGGCTATTTTTTTGTATTTTTTAGTAGAGAGGAGGTTTCACCGTGTTAGCCAGGATGGTCTCGATCTCCTGGCCTCGTGATCCACCCGCCTCGGCCTCGCAAAGTGCTGGGATTACAGGCGTGAGCCACCGCGCCCGGCCCCTGACAAGCTCTTAAACTAGGGATGGCAAAGGAGGAATCAGGCATTTACAGGACTGGCGCTAGTCAGAAGTAAACGTGGTGGATTGGCATCCAAGATGGAGTAACTTTTGTCTCCACACTCTTGCTGAAGGCTGGAAAATCAGCATGTGAGTCTGTCTTGTAAAAGGTAATTGGGCATGCGCTACTCAAAAAATCATTTGGGGCCCGGTGCGGTGGCTCACGCCTGTAATCCCAGCACTTTGGGAGTCCCAGGCAGGTGGATCACCTGAGGTCAGGAGTTCAAGACCAGCCTGGGCAACATGGTGAAACCCCATCTCTACAAAAGTACACAAATTAGCCAGGCCTAATTGCAGGCACCTGTAATCCCAGCTACTCGGGAGGCTGAGGTGGGAGAGTTGCTTGAACCAGGGAGGCAGAGGTTGCAGTGAGCCGAGATTGCGCCATTGCATTCCAGCCTGGGTGACAGAGTGAGACTCTGTCTCAAAAAAAAAAGGAAAACCATTTGGTAAAGGAGAAAGTGGAGTCCTAGACGGGGGAGTTCAGTGTCAGCCTGCATTGAAATCATCCGGTTTATGGGACTTGGTTGCCTTGTGTGCTGGCTTGGACTCCATGGTATCCAAAGTGCACAGTGCATGAAACATGAAGAATTTGCAACTTAACATCAGTTTATATGTTGCTATCCAAGTTTATCTACCATGAGGCTTAACTCATACAAAAACCTTTACTTAGGGAATGTGCCTACTTGAGAAAGCAAGTTCACCTACTCATCATCCAGCTATTTTCCTTGCTAGTTATCATAGATAACATGAAAAGATTTTTTAGAGTTTACCCATGTCCTTCAAATTATCCCACACAAAACTGCTTAGAATGTGTTAAACTATATTGATGATTTAAAAACAAGCACAACAACATAAAGACAGAATCTTCCTCTATTTCAGGAGAAATGATTTACTGTGAATTTAACCTTTTAACATCTTTGGTGTTAATTGTGGGTGAACCAGGATGGCTGCTTCCTGTCTCGTTCTATGATCCTCACCCTGATCTTGTTCAGACAGCGTCGCTCCCATGTACAACACCATAGTCTCTACAGTGGGAGCCTTAAAAGGGCCCTCTTGTTTCCCTATCTGTCGTCTGACTTCTGCAGTGTCCCTGCCCACCTTCTCATAGCAGTGGCCCCAAAGGACATGTTTCTGTTACAGGTGATCACATTCAGAACAAATGTCTATATTTTTTAAATGTAAGTACATCTGGGCTGGGTGCGGTGGCTCACACCTGTAATTCCACCACTTTAGGAGGCTGAGGCAGGAGGAACGCTTGAACCCAGAAGTTCCAAACCAACCCGGGCAACACAGTGAGGCGCACCCGCCACCTGCCCCCTGCCCCTGTTAAACCAAAATAAAAATTAGCCGGGTGTGATGGTGCACGCCTGTGGTCCTAGCTACTTGGGAGGCTGAGGTGGGAGGACTGCTTGAGCCTGGAAGGTCTAGGCTGCGGTGAGTGGCATTTTGGCCTGGGTAACAGCGAGACCCTGTCTCAATAAAAAAACAAAACAAAACAAAACAAAACCGCGTAATATTCACCCTATATTCACACTGTCAATATTCACACTATAAGATCAATTAATGCCCCTACTATAAGCTTGTTTAGCAAATCTTTTCTTTTACTTTTTTTTTTTTTTTGAGATGACATCTTGCTCTGTCATCCAGGCTGGAATGCAGTGGCATGATCACAGCTCACTCTAGCCTCGACCTCCCAGGCTTAAGCAATCCCCCCACCTCAGCCTCCAGAGTAGCTGGAATTACAGGGATGCATCACCCATGCCCAATAATCTTTTTTGGTTTTTGTAGAGACAGGGTCTCACTATATTTATGTTGTCCAGGATGGTCTCAAACTTCTGGACTCAAGCAATCCTCCTACCTTGGCCTCCAAAAGTGCTAGGATTACAGGTGTGAGCCACCATGCCCAGTCTTATTTAGCAAATCTTTTCTGGATTATTAGTCCTTTTTTGATGGAAACTTTTCACATTAATTTTTTGCCCAGCTCTTTTGAGGTGTGGTTAACCAAAAAAAAAAAAAGTATATTTAAGATGTATAGGCCAGGTGCAGTGGCTCACGCCTGTAATCCCAGCACTTTGGGAGGCCGAGGTGGGTGGATCACTTGAGGTCAGGAGTTCGAGACCAGCCTGGCCAACAAGGTGAAACCCCATCTCTACTAAAAATACAAAAATTAGCCAGGTATGGTGGCGCATGCCTGTAATCCCAGCTACGCGGGAGGCTGAGGCAGGAGAAATTCCATGAAGCCAGGAGGTGCAGGTTGCACTGAGCCGAGATCGTGCCACTGCACTCCAGCCTGGGCAACAAAGTAAGACTCCATCTCAAAAAAAAAAAAAAAAGATGTATAACAGGGTGTTTGATAAATATACACATTTAAAATGATCACTACAATAAAGCAAATTAACACATCTATCACCTTAGTTACCTTTATTGTGAGTGAAATGAGAACACTTAATCATCTACTTAGACAATTTCAAGTATACACCACAGTGTTATTAACTATAGTCACCATGCTGTACATTGGATCTCCAGAACTTACTCATGTTATAACTGAAAGCTTGTACCCATTGACCAAAAATTCCCCCAGCCCTTAGTAACCACCATTGTACTCCATTTCTATGAGTTTGACTTTTTTTAGGCTGCAGATACAAGTGAGATCATGCAGTACTTGTCTTTCTACGAGTGGCTTATTTCACTTAGCATAATGTCCTCCATCCATGTTGCAAATGGCAGAATTTCCTTTTTTAAGGCTGAATAATATTCCACTGTACATATACACATCATTTACTTTATCCACTCATCTGCCATGGACATTTGGGTTGTTTCCACGTTTTGGCTATTGTGAGTAATGCTACAATGAACATGGAAGTGCATATATCTCTGAGATAGTAATTTCATAACTTTTGGATATATACCTGGAAGTAGGATTGCTGGATGCTATGGTAGTTTATTTTTTTTTATTATTATTATTTTTTTAGACAGAGTCTTGTTCTGTCGCCCAGGCTGGAGTCCAGTGGTGCGATCTTGGCTCACTGCAAGCTCTGCCTCCCGGGTTCACGCCATTCTCCTGCCTTAGCCTCCCGAGTAGCTGGGACTACAGGCGCCCACCACCATGCCCGGTTAATGTTTTGTATAGTAGAGACGGGGTTTCACCATGTTAGCCAGGATGGTCTCCATCTCCTGACCTCATGATCCACCCGCCTCGGCCTCCCAAAGTGCTGGGATTACAGGCATAAGCCACCATGCCCGGACTTGGTAGTTTATTTTTAATGTTTTGTGGAACCTCCACACAATTTTCCCTACTAGCTGTACTAATTTACATTCCTACAATAGTGTATAGGAGTTCCCTTCAGCACTTGTTATCTTTCCTATTTTTTTTTTTTTTTTTGACATGGAATCTCACTCTCTCACCCAGGCTGGAGTGCAATGGTGCAATCTCAGCTCACTACAACCTCCGCCTCCTGGGTTCAAGCGATTCTCCTGCCTCAGCCTCCCGAGTAGTTGGTGTTACAGGTGCCCACCACCACACCCAGCTAATTTTTGTACCTTAAGTAGAGATGGGGTTTTGCCACGTCAGCCAGGCTGGTCTCGAACTCCTGAGCTCAGGCAATCCACCTGCCTCGGCCTCCCGAAGTGCTGGGACTACAGGCATGAGCCACCATGTCTGGTCCTTTCCTCATTTTTATAGTGACCATCCTAATAGGTATGAGTTGATATCTCATTGTGGTTTTGATTTGCATTTCCCTGATGATTAGTGATGTTGAGCCCCTTTTTGTATACCTGGTGGCCATTTGTATGTTTTCTTTGGAGAAATGTCTTTTCAGGTACTTTGGCTATTTTAAAATCAGTTTATTTGGGGTTTTGCTATTGAGTTATATGAGTTCCTTATATATTTTGGATATTAATCCCTTATAAGATAAATGGTTTGAAAATATTTTCTTCCATTCCATAGGTTGCCTTTTCATTTTGTAGATTGTTTTTCCTTTGCTGTGCAGAAATTTTTTAGTTTGATGTAGTCCCACTTGCTTATTTTTTTAACACAGAGTCTTGCCCAGGCTAGAGTGCAGTGGCACGATCTCGGGCTCAACCTCCGCCTCCCAGGTTCAAGCGATTCTCCTGCCTCAGCCTCCTGAGTAGCTGGAACTACAGGTGTGCACCACCACGCCCGGCTAATTTTTGTATTTTTAGTATAGATGGAGTTTCACCATGTCAGCCAGGCTGGTCTCGAACTCCTGAGCTCAGGCAATCCACCCACCTCGGCCTCCCAAAGTGCTGGGATTACAGGCGCGAGCCACCACACCTGGCTGTTTATTTTTGCTTTTGTTGTCTGTGCTTTTGGTTTCATGTCCAAAGAATCATCGATAAGACCAATGTCGAGGAGTTTTCCCCCTTGGTTTCCTTCTAGGACTTTTATGGCTTCAGATCTTATGTTTAAGTCTTTAATCCATTTTTAGTTTTTGTGTATGGTGTAAGATAAGGGTCCATCATTTTTCCCAGCACCATTTATTGAAGACTGTCTTTCCTCCATTGTGTATTCATAGCACTTCTGTCAAAGATTAGTTGATACTAGCTGGGCGCGGTGGCTCCCCTCTGTAATCCCAGCACTTTGGGAGGCCAAGGCAGGCGGATCACGAGGTCAGGAGTTTGAGATCAGCCTGGCCAACATGGTGAAACCCTGTCTCTACTAAAAATACAAAAAAAAAAAAAAAATAGCCGGGCATGGTGACACATGCCTGTAATCCCAGCTACTTGGGAGGCCGAGGCAGGAGAATCGCTTGAACCCAGGAGGCAGAGGTTGCAGTGAGCCGAGATCGCACCTCTGCACTCCAGCTTGGGCAACAGAGCAAGACTCCGTCTTGGGTGGCGGGGGATAAGATTAGTTTATATTGTATGTGTGGGTTTATTTCTGGGCTCTCTTGGGTTTTGGGGGTTGGTTTTTGTTTTTTGTTTTTATCAGGCAGCCTCCCAAGCCAGAGTAGGCTCAGAGAGACTCCCTATTTTCTGGGCCCTTGATCCTGTTCCACTGGGTGTGTGTGTGTGTGTGTGTGTGTGCATGCGTGTGTGTGTGTTTAAAGAGGGTCTTGCTCTGTTGCCCAGGCTGGAGTCCAGTAACACAATCACAGCTCACTACAGTCTCGAACTCCTGGGCTCAAGCAGTCCTCCCACCTCAGCCTCCCCAGCAGCTAGGACTATGAGCACACACCACCATGCCCAGCTATTTTTTTTTTTTTTGAGACTGTTACACTCTTGTTGCCCAGGATGGAGTGCAATGGCGCGATCTCGGCTCACCACAACCTCTGCCTCCCAGGTTCAAGCAATCCTCCTGCCTCAGCCTCCCGAGTAGCTGGGATTACAGGCATGCACCACCACACCCGGCTAATTTTGTATTTTTAGTAAAGATGGGGGTGCTCCATATTGGTCAGGCTGGTCTCGAACTCCTGACCTCAGGTGATCTGCCCACCTCGGACTCCCAAAGTGCTGGGATTACAGGCGTGAGCCACCGCGCCCAGCTTATTTTATTTATTTTTAAATGTATAATTAAATTTTTATTGGATATAGTCACCCTATTGTCCTGTCAAAGACTAGATCTTATTCATTCTTTCTATTTTTTGTACCCATTAACCATCCCCACCTCCTCCCACCCCCACTACCATTTATCTGACTTTGGCATCAGGGTAATTCTGTTCTCATAAAATGAGTTTGGAAGTGTTCCCTCTTCTTCAATTTTTTTTTTCCTTTTTTGAGACGGAGTCTCACTCTGCCGCCTAGGCTGGAGTGGTTTGATCTCGGCTCTCACTGCAACCTCCACCTCCCACGACCAAGCAATTTTCTTGCCTAAGCCTCCTGAGTAGCTGAGATTACAGGCACCCACCACCATGCCCGGTTAATTTTTGTATTTTTAGTAGAGACGGGGTTTCACCATGTTGACCAGGCTGGTCTTCAACTCCTAACCTCAGGTGATCTGCCCACTTTGGCCCCCCAAAGTGCTGGGATTACAGGCGTGAGCCACCGTGCCCGTCCTGTTGGGAGATTTTTGATGAATGATTCAATCTCCTTACTTGTTATCAGTCTGTTCAGATTTTCTATTCCTGATTCGGTCTTGGTAGAGTGTATATTTCTAGGAATGTGTCCATTGTTTCTAGGTTATCCAATTTGTGTAACAACTGTTCATAGTAGTGTTTAGTAGGCTTATTATTATTATTTGAGATAGGGTCTCACTCTGTCGCCCAGGCTGGAGTGCAGTGGCACAATCACGGCTCACTGTAGCTTCAACCTCCCAGGCTTAAGTGATCCTTCCCGCCTCAGCCTCCTGGATAGCTGGGATTACAGACACACATCACCATGCCTGGCTAGGTTTTGTATTTTTAGTAGAGATGGAGTTTCGCCGTGTTGGCCAGGCTGGTCTCGAACTCCTGACCTCAAGTGATCTTCCCACCTCAGCCTCTCAAAGTGCTGGGATTACAGGCGTTAGCCACTGTGCCTGGCAGGTCCTTTGTTTTTCTGTCGTTTCACTTGTAATGTTTCTGATTTTATTTACTTTGTTCATCTTTTCAAAAAACCAACTCTTAGTGTCATTAATCTTTTATATTTTTTTCATCTATTTCATTTATTTTTGCCCTGATTTTGTTATTTCCATCTTTCTGCTAACTTTGGACTTCATTATTTTTCTAGTCCCTTGAGGTATAAAGTTAGGTTGTTTATTTGAGATCTTTATTTCTTTTTTCTTTTTTTTTTTTTTTTTTTTTTGGGACAGGGTCTTGCTCTGTCACCCAGGCTGGAGTGCAGTGGCAAGATCACAGCTCACTGCAACCTCCACCTCCTGAGCTCTAGGGATCCTCCCACCTCAGCCTCCCAAGTAGCTGAGACTACAGGCGCACACCACCATGCCCAGCTAATTCTTTTATTTTTTGTAGAGACAAGGGTCTCACTATGTTGCTAAGGCTGGTGTTGAATTCCTGGCCACAAGAGATCTTCCTGGCGGGGTGCAGTGGCTCATGCCTGTAATCCTAGCACTTTGGGAGGCCGAGGTGGGCAAATCACTTGAGGTCAGGAGTTTGAGACCAGCCTGGCCAGCATGGTGAAACCCCTCTCTACTAAAAATACAAAAAATTAGCCAGGCGTGGTGGCAGGCGCCTGTAATCCCAGCTGCTTGGGAGGCTGAGGCAGGAGAATCGCTTGAACCTGGCAGGCAGAGGTTGCAGTGAGCAGAGAGAGTGCCACTGCATTCCAGACAGAGTGAGACTCCGTCTCAAAAAAAAAAAAAAAAAAAACAGCTCTTCCTGTCTTGGCCTCCCAAAGTGCTGGAATTAACAGGCATGAGCCACCGTGCCCAGCCAGAAGTGTATTGTTTAATTTCCACATATTGGTGAGTGTTCTGATTTTCCTCCTTTTATTGATTTCTACTTTTATACCATTGTGGTCAGAAAGGCTCTTGATATGATTTCATTCTTCTTAAATTTGTTAAAACTTGATTTTGTGAAGTTTCATTATATCATGCATTGGTGGGGTCCACCTACAATAAGCTAAAACATTGCCGTGTAATGTAATGTTAGGGAGTGGGAAGCATTAAGGGAAATAAAGCAGGGTGGGGGTGGAGAGTGAGATGTGATGGTTTACACATGGCAGTCAGGGAAGGTGACTCTGAAAAGGTGCCTTTCAACAGAGACCCGATGTTCGAGGGAGAGCAGTCAAGGAGGATATCCAGTGGTCTAGTTCGTGGGAATGGTTCCTCCATAGCGCTCTGGCTCCGTTGCACGTCTCCACATGGGCCACGTAGGTAAGCTGATGTAAGTCTTGGCAGAACGCCCTGTAATCCTCGGAACACAGAGCACGGAAGGTCTGTGGGGAATTCTCACGAGGCCATTTACCATTCACCTCCTATCTACCAAGGAGCCTGTTGTGAGACAGTTTTCTCCCCACCTCCTGAGGTTCTGGTGGGGTTTGAGGCTTTCTACCCCTCACCTCTGGGCTATAGAACTGCTTAGCTGCAGCATGAAATTAGCTCCTCAGCAACAAGGTGTCCTGCCACCTGGTGTGTGGTCATCTCGCCCCTTTCATTTCGGTGTTGCCCGGCACAAGGGACATGAACCAGAATCTGTGGATGTTCTTGCTTTCGTGGTCCACGTAAGTAACATCTGAATGTAACTAGGGCTTGTTTCATTTCCAACCAAACCTGTCAGCCTTACCTTGCTTCGACATCTGGAAGAGAATTAAAGGCAGAGGGAAAAGCAAACAGGTGCAAAGGCCCTGAGGCAGGAGCTTGCTTGGTGTGTGGGGAACAGCAAGAAAGCCAGCGGGGCAGGAGCAGAGTGAGCCAGGGGCCAGTGGTGGGTGGTGAGGTCAGGGAGGGCCCGGAGGGCCTCGTGGGCCACGGAGAGGACTTTGGCTTTTTCTCTGAGAGAGATGAGAGCCACGGCAGGGCTCTGAGCAGAGGAGGGCCCTGGGCTGACTTGGGTTGCAACAGGATCATTCTGGCTGCCGTGAGGACAGATTGAGGAGAGGGGGCGAGGACGGCAGTGGTGAGGAGGCTGCTGCAGTCATCCAAACCAGTGATGGTGGTGGCGGCAGTGGACGCCGAGAGGAGAGCTCGGATTCTGGCATATTCTGAAGGTGGAACTCACAGGGTTTGCTGACAGATCAAGCAAAGCGAGGGCGGGATGACAAAGTACTTGTTAGGAATCCACACTAGATGAGCTCACAAAAAGTAACTTGACAGTTGGTGTTAGTGTTGTGGTTAAGAACAGGGATTCGGAGCCAAGTGGCCTACATATAAATCCAGTTCCATTGCTTACTGGCTGTGTGACCTTGGGCAGGTCACTTCCTCTCTTTGTTTTCATTTCCTCACCTGTGAGATGAGATGGCAATAGTATCTACTTCACAAGACTGCTGTTGTAAGGATTACACAAGGTTTTCTATTAATGTAAAGTGCTTCAGGCTGGGCACAGTGGCTCATACCTGTAATCCCAGCACTTTGGGAGGCCGAGGCGGGTGGATCACTTGAGGTCAGGAGTTCGAGACCAGCCTGGCTAACAAGGAGAAACCCCGTCTCTACTAAAAATACAAAAATTAGCTAGGCATGGTGGCGCATGCCTGTAATCCCAGCTACTCGGAAGGCCGAGGCAGGATAACTGCTTGAACTCGGGAGGCAGAGGTTGCAGTGAACCGAGATTGCGCCATTGCACTCCAGCCTGAATGACAGTGAGACTGTCTCAAAAAAATAACAAATTAAAATGAATAAATAAATAAATAAAGTGCTTCAAAGAGTGCCTGGCATAAATAAAGTGCTTGTTATTAGTGACATGACCATGGGATGAGAAGTGTCAGGGAAGTGAGTCATAGCAAAGAGCATTCCAGATACCAGGAACACTTTGTACAGTTTTCAAAGCATGTGACAGGAAGCCAGCGTGGCTGGAACATAACCTGATGGAGTAAGAGTGCCAAGAGGTGAGGTTGGAGAGGAAGCCTAGGAGGAGATCAGCCCCTCACGGTAGCTGGACGCCATTGCAGACCTTGGTGCATAGAGCAGTCCTGGAGGTCAGAAGAGACCAGGAACAGAACTAGATCTGGGACTTAGTGCTGGGGGTGCACAGAGCTAGGAGAAGGACGGGGCATTATTGTCAACAATGCTGGCTGGTTACCAGTGGTTGGTGGTTTCTGGTGTCCAGGATAAGAAACAGTCTAGTTCGAGCAGTAGGACAAATACCTAACGCATGCGGGGCTTAAAACCTAGATGATGCGTGGATAGGTGGAGCAAACCACCATGGCACATGTATACCTATGTAACAAACCTGCATGTTCTGCACAGGTATCCCAGAACTTAAAGTAAAAAACAAACAAACAAAAAAAAACAAAACAGTTCGACTTCCCACTGGAGTCCAAATACTAGTTCTAATATTGTCTACATCTGTGGCCATGGGCAGTAAACCCCTCTAGAGTTCACTTTCCCTATCTTCAAAATGGGGCTTAAATGTCATACCTACCTCCTTAGGTTTGTGACAGTACATATAAGATCAGTATAGTCAGCACTCAGTAATGCAGGCTATCACCACAACCAGGTGGGACCTATCCCAGGACAGCAAGGGTGGCTTGACATTTGAAAAGCATGAGATGTAGTTCAACATATTAGCAGGAAAGAAAGAGAATCAAGGGCTGTAATTGCCTGGGACTGTGATATCAGATGCAAGGGCTAAACACTCCCAGATCTGCAATCTAGCCCTGAATGCCTCACTGGGCAAGCTGAATTGAGATCTTAAGACCAGAGTGATCCTAGTCCTACCCCTGTGAAGTGATTTCCGCTGGCTCTGAATCCGTGGCCGACAGGCTTTAACGTCCGCCTTATCCTCACGCTCAGCAGTCCAAGGCTTTGTGCATTCTGGTTTCAGTTCAAATTTATTTTTCACACCTGCCCCCCAGCAACAATAACCAAACTACTATTTTTTTTTTTAAGAAGAGTCTCACTCTGTTGCCCAGGCTGGAGTGCAGTGGCGTGATCTCGGCTCACTTCAACCTTCACCTCCCAGGTTCAAGCGATTCTCCTGCCTCAGCCTCCTCAGTAGCTGGGATAACAGGCACCCACCACCATGCCCAGCTAATTTTTCTACTTTTAGTAGAGATGGGGTTTCACCATGTTGAGCAGGCTGGTCTCAAACTCCTGGCCTCAAGTGATCCACCCGCATGGCCTCCCAAAGTGTTGGGATTACAGGCATGAGTCGCCATGCCCGGCCAAACTACTATTTCATTTACAAGTTTACCAATTTCTTACATTATTATTTTCTTACTATTGATCTTGGCAGTTAGAATCGTAGCTCCAGGGACTGAAGAAGTATCTGTCAGAAGGCTGGCTTGCTAGTTCAGCACGCTGGGGACCGCACAGTGCTCCGTTTGAGGCTTTTTCCAAAGGCAGAAATTTTATTTCTGACTTAGGGCATAGAGAGTTGTCACCAACCCCCATTTGGGGGTTGTGAGAACTTTGGCTTCAGAGGCAAATGTTTTCCCATCAGGAAATGATGAAAGTTATGAACTCATATCCCAACCCCCACTCACCCCATTTAGGAAGAAACTTCAGGGATGAGATAAGTGAATGAGGATTCCGTGTCTCCACTCCAATTACACCTCAGCTCCATGGCTCCTCCCGTTTCTCTCTCTGGCCTTGATTCTCAGCACACCTGTACCCTGAACCACCTACACTTTCCCACCTACACTTTTACTTTGTCCTCTGAAGTTGGGGCCCAACTTGAGATTTTATTTCAGCCTGTGGTAGCAATGAAAAGCAGACACAGCCAATGTGGTCCACTGCGTTCCTTTGCATTTCTTGTTTTTTTTTTTTTGTTTGTTTGTTTGTTTTTTTTTTGAGACAGGGTCTCACTGCGTTGCCCAGGCTGGAGTGCAGTGGTGTGATCACGGTTCACTGCAGCCTCAACTTCGCAGGCTCCAGTGATCTCCCACCTCAGCCTCTTGAATAGCTGGGACTACAGGTGTACACCATCATGCCTGGTTATTTTTTTTTATTTTGTAAAGATAGAGTCTCACCATGCTGTCAGGCAGGTCTCAAACTTTGAAAACTAACCGAAAGCTTGTAACAAGCAGAGGAATGTTTAATCAAGAAAAACCAGCTGAGTGGCTCATGCCTGTAATCCAGCACTTCGGGAGGCCAAGGCAGGCAAATCACGTGAGGTCAGGAGTTCGAGACCAGCCTGGCCAATATGGTGAAACCCATCTCTACTAAAAACACAAAAATTAGCCTGGCATGGTAGTGCACGATTGTAGTCCCAGCTACTTGGGAGGCTAAGGCACGAGAATCGCTTGAGCTGGGAGGCAGAGGTGCCCATGTTGGCGAGGCTGGTCTCTAACTCCTGGCCTCAAGTGACCCACCCTCCTCAGCCTCCCAAAGTGGTGGGATTACAGGCGTGAGCCACAGTGCCCAGCCAACAAACCTTTCATCAGCTTGTTTTGTCTAGTATCTTATAGCCTTATAGGAAGAGGTTTTAAAAATAATTTTTATAAATTTAATATGTTAATATTGAAAAACAATAAAAGAATTCATTCCAATGGTGAAACAGAATTTCCCAGGTATCCCTGACTCGAATTCCTGACTCTTCTGTTATTTCATTCCATCATATTTCTTTGGAAGCAGAGTGGTGGGATGAAGGGGCAGGGCTCTGTTGAGAGAAGGTGGAAGTGAATGGGAAAGGTATTTATCACAACACTCTTTATGGTGAAAAAAGAACATGGAAATAAACCCAATGCCAGTCACAAATAGGGGACCAGTTCAGGGCTGGGTGCAGTGGCTCATGCCTGTAAATCTCAGCTCCTTGGGAGGCTGAGGTGGAAGGATGCCTCAAGGCCACGAGTTCGAGACCAGCCTGGGCAACATATCAAGATACCCCCATATCTCTCTCTTTTTAAAAAAAACAAAAAAAAAAAACAAAAAAAAAAAACAGGGTCTTACTCTAACATCCAAGCCAGAGTGCAGTGGCATGGCTCACTGCAGCCTTGACCTCCCAGGCTCAAGCAATCCTCCCACCTCACCCTCCTGAGTAGCTGGGACTATGAGCACACACCACCACACCCAGCTAATTTTATTTTTGTAGAGATGTAGTCTCACTGTGTTGCCCAGGCTGGTCTCAAACTCCTAGACTCAAGTGATCTTCTTGCCTTGGCCTCCCAAAGTATTGGGATTACAGGTACGAGCCACCATGCCCAGCCGACCCCATGTCGCTCTCTCTTTTTTAATTAATTTATGTTTGAGATGGAGTTTCGCTCTTGTTGCCCAGGCTGGAGTGCAATGGCACGATCTCAGCTCACTGCAACCTCCGCCTCCAGGGTTCAAGTGATTGTCCTTGCCTCAGTCTCCCAAGTAGCTGGGATTACAGGCTCCTGCCACCATGCCCGGCTAATTTTTTGTATTTTTAGTAGAGACAGAGTTTCACCATGTTGCCCAGGCTGGTCTCGAATTCCTAACCTCAGGTGATCTGCCCGCCTCAGCCTCCCAAAGTGCTGGGATTACAGGTGTGAGCCACCACATCCGACCTCTTTTTTTTTTTTTAAGAGACAGGGTCTCGCTCTGTTGCCCAGGTTGGAGTGTAGTGGCATGATCACAGCTCACTGCAGCCTTAACCTCCCAGGCTCAAGCAATTCTTCTGCCTCAGCCTCCCGAGTAGCTGGGACTACAGGGATGTACCACCATGCCTAATTTTTGGTAGAGATGGGGTCTCACTTTGTTCCCCAGGCTGGTCTCAACTTCCTGGACTCAAGTGATCCTCCCGCCTCAGCCTTCCAAAGTGCTGGGATTACAGACATAAGCCACTACGCCCAGTTGACACCATGTCTTAAAAAAAAAAAAAAAAAAAAAAACGTAAGGGAACCAGTTCAATAAAATGTCACCCTTGAATTCCCTGGGCTTCAGATATCCTCATCTGTAAAATGGGGATAGTAACAGGACCCACAACCTTCAGTTATTATGATTAAATTGACTGGGTACAGTGGCTCACGCCTGTAATCCTAGCACTTAGGGAGGCCGAGGCGGGCGAATCACTTGAGCTCAGGAGTTTGAGACCAGCCTGGCCAACATGGTGAAACCCCGTCTCTACCAAAAATAGAAAAATTATCCGGGCGTGGTGGCAAATGTCTGTGGTCCCAGCTCCCGGGAGGCTGAGGTAGGAGGACTGCTTGAGCCCAGGTGGCAGAGATTGCAGTGAGCCAAGATCGTGTCACTGCACTCCAGCCTGGGTGACAGAGTGAAACCCCATCTCAAAAAAAAAAAAAAGATTAAATAGATTAATATATGTATAAAATACCTTGAACAGTACCCAGCACATTGTCTCATAAATATTAGTTGTTCTTGTTAAGGTTACATGTTTGTGCAGTGAAATAGAGTTTACTCTTTATCAATCATGTTACAAAAGAGTATTTAATATGAAAAGACACTGATAAGCTTGTTACAGGGACAAGGGAGATGCTGAGTCAACACAATACAGTGTGATCTTTCGGTGACTTTAAAACATTGTTGAATTGATTGTATTTGTTATAAAAATAATGTGGAAAATAACAGCTTTGAATTTTATGTCAGTTGATGTTAAGATCCAACAGGAAGTTTACCCTGATAACGTTAAGATGAACAGTTTGAAAGCAGCTTCCTGCTGGAAGTTGAAATAGAGATGATTCAGATAGCCTCTTTGGATCCAAACCCCAAAGCTTCTTTTGCCTAATTCTATCTTCTGTCTTTAGAAACTCAAGCCTCGACTGGGCTCGGTGGCTCACGCCTGTAATCCCAGCACTTTGGGAGGCCGAGGCGGGCGGATCATGAGGTCAGGAGATTGAGACCATCTTGGTTAACACGGTGAAACCCCCTCTCTACTAAAAACACAAAAATTTAGCCAGGCGTGGTGTCGGACGCCTGTAGTCCCAGCTACTTGGGAGGCTGAGGCAGGAGAATGGCGTGAACCCAGGAGGCGGAGCTTGCAATGAGCCGAGATCGCGCCACTGGACTCCAGCCTGGGCGACAGAGCGAGACTCCCGTCTCAAAAAGAAAAAAAAAAAAAAAAAAGAAAGAAACTCAAGCCTCAAGCTGTCTGGGGGCATCCAAGTCCAACCATCCCAGTCACACACACACAACCGACCTTACTCATCCCAGGGGTGTGCAGAGGCCCACTGCAAGAACTGGTGAACTTTCAAGGCGTCTTTGCATATATGATGATTTTTTATTCTATTATTCAAGTTTTGCTTGGACAAGATTGTGCTGCTAAAAAGTGGCCTACACCACTTTTTTTGTTTTTGTTTTTGAGACAGGGTTTCACTCCCGTCGCCCAGGCTAGAGTGCAGTGGCGCGATCTCAGCTCACTACAACCTCCGCGTCCTGGGCTCAAGCAATCCTCCTGCCACAACCTCCCGAGTAGCTGGGACTACAAGCGCCCGCCACCATACCCGGCTAATTTTTGTATTTTTAGTAGAGACGGGGTTTCACCATGTTGGCCAGGCTGGTCTTGAACTCCTGGCCTCAAGTGATCCACCTGCCTCGGCCTCCCTAAGTGCTGGGATTACAGGCGTGAGCCACCGCGCCCGGCCCTACACCACTTTTTAAAAGTCGTGTTTCTTCTCTTTTTTATAATGTTGTACTTCTGATTTCTAGGGAATGATTAGCAAACTCACCCCTGACGCTATGTCCCTTGGACATTATCCTTGTATACACAAAAAGTGCAATTAACGAGTGGGTAGAAGTCAAGGGGTGGAGCCTCCGTCCTTGGGCTTGAAGCCAATGTCCCTCAATGCGCCTGCGAGACTCCCACGCCCTGGGAAGGATGCCTATCGATTCGCTCTGGGCTCGGCAGTTCTTTCTGATAGCAGGCAGCCATCTTGCCTGGAGCCTGAGAAAGGGAGGAGAGACAGAAGGAACCGGCGACAGTGGTCTCAGGGCCGCTCCGGGGGGCCTCAAGAACCGGAGGCAGCCCCGGAGGTGGTCCCCGATCCCGGGCTATGCTCTTGGATCTGAGAAGGGAAGGCGGAGGGCGGCGGGGACAAGATGGGTGGAGAATGTCAAGCAAGGAATGCTAGGCGGGGGAGGGGCGTTGCTATGGCGACTGGGGAGGGGCGGTGTCTGTTCTGAATCGCTGTGTGTCACCCGGGCGCTGCCCAGGAAGGGCAGGGCTGGGGTGATGACCATGGTAACACCCGGGGGGGAGTTCGTGACATCTCCGGCGCGGAGGGACTCGATGTCTATGGCAATGGTCGCCTGGTGGAAGGGACGGAACTAGATCCCTTCGCTCGGGACGCTCACATTCCAGGCCCTTGTCCTGCAGGCTGCCGCGGGCGGACACGCCAGAGGAGGAGGCCGGGGAATGGCCGCGGTGTGGCAGCAAGTCTTAGCAGTGGACGCGAGGTGAGGCGTGGGGTCAAAGCCCATGGGAGCAGAACTTACTGTGGTGCATGCGCAATGGCGATAAGTGAGGCTGGGCGGAGAACTTGCCTTATGCGGCTGCGTGGGCATGCCGGAGGTGAGCATGCGCAGTAGCGGGGGCGGGCACGCCCGCGGTGAGTTGGCTGCGCCGGAGAGGATTCTAAACAGCAAGCTGGGAAAATGTGGTCAGATGTGGGCATGCGCAAAGCGGCTACCTGTGAGAGGGAGGTGGGGCTCAGGCAGGTGACATCCTATCCCCTATGGGTGTCCCCTAGACTTTTTTTTTTTTACATCATCACTTCCCCATTCTGACCCCATCACCTCCCAACGCTGACCCCCATAATGTCAGTCTGATTTCTGTCGCCCTGGTATACTGACCCTAATTATTGTCTGCGCTGACCCAGTCACCCCGTAGGGACCCCAGCACGGCAGCAGACTGACTCTGTTGTCTGCAAACTGACCTCATGACCATGCTCATTATTACTGCAGACTCACTCCCACCACAGGACCAAGAGGTCCCTCATCACCACTGCTAGTCATTCTTACCACCTAGGCCCCAGTCACTGCCACACACCTCACTCTCCTGCCGTACCCCCCCCCCCGAGCTGATTGATTCCCTCTGTCCTGTGCCTGCTGCCTGCCCTGCATCCTGACCCTGCAGGTACAACGCGTACCGCACACCAACGTTTCCACAGTTTCGGACGCAGTATATCCGCCGGCGCAGCCAGCTGCTGCGGGAGAATGCCAAGGCTGGGCACCCCCCAGCGCTGCGTCGGCAGTACCTGAGGCTTCGGGGGCAGCTGCTGGGCCAGCGCTACGGGCCCCTCTCCGAGCCAGGCAGTGCTCGTGCCTATAGCAACAGCATCGTCCGCAGTAGCCGCACTACTCTTGACCGCATGGAGGTGAGCTTCTGGCCACATTCACCCCCGGGCATACCCTGCCTGCACACATTCACTCCACTGACTTTCATCAAGCACCTGCTCTTTGCTGGGCACTGTTCTGCATCAGCAGAGGACAAAAAGATAATATGCCAAGTAAACCAGTAAACACACAAACTTTGTAAACAGGTCAGTAAACATATAGCAAGCCCTGTCTTTAGTATCTGCTGAGCAGGGGGAGGGCAGGAACAGCAGAACTCGTGAGGAAGCCACTGCAGTAGTACAAGTGGGCAGCGGTGGTGGTGGCAGGGGACACAGTGAGAAGTGATCTGACTCTAGGTAGATTTTCAGGGCTCCACACCTCAAAGGTTCTCGGGCTTTTTGCAAGATGCACCCACCCTGACCCTCTCCATTTGCAGGACTTTGAGGATGATCCTCGGGCCCTGGGGGCCCGTGGGCACCGTCGTTCTGTCAGCAGAGGCTCCTACCAGCTGCAGGCGCAGATGAACCGTGCCGTCTATGAGGACAGGTATGCACCAGAGGCAGCCAAGGCGGGGGGCGGGTTGCGAGGAGGAGAGGGGCCCTGGGGCAATGGCAGACTGAACACTCTCGCATCTACCTCCTGTCACCCCTCACTTCCTATTGGGGCCCAGGCCCCCTGGCAGCGTGGTGCCCACGTCAGCAGCAGAGGCAAGTCGGGCCATGGCCGGGGACACGTCACTGAGCGAGAACTATGCCTTTGCGGGCATGTATCATGTTTTTGACCAGCACGTGGATGAGGCAGGTGAGCCAGTGGGTAGCGGGTTCCATCACCAAGCGTTTGCCCAAACTGTGACAACCAACCAAGGCATCCTTTTCTGAATCCAAGGCCCCTGGCACACTCCAAAGGAGGAATGACCATCCATAAAGCCTTTTGTAGACTGAAAATCCCTCTGCAAAGTGGTCAGTGCTTCGTCTACTGGAAAGGGCCTCAGAAGCCTAAGAGAGAGCCCTTTGCAGCAGGCTGCCTGGGTTCCTGAGTCACTTGGAAGAGTTCAAAGCCTTTGCTGATGATAAATCCCCTTGCAGAGGGCAGAGTGGGCTACAGTGTCAAGGGTTTTGCAAATTGCCAAGACCTTGATTATAAAGTGTTCGCTAAGACAGGAACTTTTTCATGTTGCAGAAGACTTTTGCAATCTGCAAAGGAGCTGCTAAGACTTAGGGAGCTTTGGCAGAGGGTCTTCAGGGGTTACAGTTCCCTTTGTCAGCCAAGGAAAGCCCTTTGCTGAGGCCACTGTTCCTCATGCAGTGGGGCCCCAGCCCCAGGCACACACGTCAGAGCCTTTTAGAGAGAAAAGTGCCCAGTGAGTGTGCAGATTCCCACTAATGGCTTCTTGGCATTGCAGTCCCAAGGGTGCGCTTCGCCAATGATGACCGACACCGCCTGGCCTGCTGCTCACTCGACGGCAGCATCTCCCTGTGCCAGCTGGTGCCTGCCCCACCCACAGTGCTTCGCGTGCTACGGGGCCACACCCGTGGTGTCTCCGACTTCGCCTGGTCCCTCTCCAATGACATCCTCGTGTCCACCTCACTGGATGCCACCATGCGCATCTGGGCCTCTGAGGATGGTCGCTGCATCCGAGAGATCCCTGACCCCGATAGCGCTGAACTGCTCTGCTGCACCTTCCAGCCTGTCAACAACAACCTCACTGTGGTCAGGCTCCAGGACACCCACTCACCAAGGGCTGGTGGGCTGGGTCAGGAAGGCTATCTGAGGGAATCAGAGTATAAGGAGGGACAGCCAGGGGGGGCCTAGGACCCCCCCACCCCCCACCCAATCTCGTCAGAGCAGTCCTAGTGTGGTCAGACTTAAAAGGGAAGCAGATCAGAAGACGGGAGTGGGCCAGGCGCAGTGGCTCACGCCTGTAATCCCAGCACTTTGGGAGGCGGAGGCGGGCGGATCACGAGGTCAGGAGATTGAGACCATCCTGGCTAACACGGTGAAACCCCATCTCTACTAAAAATACAAAAAATTAGCCGGGCATGGTGGCGGGCGCCTATAGTCTCAGCTACTTGGGAGGCTGAGGCAGGAGAATGGTGTGAACCTGGGAGGTGGAGCTTGCAGTGAGCCGAGATGGCACCACTGGGCGACAGAGCGAGACTCCGCCCCCACCCCCCATAAAAAGGGGAATGCCGTTCTTGATCTGGGTTGGCCTTGCTGTGGTACACTCCAGGGAGCACGGGCCAGGGTCAGGGTTCTGGCTCTGGAGCCCCTTTGGTCCCATCAGCTACAGTCCTACAGTTTTCCAACTGCAGGGGCTACCTCTGAGGAGCAGGATGATGAGGCTGAGCCTCGTCTGGTCTGTCAGTGGCCCCACCGTGTCAGACTCCAGGGTAGATTGGTCAGAGAGCAGGGGAAGGACATTAGAAAGTCTGGTGTGGCCCGGGGTGTAGTGGGGTGAACTGCAGAGGAACAGACCAAGAGTGAGCTTGTGGGCCGGGATCCTCCCCGCATTAGCAGCAGCCCCACAAGTTCCAGAAAGGAGCAGCCAGGGAGCAGGGGAAAGCTGGGATCACAGGCCTAGGCAGGCCCTATGGTTCTCACACTGTAGGAGGACTGGCCAAGGGGCAGCATGATGGCTCTGAAGGCCCTTTAGTCCCGTAGGCAGGTGGCCTACTCTGGGCAGATTGCAAAAGGGGCTGGCTAGGGAGGTGGATTCATGCCTGGTCACCTTGTCTACCTGCCACAGCCCTATTGTGAATAGACTCTAATAGGGACCAGCCAGTCGCATCAACAGCAGCCCCACTGTGGTCAGACTCAAGGAGGGCCTGGCTGGAAGCAGGATGATGGTCTGTGCATTCTCCCCACAGGTGGGGAACGCCAAGCACAACGTGCATGTCATGAACATCTCCACAGGCAAGAAAGTGAAGGGGGGCTCCAGCAAGCTGACAGGCCGTGTCCTTGCTCTGTCCTTTGATGCCCCTGGCCGGCTGCTCTGGGCGGGTGATGACCGTGGCAGTGTCTTCTCTTTCCTCTTTGATATGGCCACAGGTAGGCAGACAGCAGGCCTGCATCTGGGTGCTCGCCCTCCAGCCCTCCCAGGGCACAGCCCTCACCCTCACCTTTGCCTTCCCTCCCTCTGCTGCTGCAGGGAAGCTGACCAAAGCCAAGCGTTTGGTGGTGCATGAGGGGAGCCCTGTGACCAGCATCTCAGCCCGGTCCTGGGTCAGCCGCGAGGCCCGGGATCCCTCACTGCTCATCAATGCTTGCCTCAACAAGTTGCTGCTCTACAGGTGGGTCCCCCATCAGGGCCTCCTGGAGACGGAGGACCTGCCTCCTCCAGCACACTGGGACAGTAGCTCATCTCCTCCATCAGGTTAATTTAATTGAGGGAGCAGTAGTAGCAGTAACAGTAATAGCAGTAGTGAGCGCGTTTACAGCCATCACTGTGGCCAGGCCCTGTTCGAAGCAGTTTCCACGTATCACCACATTCAATCCTTGCACCGACCTGTGAGGTAGGTGCTGTTATTATCTCCATTTTGCAGGTGAGCAAACTGAAGCATAAAATAGATTAGGGCTACTTAAAGCAGAGACCTGTTTTCCTTTCTTCCTTCCTTCCTTTTTTTTTTTTTTTTTTTGCGGGGAGTAGTGTGGGGGTTACTGTCCCCACTCACATCTGTCATGTTACCCAAATGCAGTTCTCAGCCTGGGCCACACATTGGAATGACCTGAAGAGCTTCAAAAACTCCTGTCTGGGCCCCTCTACAGGCCAGTAATTTCAGAAGCTTTGGGATGGGCCTGGGCATTGGTAGATTGAGAAATTCCCTAAGCAATGTCTGGCCAGTCCTGAAAACCACTGCCTAACAGGATGCTTTTTATTCTACCCCTTTATTTCTCTCCTCCTTTTTAAACAATTTCTGTATATATACTTAACAATTTTTTAATTTAAGCGTACCCTTAAGTTTGCCCATTTCCCACAGCCTCTCCTTTCTTCCTCCTGCCACCTCTGGCCTCCTCCTGCCACAGTAAAGCCCATTAATGATCCACATCTTTCCACATATCCTTCTCTTTCCACAAATCCTAGGCGTGTACATATATCCATGTATGTTTTTGTTTGTTTGTGAGACAGGGTTTTGCTGTTACCCAGATTGGAGTGCAGTGGCATGATCATGGCTCACTGCAACCTCCAACTCCTGGGCTCATGCGATTCTCCCACCTCAGCCTAAGTAGCTGAGATTACAGGCACACGCCACCATGCTCGGCCAACCTTTTTAATCTATTTTTTGTAGAGATGAGGTTTTGCTGTGTTACTCAGTCTGGTCTTAAACTCTTGGCCTCAAGTGATCCTTGTACCTTGGCCTCCCAAAGTGCTGGGATTACAGACGTGAGCCACCTTGCCTAGCTCCCACCACAGTTTTGAAAGAAAGACGTTTTAAAGAAATGGCCTTTTCCGGCCAGGCACAGTGGCGCACTCCTGTAATCTCAGCACTTTGGGAGGCCAAGGCGGGTGGATCACCTGAGGTCAGGAGTTCAAGACCAGCCTGGCCAACATGGTGAATCCCCGTCTCTACTAAAAATACAAAAATTAGCTGGGCATGGTGGCAGGCGCCTATAATCCCAGCTACTTGGGAGGCTGAGGCTGGAGAATTGCTTGAACTTGGGAGGCGGAGGTTGCAGCGAGGCGAGATCGTGCCATTGCACTCCAGCCTGGGTGACAGAGCCAGACTCCATCTCTTAAAAAAAGAAAGAAAAAAGAAATGGCCTTTCCTACATTTCGAGTTTCTCACCAGGCAATGCCTTGTGGAAACCCCCCCAGGTTACCTGTGGGGACAGTGTTTTATTCTCTCTAAGGGCTGTGCAGTTTTCCACAGTGTGGGCATACCATGGTGTGTTCATTTCCTCTCTTTGTGCTTATCTTAATACCAGGATCTTTTAGAGACCCTTACAAAGAAAAACTAGTGAATGAAACTGCAGAGGCTCCCATTTATATCAACAGAGACAGTTTCTGAACCATCAGTAACTCACACATCAGCCCCTACTTATAGTTTATGTAGTCATCTCAGAATTGGGTTTCATAAGCTGGGTGTGGTGTGTGCCTATAGGTAGTCCCGGCTACTCGGGAGACTGAGGCGGGAGGATCACTTGAGCCTAGGAGGTTGAGGCTGCAGTGAGCCGTGATCGCACCACTACACTCCAGCCTGGGTGACAGAGTGAGATCCTGTCTCAAAAACAAAAAAAAAAATATGGGTTTCATGAACCCTGTAAAGAACTTAGGCACAGGGGTGGGGACACAGGCCCACAACTTGTCTCCCTGCTAGGGCTGGGGCTGTGTTTTGACCCACTCTCTCATCCTCTCAGGGTGGTAGACAACGAGGGGACCCTGCAGCTGAAGAGAAGCTTCCCCATCGAGCAGAGCTCACATCCTGTGCGCAGCATCTTCTGTCCCCTCATGTCCTTCCGCCAGGGGGCCTGCGTGGGTGAGTCCTGTAGGGACAGGGGATCTGGGTGGCTGGGGAGGGGCAGGAACCAGGGCTGGTGCCAACCTGGCTCAGACATCACGACACCGATGCCCTGACTTCCTGGACCTCATGACCCCTCCTGCCCCAACAGCCTCACTGTGGAACTCACAGCTCCAAACAGCTCAGAGAACTCACAGTTTGCACTTGATCTCGGCCAAAAGGCCGAGAAGTGATGAAAACTCACACTTTGAACGCACTAACTCCCCAAACAGCCCAGAGACCTCGCATTCTGCACACAGTACCAAAACAGCCAGGTGACCTCCCATCTAGGGATGGGGCCCCCTCAAACCTCCCCAAGCCATGCTAGGACCTCACACCTCGGACATACACCCTTCAACACCTCAGACACCTCAGGGACTTCCCACCAGGGGCACCCCAGGCGCCTCCCGATGGCCTCTCCCTCTCACCCCGACAGTGACGGGCAGTGAGGACATGTGCGTGCACTTCTTTGATGTGGAGCGGGCGGCCAAGGCTGCTGTCAACAAGCTGCAGGGCCACAGTGCACCTGTGCTTGATGTCAGCTTCAACTGCGACGAGAGCCTACTGGCCTCCAGTGACGCCAGCGGCATGGTCATCGTCTGGAGGCGGGAGCAGAAGTAGGGTCCTGTCGGCCCTGCTGCTGTCCTCCATCCCACCCCTCTTACTCCAGCCTCGTGTTGTAAATAAAGTTTCGGTGGTCATGCTGAGGGCCGGCTCCCAGCTCTGCCGGGGACGGACAGGGCAGAGGGCAGCGGGCAGCTCCAGGAACACGGTGGAACGGGGTTCATTGACTCATTTGTGCATTCATGCATCGACGGATTCATTCATTCCACAAGCATTGATTGAATGTCTGCTGGGTTACAGGCCCTGCCTTAACTGTTTTACACACTTATGCATTCGATAGACATTAGTGAGCCCTGACCGTGTGCCAGGAACTGTTCTAGGCACTGGGGATACTGCTCTGACCTAAACTGATGGAAATGCCTGCCTTCATTGGGCTTGCATCATAGCGGAGACAGTAGATAAAAACATGGAACAGGCCAGCTAATGATGAGTGGTATGAAGAAAATAAAGCAAGGATGGGAGACAGAGCTGCAGAAGTTGGGGGAGTGGGCTCTTTATGGTGACAGCATCAGGGAAGATGATCCTGACAGGGTGACTTTTTTGTTTTTGAGACAGGGTCTCACTCTGTCACCCAGGTTGGAATGCAGTGGCATGACCATAGCTCACTGCAGCCTCAACCTCCAGGGCTCAAGTGATCCTCACTTAAGCCTCCCAAGTAGCTGGGACTACAGGTGTGTGCCACCACACTCGGGTAATTTTTGTATTTTTAGTAGAGACGGGGTCTCGCCATGTTGCTCAGGCTGGTCTTGAACTCCTGGGCTCAAGCGATCCACTCGCCTCAGCCTCCCAAAGTGCTGGGATTACAGGCATGAACCACCACGCCTGGCTCAGGGTGACATTTAAAGACCTGAATGAAGTGAGTGGGAGTCATAGTGTAGGGGGAGAACATTCCAGGCAGAGAGAAAGCCAGCCTAAAGGCACTGAGGCTGGAGCGCTCCAGAAGGATCATTGTGTATGCCAGAGTCTTGCTGGACCAGAGTGTGACAGTACATGAGGTCAGACAGGCCAGATGCTTCATGGGCCACAGTTAGGACTTTGGCTTTTTTTCTGAGTGGGGGTGACCAGAAGGTGTCAAGCAGAGGAGGAACATGATCTGACTTGGTCATAGAGGCTCCCTCTGGCTGCTGAAGGGGACAGATTGGGGGTGGGGGTAGAAGCAGGGGACCCAGCAGGAGACCCCTCTGAGCGCAGTGATGGGGACTTGCACCAGGGTAGTGACAGTGGAGGAGTTGGCGGGGGAATGTTGGGTCGGACCCCCAGGGGGTTCACTATGTTAGGCTGCAGGACTCTGCTGCCTCCTCAGGGGGCGATATTCCCAACCCTTCTGTGCATTGTGTTGTTTATTAAAAGCAGGGAGCAGAGGTGTTGAGTCCTGGAGCCCCAAGCTGGTGCAGGAGCAACGGGAAGTTAAGGCTGACCTGGGGCCTCCTGCTGTGTGGCGGAATCTCCATCCCTCAGACCACCCCTGTCTCCTCCCAGCCCCATCCAGGGTACAAATTCCAGCCCTGGAACAGCTCAGAGACCAAAAAGTGATGTTAAGTATTTGAGGGGAGCCCCAAGAGAGGAGAAAAAGCTTTGAGTATTGATGGGGGTAAATAACCAAAATCACTTATCAGTGGCCTGCGTCACCAGAAAATGTCAAAGTTACCTGAAGCAGCAAAGAGGCTCTTGCTCCGGCCCCTCCCTTCCTTCTCAGCTCCATTTGTTGCCACATATGCGTTGACTGGAACTGCGACTGACATCTTGGGACCTTAGGGTCAGTCCACAGCGTGGTAGAGACTCCAGCTTGGCCCAGCATTGCTGAGCTGCTGAACTCGCACCAACAGTCTTGTTGGAGGGAAATAATCTCCCGTTTGTTCAGTCCAGTTATTTGACAGTGTGGTTACTTGCACCCCAAGCATTTCTAACTGGCACTTCCATCTAATAGACCTCAGGGTACATGGTGGTGAGATAGGGACATCAGTGAGCTGGATTGTTCCCATGGTAAAGGTCATGTATGTGTGTGTGTGTCATGGTCCTCAATACCAGCCCCAAGCCCAGTGATTTGCTAGGAGGACTCCCAAGACTCAGTATGTGGTTGTATTCATGGCTACGATTGACTTATTACAACAAAAAGATATGGAGCAAAATCAGCAAAAAGAAATGGTGTGCAGGACCAACTCCCAGAGAGACCCAGGCACAAGTTTCCAGGGCTTCTCTCTCATTGGAGTCACACAAGATGTGCTCGGTTCACAGTAATGGGTTGTGACAATACATGCGAAATGTTGCTGACCAAGGAAGCTCAATTAGAGACTCAGCACCCAGAGGTTTTTTTTGTTGTTGTTGTTGTTTTGGTTTTTTTTTGGCGGGGGGGGGGGGGTCTTGCTCTGACGCCCAGGCTGGAATGCAGTGGCATGATCTTGGCTCACTGCAGCCTCCACCTCCTGGGTTCAAGCGATCCTCGGGCCTCAGCTTCCCGAATAGCTGGAACTACAGGCGCGCACCAGCAAGCTCGGCTAATTTTTGTATTTTTAGTAGGGATGGGGTTTCACCATGTTGGCCAGGCTGATCTTGAACTCCTGACCTCAAGTGATCCTCCCACCTCAGCCTCCCAAACTGCTGGGATTACAGGCGTGAGCACCTGGCTGGTATCAAGTTTTTATTGGGGCATGGTCACATAGGCACCCCCTGCCTGGCACCTACCCAAATCCCAGGCTCCCAAAAGGAAAGCAGGGGCTCAGCATAAACCACCTTTTTTTTTTTTTTTTTAATTGAGACGGAGTCTCGCTTTGTCGCCAGGCTGGAGTGCAGTGGCGTGATCTCGGCTTACTGTAACCTCCGCCTCCTGGGTTCAAGCAATTCTCCTGCCTCAGCTTCCTGAATAGCTGGGACTACAGGCGCCTGCCACCACCACGCCCAGCTAATTTTTGTATTTTTAGTAGAGACGGGGTTTCACCATATTGGCCAGGCTGGTCTCCATCTCTTGACCTTGTGATCCGCCTGCCTCGACCTCCCAAAGTGCTGGGATTACAGGCATGAGCCACCGCTCCTGGCCCACTTTTTTATACAAACAGCTTAGGTAGAGTAAGCCATTCTTTTTTTTCTTTCTTTCTTTTTTTTTTTTTTTGAGACAGGGTCTCACTTTGTTGCCCAGGCTGGAGTGCAGTGGCTCAAACATGGTTCGCTGCAGCCTCAACCTCCCAGGCTCAAGCGGTCCTGCTGCCTCATCCTCCAAAGTAGCTGGGACCACAGACATGCACCACCATGACCCCAGCTGATTTTTGCAGAGATGGGTTTTGCCATGTTGCCCAGGCTGGCCTTGAACTCCTGGGCTCAAGTGATCCTCTCACCTTGGCCTACCAAAGTGCTGGCGTTACAGGTGTGAGCCACCACACCCGGCCCGAGTGAGCCATTCTTATCTCTTAGGGAATGGTGGGAACCCTCCTGGAGTCTATGTTCTTAGACACCACCCAAGGGCCAACCTTGAAGCAGGCCTTTCCAAGGATCGCAGTTGAGGCCTGCTCTGTTACTGTTTTTCTGCACAGTGTGCAACACCACACAGATGCCCAGTTTCTACCAAGGTCTGTGGATGGCAGGATAATTTTGAGGAACCTCCTTTTTCGCTAACACTTTCTTCTTTTGTTTACACTCTTCACATTGTCTATTGAGTCTGGATTCAAGATGATTGATTGTGAATATTGTTGTGCATGATTTTGGGGGTTTCCTCCTTGTGAAATTTTGAGGTGGCAGATTTGACATTCTACTTTAAACTCATCTTGGTGGCACTTTTCTTGACTCACCACCTAAGGGGGAATAAATAATGAAGAAAGAATAAAAATAGTGTTATCAGTCACATTTGGGCCTCGGTTAACTTGTTCAGCATCACTGGTTTCACATCAGATCTGAAGCTCTGTCAATCATTCCACTATCAATTCCACTCTGGTCTTGCCTCAAATCGAGGCTTCGATTAACTGTTCCCTGCCCTTTGTCTGACTTTGAACCTGTGTGTTTGTCAACTACTTTACCATCAAGAGCCTCTCTGGGCCAGGTGCAGTGGCTCACACCTGTAATCCCAGCACTTTAGGAGGCCAAGGCAGGCGGATCACGAGGTCAGGAGATCGAGACCATCCTGGCTAACACGGTGAAACCCTGTCTCTACTAAAAATACAAAAAAATTAGCCGGGCGTGGTGGCACGTGCCTGTAGTCCCAGCTACTCGGGAGGCTAAGGTAGGAGAATCACTTGAACCCGGGAGGCGGAGGTTGCAGTGAGCTGAGATCGCGCCACTGCACTCCAGCCTGGGTGACAGAGCGAGACTCCGTGTAAAAAAAAAAAAAAAAAAAAAATGGCTGGGCTCGATGGCTCACACCTGTAATCCCAGCACTTTGGGAGGCCAAGGTGGGCAGATCATGAGGTCAGGATATCAAGACCATCCTGTCCAACATGGTGAAACCCCATCTCTACTAAAAATGCAAAAATTAGCTGGGTGTGGTGGCGCGTGCCTGTAATCCCAGCTACTCGGGAGGCTGAGGCATGAGAATCACTTGAACCCAGCAGGCAGAGGTTGCAGTGAGCCGAGATCGCGCCACTGCACTCCAGCCTGGCGACAGAGCGAGACTAAAAAAAAAAAAAAAAAAAAAAAAGCCTCTCTGGTCTCAGAACGAAGCTGGGCCTTTGTTAACTATTACCCCACTGGTGTACCACTGGTCAAATCTCAAACCAGGGCTACTGTATAATATTTCACTAGCAATTGGCTTCTGATCTGACCTTGAACTGAACTTGGGTTTCTATTAACTACTGTATTTTGTGACGGTGCCCTTTTGCTCCATTCCAACCTCGAGGACCCTCAGTCCTGACGTTACATCTGGGCCTCTGTTAATTATGTCACCACCAATGCCCTTATGGTGTCAATTCCAGTCTGCACTTCTGTATTAACGGTTGCACCACTGGCTGGGCAGGCACAGTGGCTCACGTCTGTAATCCCAACACTTTGGGAGGCCAAGATGGGCAGATCACCTGAGGTCGGGAGTTCGAGACCAGCCTGACCAACATGGAGAAGCCCCATCTCTACTAAAAACACAAAATTAGCCAGGCATGGTGGTGCATGCCTGTAATCCTAGCTACTCGGGAGGCTGAGGCAGGAGAATTGCTTGAATCCGGGAGGCGTAGGTTGCAGTGAGCCAAGATCACGCCATTGCACCCCAGCCCTGGGCAACAAGAGCGAAACTCCGTCTCAAAAAAAACCCCAAACGACAACATCACCACCAACAACAAAACAGTTGTACCATTAATGCCCATGGAGTCTAAACTTAAGCCCAGGCCTCTGTTAACTAGTCTACTATCACTGACTCTTTGGTCTGATCTCAGACCTGGGCATCTCTCTCTTTTTTTTTTTTTTTTTTTGACACAGAGTCTCGCTCTGTCGCCCAGGCTGGAGTGCAGTGGTGCCATCTAGGCTCACTGCAAGCTCCGCCTCCTGGGTTCATGCCATTCTCCTGCCTCAGCCTCCTGAGTAGCTGGGACTACAGGTGCCCACCACCACGCCTGGCTAATTTTTTTGTATTTTCTAGTAGAGACAGGGGGTCTCACCATGTTGACCAGGATGGTCTCGATCTCCTGACCTCATGATCCGCCTGCCTCGGCCTCCCAAAGTGCTGGGATTACAGGCGTGAGCCACTGTGCCCGGCCCTGGGCATCTCTTAATGTTTCTTTCACCAGTACCTATGACCTCAAACCCAGGCACTTTATTTATTTATTTATTTATTTATTAAGACAGAGTCTCACTCTGTTGCCCAGGCTGGAGTGCAGTGGCACGATCTTGGCTCACTGCAACCTCTTGCTCCTGGGTTCAAGTGATTCTCCTGCCTCAGCCTCCCGAGTAGCCAGGATTACAGGTGCCCGCCGCCAAGCCCGGCTAATTTTTGTATTTTTAGTAGAGATGGGGTTTCACCATGTTGGCCAGGCTGGTCTCAAACTCCTGACCTCAAGTGATCCTCCTGCCTCGGCCTCCTAAAGTGCTGGAATTACAGGCATGAGCCACCACGCCCGGCTGACCTTCATTTGATATTCTAGCTTAAAGGTCCTTCTGGTCTCGAATCAAACCTGGACCTCGGTTCAGTTTTCATCCAACAATGCCACATGGGTAATGCCTGGTCTTCTTTTTAACTATTCAACCTTCAGTCTCCTCTGATCTGACTTTGAATGTAGGCCATTTTAACTCACACCGTCAATTGGTCTGATCTCAAATCTGGTCTACTGTTAAGCATCAATGTTCTTCTGGTTTGTTCTCAAAATCTGGGTTCTCTTTTCTTTTCTTTTTTTTTTTTTTTCAGACGGAGTCTCGCTCTGTTGCCAGGGCTGGAGTGCAGTGGCATGATCTCGGCTCACTGCAGCCTCCGCCTCCCAGGTTCAAGCAATTCTCCTGCCTCAGCCTCCCAAGTAGCTGGGACTACAGGCGCATGCCACCACGCCCGGCTAATTTTTGTACTTTTAGTAGAGACAGGGTTTCACCATGTTGGCCAGGATGGTCTCAATCTCTTGACCTCGTGCTCTGCCCTCCTCGGCCTCCCAAAGTGCTGGGATTACAGGCGTGAGCCATCGCGCCTGGCCACTGGGTTCTCTTTTCTAGTCATTCCATATTCAATATCATCCTGGTCCCTAATCAGAGCTCTTCCACTATCCTTGCTCTCTAGTCTGTCTGATTCTTAACCAGGACTTACATTTCCTATTTCATATTTAAAGATCTACTAGTCTAGTTAGCCAACACAGCCATTTAACTATCCCCAAATCCTTCCACTCCAAGCCTTCTCAAACCAGTCTTCTGTTAAATACACCACCAACTCCCATCTGGTTTGACCTTGAATCTGATCCTCTGATAACTGCTCCATCGCCAGTGTCCTGTGGATCTGTCATTGAACTTGTACAGTTATCTCTTCCAACACCAGTGCCCCTAGAGTGTGAACTCAAACTCCAGGCTCTGTTAAGTATTCTAGACTCGAGTCCACTCTGAACTGACCTCAAACCTAGATATTCATTTGATTGTCCTCATCCCTTTTTCTCTGGTTTGATCCTAAACCAAGGTCTGTGTTAACTATTACGCCTGGAATGTTCCTCTAGTCTGAGTTCAAGCATTTTCTAACTATCCCAATATCAAATCCCACCTCTTTGTCTATATATTTAACAGAATAATTAAAGCAGAACTAATTAAAACTCCTTGCCCCTCTTACTTGACCTCAAATCTGGGTGTCTTTATTCTATCATCAGTGCTTTTCTTGTCTATTATTGAACTCTGTGTATTAACTCTCCTAACATCAATGTCCGTGTCTGACTTTAAACGATGGTGTCTGTTCATTCTTCCACTATAAATTCCTCTCTGGTAGTGTTGCCTTCCACACAGGCCTCTGATAAAACTACCATTGTTAATGCCCCCTTAAACAAGGACTTTGGTTAGTGAGTTTACCATCAATACCTTCCCGTTTGATTTTTTTATTTTTATTGAGACAGAGTCTTGCTCTTGTCACCCAGGCTGGAGTGCAGTGGCACGATCTTGGTTCACTGCAACCTCTGCCTCCCAGGTTCAAGCGATTTTCCTGCCTCAGCCTTCTGAGTAGCTGGGATTACAGGTGCATGCCACCACGTGTGGCTTTTTTTTTTTTTTTTTTTGAGATAGTCTCGCTGTGTTGCCCAGGCTGGAGTGCAGTGGCACGATCTCAGCTCACTGCAACCTCTGCTTCCTGGGTTCAAGTGATTCTCCTGCCTCCGCCTCCCGAGTAGCTGGTATTACAGGCATGCGCCACCATGCCCAGCTAACTTTTGTATTTTCAGTAGAGACAGGGTTTCGCCATGTTGGCCAGGCTGATCTCGAACTCCTGACCTCAAGTGATCCGCCTGCCTCAGCCTCCCAAAGCGCTGGGATTACAGGGGTGTGCTATCACGCCCGGCTGATACCTTCCTGTTTTAAAGCACTGACCCTGGCATGTGTTAACTAGTCCATCACCCATGCCCTATTTTCTGACCTTGAACTTGGACCATTGTTTTGTTTTTGAGACAGAGTTTATTTATTTTTGTGTGTGTGTGACGGAGTCTTGCTCTGTCGCCCAGGCTGGAGTGCAGCGGCGTGATCTCAGGTCACTGCAACCTCCGCCTCTGAGGCTCAAGTGATTCTCCTGCCTCAGCCTCCCAAGTAGCTGGGACTACAGGTGAGCGCCACCAGGCCTAGCTACTTTTTTGTATTTTTAGTAGAGACAGGGTTTCACCATGTTGGCCAGGCTAGTCTGGTACTCCTGACCTGAGGTGATCTGCCCGCCTCAGCCTCCCAAAGTGCTGGGATTACAGGCGTGAGCCACTGCACCCAACTGGACAATTGTTAAGTGTCTCTATATCCATGCCTCTTCGGTTACACTTTAAACCTGGGCTTATGGCAAATACTTCAGCATTAGTGGCCTTCAGATCTGAACTCAAATATAGAAGATTAAATTACTGGACTTATAAGGACTTCAGAGTGGTCACTATTAAGGAAATGCAGACTGCAGTCAGGATATAATGGGGTGAGAGACTGCAGTGTGGACATAAGTGTTCACAGAAATAAATGTGAGTTCTAGTGGAGTCACAGACTGGCGTATGGACACTCCTGTGATCTATACCTGACACTGTGTGACCCCAGGAGTTTCTGCACCCTGCTCTGTGTGACACCAGAAGTAGTCATGTCCCAGTATGTATGTGGCCAGGAGTGTCCACATTCTAGTCTCTGTGGCCTGAGGATTGTTGGCATCCTGGTCCCTGAACCCGTAAGTTCACACTCCAATCTGTGTGACCCATAAGTGTCCAAATTCCTGTCTGTGTGACCCCAGAAGTGTTCATATCACAGTCGATATGAGTATCTATACCTAGTCTGTCTGACCCCAGCATTTCCAAACTGCAGTCTGTGTGACTCATGGGGTTCACATCCCAGTCTGTTATCCCAAGTATGCCTACACCCAGCCTGTGTGACTCTCAGAGCATCGAAACCCGTTTGTGTGATCTCAGAAGAGTTCACATCCTATTCACAAAGGAGAGAATAGATATTCTTTCATTTCTGCTGCTGATAATTAGAGAAATGTAAATTCAATTGTTTTTTGTTTTTTGTTTTTTTTGAGATGGAGTCTCGCTCTATCGCCAGGCTGGAGTGCAGTGGTGTGATCTCGGCTCACTGCAACCTCTGCCTCCCGGGTTCAAGCAATTCTCCTGCCTCAGCCTCTCGAATAGGTGGGATTACATGCGCCCGCCACCACGCCCAGCTAATTTTTGTATTTTTAGTAGAGACAGGGTTTCACCATGTTGGCCAGGATGGTCTCGATCTCTTGACCTTGTGATCCGCCCGCCTCGGCCTCCCAAAGTGCTAGGATTACAGGCGTGAGCCACCGCACCTGGCCTCAACTGTATTTTTTTTTTTAACCTAAAGGTAACCACAAGTGGAATTTAAAACAGGGATAGGTTGGCGCAGCGGCTCATGCCTGTAATCCCAGCACTTTGGGAGGCTGAGGTGGGTAGATCACTTGAGGCCAGGAGTTTGAGACCAGCCTGGCCAACACAGTGAAACCTTGTCTCTACCAAAAAAATACAAAAATTAGCCAGGCATGGTGGTGTGTGCCTGTAATCCCAGCTACTCAGGAGGCTGAGACAGGAGAATCGCTTGAACCTGGGATGCAGAGGCTATGGTGAGCCGAGATCGTGCCACTGCACTCCAGCCTGGGTAAGAGTGAGACTTTGTCTCAGAAAAAAAAAATGACAAGGGCACTCAGACTGAATGAATGCTCCCAAGAAATAACCAAATGATATCTGAATCAATATGATTCAGAAAGTTTTTTTAATGATGCATAAAAATGCATGAGAAAAGTAAAGAGACAGAGAAAACAGCAGTTGCAATAGAAATTCAAGATAAAATTAGGGAAAAAAGCATTAGACAGTCAAAGAGGACCCTTTTTATTGATGAAGGGCATGATCAACATTGAAAATACAAGTCTTGAATTCCTGTATTCCATACAAGAGATCGAATCTTTAGCTAGAGGAATGGAAGACAGCCAATTGAATCCTAGCCAAACTTATGCATATGGTCGGATCAAATTGAGGAATCTTCACAGCAGACACTAAAAATTGAAATGGGCCTATCAATTAGGTTTAGTGGACAATGGAGGAAAAGCGAGGAAGTGGACACATGGTTTACCCATTTTCTCTCCCTGGACCCAAGAAAGGATACTTTGGTGACCTTGGGTGTTCTCCCTTGCAGTGAATATAAGTGGCTACAGTACAATGTTGAGCGCCCCTATGAGACCTTGACATGACTACACTAAGTTCATTTTCAGGTGCTTATTCAAAGGGGAAGTCACTGATGGCAAATTCTACCTCACAACCTCATCTGTATAGAAAAGATGTGCCATGATCGTGCCACTGCACTCTAGCCTGGGCAACAGAGTGAGACCTTGTCTCTAAATAATAATAATAATAAATTCCAAAACAAAACAAAACAACAACTTATAGTGGCCATAAGCTCAAGACCACAATGCAATCATGGTTAGAAATTAGTACTCAATTGTACAGAAGAAGCCATTAAGCCCCTCCTACCACAGCTAACTGAGATTCCGGCTGGTGGCTCTGAGGCTTTGTCCTCCATCTGTCCATGGTGATGCTCTAGCATTTCATAACAGGGTTGGTCTGGTCAGCTCTCAACACATCAACATAACTTACTCTTGCATCCGAGAGATTATTCAAGTGCCAAGTACCATCACTTTCTTCTTCTTCTTTTTTTTTTTCCTTGAGACAAAATCTTGCTCTGTCACCCAGGCTGGAGTGTAGTGGCGCCATCTGGGCTCACTGCAACCTCTGCTTCCCGGGCTCAAGTTATTCTCATGCCTCAGCCTCCCGAGTAGCTGGGACCACAGATGCATGCCATCACGCCCAGCTAATTTTTGTATTTTTAGTAGAGACAGGTTTTCCACATTGGCCAGGCTGGTCTCGAACTCCTGGCCTCAAGTGATCCACCCACCCTGGCCTCCCAAAGTGCTGGGATTACAGGTGTGAGCCACCACACCTGGCCACTATCAACTCTTCATTGTTGAGTTTTTCTAAGTTAAAACAACCTGTTTTTTGAGCTATGCTGCATATTACATGTTTCAGGAACTCCCCATAGACTGATTTCCCAGCTCCAGAAACATGCAATCCATCTGCTATTCCCTTGGGCTTTTTGCTTTCTTCTTTATTTTAGAGATGGGGGAGGGTCTCACTATGTTGCCCAGGCTGGACTTGGCCTCCTGGGCTCAAGAGATCTTCCCACCCCTGCCTCTCAAGTAGCTGGGACTACAGGTGTGAGCCACTGTGCCTAGCTTTTTGATATCTTGATTCCCTCAGAACCAGGTGGAAACATGTTCTGAATAAAAGCCAGTCCTGGGTATTCTTGCTCTACTCACCGGCTTGGTTGTGTTGGGCTGAGCCTTATAGAACACAGTGCTGGAGACCTTCTCAGGGTCACTTCCTGTACCCTTGACTTTGAGCTGCAGCCCTCTGGTTTTCTCAGGTGAGTTTTCTTGACTCTTTCCACTACTCTTCAGCCGATAAAGTGACCATTCCACTCATGTGCTTTCCCCTGGGGTAACTCCTAGTGGATGCAGTGTTGGGACCCCTTAGTTTCACTGGGCAGTGTCACAGGGCAGGCTCTTTAGAAGCAGAATTTCAGCTGGAGTTTGGGGCACAGGAGGTTTATCAGTTGATGTAAAGGGAAGGAGGAGGAAGCAGGATCGGGCAGGGGGAGAGCTGAGTATGATGCAAGCCACACAAAGCCTTGGCCAGCCCAGCGGGGAGCTCTGGAGCAGGGATGGCGTGGCAGAGTGTTTTGGGGTAAAGGGCATGAGCTTGGGGAAGTGACTTTCTGCAGACTCTGATGGAGCTGACATCTGGAGGCTGCCTGCCCACCGCACTCCCTGCAGCTGTGCAGCGAGCCTTTCCTTGAAAAGGGGTCTCAGTGGTGCACATTTTTTTTTGAGACAGAGTCTTGCTCTGTCGCTCAGGCTGGAGTATAGTGGCATGATCTCTGCTCATTGCAACCTCTGCCTCCCGGGTTCAAGCGATTCTCACGCCTCAGCCACCCAAGTAGCTGAGATTACAGGCGTGCACCACCACACGTCTCTACTGTTTTTAGTAGAGACGGGGTTTCAGCATGTTGACCAGGCTGGTCTCGAACTCCCGATCTCAAGTGATCCGCCCGCCTCGGCCTCCCAAAGTGCTGGGATTCCAGGTGTGAGCCACCGCACCCAGCCAGTGGTTCACATCTTTGTCTCCCACTGTCAGGAAAGGTATGGGGAGGAGCTGTGAAAAGAAATGGGTGGCCACTGGGTAAGTAACTGGGGACCCAGGGAAAATCCTGTTACTCCCATGACTCGCCCACATGGTCCTGAGCCAGTCACTTTACCACTCTGTGCCTCAGTTTCCTCAAGACTCAGTTGAGGGTTGGGGAGTATATCCATTCATTCTTCTGACCTATATTGACTGAGTACCTACATGTGCCAGGCACTGTGCCAAGTTATAACAGTCAACAAGGCACACAAAACCTCGCCCTCAGGGAGCTGACATTGCCAAGAACCCCTCAAATCTACCCAGTGACCCAGACTGAGGGCAGATGTCACCCCTGGCCTTGCTTGCAATGATCATGACGCACAGTGAGCACCGTGGCCTCGTTGCATATTCAGACAGATGACAGCCTGACATGGAAGCTGAGGATCTAATCAGTGGCATCCACATGGTAACAGGAAGGAAGGAGCCACTGTGGGTCCTTGAGCAGGAGCACGGAGATATCAGTGCAAAACTTCAGAAGGGCAATTCCAGTGGCAATCAATAGAAAAAGACCTTTTTACTGCATGTCACCCTGCCCCTTAGGTGAGTCAAATTAAGGCAAATAGCCGAGGCCAGGCCACCCTGTCTGTCCCCTGTTATATTTTTGGTTTTGGTTTGTTTATAGCTGAGTTATTCCCTAGTGGTGGCAGTGATGATTGGGAATTTGGCTTTCTGATCTGACCATTTGGTGACTTCTGGGAATGAATGAACGGATGTTGGCAGAGAACAGCAGGAGTCAGGCATGTTATCCTGTGTCTCTTGGATCTCTTGCCCTGTGGCTAACGGTGTGAAAATGAAGCATTAAGCTCCCTCTGTGGCTGCAGTCAGACTCCTGGGGTGAGTGAGTAATGTTTTCCCATCTCTGGAGGGTGTCTATACATTATTTTGTAATGTCACTTGAATTAAAGGAACTCAGTTCTGATTGGCTGATAGAGATAAATAAGCACTTATACAAATCAAATATTCCTAAAATTTAGGAAAATGAGGAAATCAGACTTTTTAAATGGCTGTCCTCTGTAGTCCAGGAAGAAACTGAACTTTTAGTACCGTAAATGCACTAGTCTTGAAAAAGATTCCTCCTTCAGAAACTAATTCAGAGACTTTAAGAATCCAAGTTCTCATAATTAAGATAAATCTTTGGCAAATGACATTAGTTTAATTATTTGAGTTTAATAAAAACAGTATAGGATGGGTGCAGTGGCTTATGCCTGTAGTCCCAGCACTTTGGGAGGCCAACGTGGGAGAATCCCTTGAGCCTGGGAGTTTAAGACCAACCTGGCCAACATGGCAAAACCCTGTCTCTACCAAAAATACAAAAATTCGCCAGTAGTGGTGGTGTGCGCCTGTAGTCCCAGCTACTTGGGAGGCTGAGGTGGGAGGATGGTTTGAGCCTGGGAGGCAGAGGTTGCAGTGAGCTGAGATCATGCCATTGCACTCCAGCTGGGGTGACAGAGCCAGATCCTGTCTCAAAAAAAGCAAAAACAAAAACAAAAACAAAATTATGCTATTATTAAGTAATTATCCTGTAATTATTATGGATGCTTTCTCTCTGATTTGTTAGTGTTAAGTATAATACAAGTGTGCATTTATCTACTTAAGTTTGTATTTTCCTAAATTGATGAAGGTTTACTGATCAAATAAGCTACCACTTCTCCTCCATAATGTTGAAGATTACAAAAAATGTATCCTTGCATTTGACTAAAATAAATCATTAATCTAATAAGTTTATTTCAACGTAATTATGTTTTGTAGTACGTCATCTTGAAGATAACTTCCAAGATCTTTAGGTAATTGAAAATTCTGACTGATACTCAATTGACTTAATTAATGGATGTTCACTGGATGCCCAGAGCATTTCTAAGTAAGGAAGAAAACGGAAACACTGATTACTAAGCACAATTTTAAATTTGTATAATTTTGCTTATTATTATTTTTAAATTTAATTCAATTTATTTTAATTGAGACAGGGTCTTACTTCGTTGCCCTGGCTGGAATGCAGTGGTGCGAACACAGCTCATTGTGGCCTTGACCTCCCAGGCTCAAGCGATTCTCCCACCTGAGCCTCCCAAGTAGTTGGGACTACTGGCGCATGCCACCAAGCCCGGCTAGTTTTCGCTTTTTGTTTTTTGAGACAGGGTCTCACTCTGGTTGCCCAGGCTGGAGTGCAGTGGCCTGATCTTGGCTCACTGCAGCCTCGAACTCTCAAGCTTAGGTGATTCTCCCACCTCAGCCTCCCGAGTAGCTGGGACAACAGGCACACACCACCACACCCAGCTAATTTGTGTTTTTTGTTGTTGTTGTTATTGTTGTTGTTTGAGATGGAGTCTCACTCTGTCTCCCAGGCTAGAGTGCAGTGGCGTGATCTCAGCTCACTGCAAGCTCTGTCTCCCGGGTTCACACCATTCTCCTGCCTCAGCCTCCCGAGTATTTGGGACTACAGGTGCCTGCCACCATGCCCAGCTAATTTTTTGTTGTTGTTGTTGTTGTTGTATTTTTAGTAGAGATGGGGTTTCACCGTGTTAGCCAGGATGGTCTCAATCTCCTGACCTCGTGACCTGCTCACCTCGGCCTCCCAAAGTGCTGGGATTACAGGCGTGAGCCACTGCGCCCGGCCTAATTTGTGTATTTTTTTTTAGAGAGAGGGTTTCACCATGTTGCCCAGGCAGGTCTCGAACTCCTGAACTCAAGCAGTCTTCTCGCCTCGGCCACCTGAAGTGCTGGGATTACAGGCCTGAGCCACTGCACCCAGCCATATTTTTGTATTTTTTGTAGAGATGGGGTTTCGCCATGTTGCCCAGGCTGGTCTGGAACTCCCAAGCTCAAGCAATTCACCTGCCTCGGCCTCCTGAAGTGCTGGGATTACAGGCGTGGGCCACTGTGCCTGGCCTGCTGCTTGTTTGTATGTGCTACAGAGAGGCCCTGTTTTGGGGTCTATCAATCAACATATCCATTTTTGCCACATCAAGATGTCATATAAGGGATGTGGGCCATTCTAGGGAGCTGGTTTAAGTGTAGCCCTGAGCTTGGCTAGTTGACTAAAATGACATTTCACAATTATCCACACCTTGGTGAAGTCAAAGTTAGTTCTATTTAATCTCTTAGGGCTTATTAAAGACCCCAAAGAGCTTTGATTTACGTGGGTTATGGCTATTGATACTTACTGGGTTAGAAATTAAAACAGAAAATTGTAAATATTTATTGAGTCATAGTAATAACAAATGCATTAACATGTTTAACATAAAGAATATCTTAGGGCCGGGTGCAGTGGCTCATGCCTGTAATCCCAGTACTTTGGGAGGCTGAGGTGGGAGGATCACTTGAGGCTGTAGTCAGACTCCTCAGGTGAGTGAGCAATATTTTCCTGTTTCTGGAGGGTATCCATAAATTATTTTATGAAGTCACTTAAATTAAAGGAACTCTGTTCTGATTGGCTGATAGAAATAAATAAGCACATATACAAATCAAATATTTCTAAAATTATAGGAAAATTAGAAAATCAAACTTTTTTTTTATTTCCTGGGCAACATAGAGAGACCTTGTCTCTACTTTTAATTTTTATTTAAAAGTAAAAAATGTTGGGTGTGATGGTGCATACCTGTAGTCCCAACTATGTGGGAGGCTGAGATGGGAGGATTGCTTGAGCCCAGGAGTTTGAGGCCATAGTGAGCTATGATGGTTGCTACTACACTCAAGCCTGGAAGACAGAGCAAGACCCTGTCTCATAAAACAAAACAAAACAAAAACATATCTTGGTATTACTATGAAATCAGTTCTGACCTTTGGGCCCTTGACATCTGTCTTCAAGTAAAGTGTCAGTTTGTTCCATGATATGAAACTTGGAAAGTGAATGTTATTTGCCTTGGCTGATAACCCCTGAGTTATGGAGGAAGCTATGCAATGTATTCATGTCTTAGGTTTGTTTCCTTGGCTTACAACATACATGGTGATTCTTTTTTTTTTGTGAGACGGAGTCTCGCTTCTCTGTCGTCCAGGCTGGAGTGCAGTGGTGCAATCCCGGCTCACTGCAACCTCTGCCCCCTGGGTTCAAGCGATTCTCCTGCATCAGCCTCCCGAGTAGCTGGGACTACAGGCACGCGCCACCATGCCCGGCTAATTTTTGTATTTTTAGTAGAGATGGAGTTTCACCATGTTGGCCAGGCTGGTCTCCATCTCCTGACCTCGTGATCCGCATGCCTCGGCCTCCCAAAGTTCTGGGATTACAGGCGTGAGCCACCGCGCCCAGCCTGTTATTCTTTACTTTATATTTAATCTGCCTAGAGAGGAAAGAATGTTTTACTAGAATAGTTTTCTGTGCTTTATTTTGGCTTTAGTATGTCCTTAATTTTTTTGGGGGGGGCGGGGCGCAGCGCGGACAGAATCTTGCTCTGTCACCCAGGCTGGCGTGCAGTGGTGCCCATCTTGGCTCATTGCCACCTCTGCCTCTCGGGTTCAAGCAATTCTCCTGCCTCCGCCTCCCGAGTAGCTGGGATTACAGGTGCGTGCAACCATGCCTGGCTAATTTTTGTATTTTTAATAGAGATGGGATTTCACCAGTTGCCCAGGCTGGTCTCGAACTCCTGGGCTCAAGTGATCACCCCGCTTGGCCTCCCAAAGTGCTGGGATTACAGATGTGAGGCACCGTGCCTAGCCAATTTTTTTTTTTTTTTTGGAGATGGAGTCTCGCTCTGTTGCCCAGGCTGGAGTGCAGTGGCGCAATCTCAGCTCACTGCAACCTCCGCCTCCTAGGTTCAAGTGATTCTCCTGCCTCAGCCTCCCAAGTAGCTGGGATTACAGGCACACACCACCAGGCCCGGCTAATTTTTGTATTTTTTTTAGTAGAGGTGGGGTTTTACCATGTTGGCCAGGCTGGTCTTGAACTCCTGACCTCAGGTAATCCACCCACCTTGGCCTCCCAAAGTGCTGGGATTACAGGCGTGAGCCACCGCTCCTGGCCTCGTGCCTGGCCTATTATGTCCTTAATTTTTGTTTTGTTTTGTTTTGTTTTGAGACAGAGTCTTGCTCTGTCACCCAGGCTGGAATGCAGTGGTGCGATCTCGGCTCACTGCAACCTCTGCCTCCTGGGTTCAAGCAATTCTCCTGCCGCAGCTTCCTGAGTAGCTGGGACTACAGGTGCCTGCCACCATGCCCGGCTAATTTTTTGTATTTTTAATAGAGATGGGGTTTCACCGTGTTAGCCAGGATGGTCGTGATCTCCTGACCTCATGATCCGCCCACCTCGGCCTCCCAAAGTGCTGGGATTACAGGCATGAGCCACCGCGTCCAGCCCTATGTCCTTAATTTTTGAAGAAAAGAAATACAAAGAAAAAAATTTTCTCTCTTAAGTGATTTATAATCATGTTACTCTCTATCCGTATTTTTATGTTTTATTGTCACTTTGGTCACCATTATTGTTTCTCAGGTACCTATAATATCTTACTCAAGTGTATAAAACTCCTCTTAATTTTTCTTTTTTCCTTTTTTTTTTTTTGAGATGGAGTCTCGCTCTTGTCGCCCAGGCTGGAGTGCAATGGTGTGACCTCAGCTCACTGCAACCCCTGCCTCCTGGGTTCAAGCGATTCTCCTGCCTCAGCCTCCCAAGTAGCTGGGATTACAGGTGTGAGCCACCATGCCCAGCTAATTTTTGTATTTTTAGCAGAGACGGGGTTTTACCATGTTGGCCAGGCTAGTCTTGAACTCCTGACCTGAGACGATCTGCCTGCCTCAGCCTCCCAAAGTGCTGGGATTACAGGCGTGAGCCACCGTGCCTGGTCTTCTTTTTTTTTGAGAGGGAGTGTCTCACTCTGGCGCCCAAACTGGAGTGCAATGGCATGATCTCGGCTCACTGCAACCTTCACTTCCTGGGCTCAAGCAATTCTCCCACCTCAGCCTCCCGAGTAGTTGGGATTCCAGGCACGTGCCACCATGCCCAGCTAATTTTTGTATTTTTAGTAGAGACGGGGTTTCACCATGTTGGCCAGGCTAGTCTCGAACTCCTGACCTTAGTTGATCTGCCCACCTCAGCCTCCCAAAGTGCTGGGATTACAGGTGTGAGCCACCTTGCCTGGCCAAGCCACCATGCCTGGCTTAGGTTTTCATTTTTATCTTCCCAAAGTCAGACCTAAATATAGAAAAAAATAAAGTTTAACTTTCATGATCTCCTTTGTACCTAAAACTATCTTTGAGATTTCACACAGGGATCCTAGAAAGTTACAAGGATCAGTTATTTCACTTTATTTAAAAAGGATGCTAGATACCGGGTGTGGTGGCTCATGTCTGTAAACACTTTGGGAGGCTGAGGCAGGCAGATCACATGAAGCTAGGAGTTCTCGCCAACATAGTGAAACTCTGTCTCTACTAAAAATACAAAAATTAGGCTGGGCGTGGTGGCTCATGCCTGTAATCCCAGCACTTTGGGAGTGAGTCCGAGGCAGGCGGATCACCTGAGGTCAGGAGTTTGAGACCAGCCTGGCCAACATGGTGAAACTCCGTCTCTACTGAAAACACGAAAATTAGCTGGGCGTGGTGGTGTGTGCCTGTAGTCCTAGCTCCTTGGGAGGCAGAGGTGAGAGAATTGCTTGAACCTGGGAGATGGAGGCTGCAGTGAGCTGAGATCATGCCATTGCACTCCAACCTGGGTGATAGAGTGAGACTCCGTCTCAAAAAAAAAAAAAAAAAAATTAGGCCGGGCATGGTGGCTCATGCCTGTAATCCCAGCACTTTGGGAGGCCAAGGCGGGCAGATCGCTTGAGGTTAGAAGTTCGAGACCAACCTGGGCAACATGGGGAAACCCCATTTCTACTAAAAATACAAAAATTATTGGTGGCGGGCGCCTATAATCCCAGCTACTCGGGAGACTGAGGCAGGAGAATCTCTTGAACCCAGGAGGCAGAGGTTGCAGTGAGCCAAGATCACGTCACTGCACTCCAGCCTCGGTGACAGAGTGAGACTCTGTCTCAAAAAAAGAAAACAAACAAACAAACAAACAAAAAAAGTGTATGCTTTATCGGAAGTTCCTGGAGATGTGTGCCCTTGCTTTTCATAATATGTTGCAACTTAGAGGAAACACTGAATGAAACTGTTATGAAATATTTCCTGGGCAGGGCGGTGGCTCATGCCTGTAATCCCAGCACTTTGGGAGGCCAAGGCAGGAGGATCACTTGAGCCCAGGAGTTCAATACAAGCCTGGGCAACACAGTGAGACCCCGTCTCTACTAAAAATTTTTTTTTAAAAAGTAAACGGGCATGGTGGCATGCACCTATACTCTCAGTTACTCAGGATGCTGAGGTGGGAGGACTGCTTGAGCCTCGTAGGTCATGGCTGCAGTGAGCTGAGATTGTGCCATGGCCACAGAGCAAGACCCTGTCTCAAAAAAAAGAAAAAAATTATTTTCGTTGAGTTTTCCTGTATTCATCAGAGTCCTGGTGGTGCTTTGCTTGATGATATTAGACAACAGCAGTATAGAGTATTATTGGTCATAATAATTGGTTATTATTGTAAATGCTTACTTGCTCACAGCCTTCTTTAATTTGAATCTGACATCTTCTAGGCCAGTGACGCTCAGTGCACATCAGACTTACCCATAAGGTTTTATTAAAATACAGATGTTTAGATTCTACTCCAAACTGACTGAATCTCGTTATTTTATATTCTTGGTATATTATGCATGCTACATCTCAGGATTATTATATACTATATACAAATTTTTTTTTCTATATACTATATACAAGTTTTTTTTTCTGGTTGGACGTGGTGGCTGATGCCTGTAATCCCAACACTTTGGGAGGCCAAGGTGGGCAATGACTTGAGCCCATGAGTTCGAGACCAGCCTGGGCAACATGGCAAAACCCAGTCTCTACAAAATAGTACAAAAAATTACCTGGGCATGGTGGCATGTGCCTGTAATCTCAGCTACTGGGGAGGCTGAGGTGGGAGAGTTGCTTGAGTCCATGAGGTCAAGACTGCAGTAAGCTGTGATTATACCACTGCACTCAAGCCTGGGCAACAGGGCAAAACCCTGTCTCTAAAAAAAAAAAAAAAAAGTAAAAATAAAGATTTTTTCCTCTATAAGAATGTGTTCATCCATATTTATAAATGAGAGGTAGCATTCACAGGTGTCTTTGAAAATAAACTTTGGCCAGGTGCAGTGGCTCATTACCTATAATCCCAGCACTTTGGGAGGCTGAGGCAGGTGGATCACCTGAGGTCAGGAGTTGAAGACCAGCCTGGCCAACATGGTGAAACCCTGTCTCTACTAAAAGTACAAAAATTAGCTGGGCGTGGTGGCGGGTGCCTGTAGTCCCAGCTACTTGGGAGCCTGAGGCACAAGAATCACTCGAACCAGAGAGGTAGGGTTGCAGTGGGCCGAGAGCGTGCCACTGCACTCCAGCCTGGGAGACAGAGTGAGATTCTGTATCAAAAAAAAAAAAAAAAAAAAAAAAAAAACGGCGGGGCATGGCGGCTCATGCCTGTAATCCCAGCACTTTAGGAGGCTGAGGCAGGTGGATCACTTGAGGTCAGGAGTTCAAGACCAGCCTGGCCAACATGGCGAAACCCCATCTCTAATAAAAATACAAAAACATTAGCCGGGCCTGGTGGCACGCACCTGTAGTCCCAGCTACTCGGGAGGCTGAGGGAGAGAATTCCTTGAACCTGGGAGGCAGAGGTTACAGTGAGCCGAGATCGTGCTACTGCACTCCAGCCTGGGTGGTAGAGCAAGACTCCATCTCAAAAAATAAATAAATAAAAATAAACTTAATCATTATCTTTAGAGACATTTTTGTCTAAAAAAATTATTAGGAACGGCTTAAAACTGCAAACATTTTTATCTTAGTTTCTGTAGGTGTGGGATCTGGGTGCAGCTTTGCTATTACTAATAGATAGTCCTGGCTCAGGGTCTCTCATGAAGTTGCGTCTAGGGCTACAGTCATCTGAAGGCTTGACTGGGGCTGGGGGTGTCTGCTCCCAAGAAGGCCCACTCACCTGGCTGATGGCTGGTGTTGGCTATTGGCTGGGGTGCTTCAGGTCTCCTCCATGTGGCCTCTCAGTCTCCAGGGCCTCATTTTTTTCATATAGCCTTTCTAATTGATGGCTGGGCTCCAGTGAGACAGAGAGAGGGATCTTTTTATAAATGAATCTCAGAGGTGGTATTATCATTTCTACCATATTCTATTTGTTTTGAGTCACAAAATCCAGACCACACTCAAGGCGGGGGGCACAGACACCAGGATGGGGAATCATCAGGGACCACCTCAAAGGCTGACCACAGCATTGCCCCTAAAATGTATGGGGCCCCAGACAAGTATTTTTTGCAGGAACTCTGTCTATATAAACAATTTAAATACAAAATGTATTACAAGATCATGAGTCCATATGAGGTATTGGGATTTACTGATGAAGATTTTAATTTATTTATTTTAGAGATGGGGTCTTGCTCTGTCACGCAAGCTGGAATGCAGTGGCGTGATCTCACCTCACTGCAGCCTCAAATTCCTGGGCTCAAATGATCTTCCCACCTTGGCCTCCAGAGTAGCTGGAATTATAGGCATGACGCCACTATGCTCAGCTAATTAAAAATTTTTGTTGTTGTTGGTGGAGATAGTGTCTTGCTTTTGGAGGGTAAAGGTTTAGAACAATGTGTCGACCCATTGTGAAGTGAAATAAATCAATCAATAAATAAAATAGAACAGTGTGTATGTCTGGGTGTGGTGACTCACCCAACTACTTGGGAGGCTGAGGTGGAGCCCAGGGTTGAGAAATGTTCAAGGCTGCAGTGAGCCATGATGGCACCACTGCACTTCAGCCTGTCTCTAAAAAGAAAAATTTTTAAATGAAATAATGCTATAGCTGTCATAAATTTGTAGGTACTAATTAATAGAGTGGCAAGATGCAAAAAGTATAACCTCTGGGAAATGTAATAAATAAATGATGGAAATATACCAGAAGCAGGAGGCTTTAACTTACCTTTGTCAGCAAATGACAGCTCTAGTAGACAAAAACAAAAACAGTATAATTAATAAAGCTATATCAAATTCTCTTTTCTTAAAACCATGAATACATCTTTTAGTCAGTCAGCAACTATGGAACATTAGTAATCACTGGCCATAATATTAGGCCACAGAGAAAAGTTTAATAAATTCCAAAAAGTAGAATGGATACAGACCACATTCTTTGACCATAATGCAATAAACATAAACATGGACTTTTTCTTTTTTCTTTCCCTTTCTTTTTTTTTTCTTTTCTTTTTTTTTTGAGACAGAGTCTTGCTCTGTCACCCAGGCTAGAGGGCAGTGGTGTGATCATGGTTCACTGCAGCCTCTGCCTCTTGGGCTCAAGTGATTCTCCTACCTCAGCCTCCTGAGTAGCTGGGACTACAGGCGTGAGCCACCACACCCAGCTAACTTTTTGTATTTTTTTGTAGAGACGGAGTTTTGCCATGTTGCCCAGGCTGGTCTTGAACTCCTGAGCTCAAGCAATCCTCCTGCTTCGGCCTCTCAAAGTACTGGGATTACAGGTGTGAGCCACCAGGTCTGGCCAAACTTGGATTTTTTAAAACAAAAATAAAACCACAAAACTCCAATAGCTCAGGGAAAAAAGATTTAGCTCTCTCACGTTTTATAATATCCAGTGCTGTCAAGAGTATGAGGAAAACTGATAATATATAACAGGTGGCAGTATAAAATTCAGCAAGCATTTTAGAAAAAGTTTCACAGTATTTATCAAAGTTTTACATTTATATACATTTTGATCCAGGATTTTTTTTTTTTTTGGCTAGGAATTTGCTCTTTGTGTGTGTGGTTTTTTTTTTTGTTTTGTTTTTACTTTGTAAATTTACTTAAAAAAATAGCTGTCTGCATATTTTTAATGGATGAGTAAACCAAAAATATATAAACAGCTATTTATAAAGGGGTGAATAAAAAAAGATAAAATAGTTTCTTATGGGTGGAGGGAGAGGGAAGAAGGTTGAGGAGACAGGGATAGAAGCTAGATTTATCTAAATATACCATATTATTATTATTATTATTATTATTTTGAGACGGAGTCTCACTGTGTCGCCCAGGCTGGAGTGCAGTGGCACGATCTCGGCTCACTGCAACCTCCGCCACCCGGGTTCACGCCATTCTCCTGCCTCAGCTTCCCGAGTAGCTGGCACTACAGGCTCCCGCCACCACACCCGGCTAATTTTTTTGTATTTTTAGTAGAGACGGGGTTTCACCGTGTTAGCCAGGATGGTCTTGATCTCCTAACCTCGTGATCCACACGCCTTGGCCTCCCAAAGTGCTGGGATTACAGGCGTGAGCCACTGCGCCTGGCCCATATTATTATTATTTATCTTTTGAATATACTGTACTATTATTGAGAACCATGCAAACACAGTATCATTGTATAATCATTATTATATAAAATTATGTATTATTTAAAAATTGCATCATATCAAAAGGAAGTTATAGATTACTGGGGTCATATCAAGCAAGTTTCAAAGGCTCCCATTGGCCAAAGATGGGGCAATTTGAGCATCAAAAAGAACAATAACTGCAATAGATTGAAATACATCACCTAGCCCTCAGGGCAGAATGATGCCACAAAATCTCCCTGGCCACCTTTGGAGGATGCTAGTGAACCAACTCATTCTGAAAACTGATAAATAAAGAGAGAGACAAAGTAACTGACTAGATAATTGATTAAAGAATTATTATTTTTGAGATATGATCATGATTTACTGCTAACTTGTTAAAAGCTCTTATCATTTGGGCCGGGCGCGGTGGCTCACGCCCGTAATCCCAGCACTTTGGGAGGCTGAGGCGGGCGGATCACAAGGTCAAGAGATGGAGACCATCCTGGCCAACATGGTGTAACCCCGACTCTACTAAAAATACAAAAATTAGCTGGGCGTGGTGGTGTGCACCTGTAGTCCCAGCTACTCGGGAGGCTGAAGCAGGAGAATTGCTTGAACCTGGGAGACGGAGGTTGCAGTGAGCCGAGATTGCACCACTGCACTCCAGCCTGGCAACAGAGCAAGACTCTGTCTCAAAAAAAAAAAACAAAAAAAGGAAAAGTTCTTATCATTTACAGCAACATCTTGAGAGATTCATGGGTAAAATGATGTAATATCTGGGTGTTGCTTCAAAATAATCCAGTGGGGATGTGGGTAGAGGACATAAAAGAAACAACATTGGCTGTGAATTGATAAATGTTGAACTAGGTGATGACTACATGGAGATTTATTGTATTGTTCTCTCTACTTTTTTATACGCTTGAAATTTTCCATAACAGAAAAATAATTTTATGGAGGCAAAAGCTGTAAACAGTGTTCTATGCCTATATTGAGAGTATGACTCATGACTTTTTTTTAAAAAAAGCCAGACCTGACCTTAAAAATTTCTTTTATTTTAATTTAATTAAAAAAAATTTTTTTAGAGACAGCGTCTCACTTTGTCGCCCAGACTGGAGTGCACTGGTGTGCTCATAGCTCATTGTGCAGCTTTGAACTCCTGGGCTCAAGCGATCCTTCCACCTTAGCTTCTTGAGTAGCTGAGACTACAGGCACGAACCACCACACCCAACTAATGTCTTTATATTTTATATTATTTTATTATAATTTTATTTTACTGTATTTTATTTATTTGTTTGTTTTGAGACAGGGTCTTTGCTCTGTCACCCACGCTGGAGTGCAGTGGCATGATCTCAGCTCACTGGAGCCTTGACTTCCTGGGCTCAAGTGATCCTCCCACCTCAGTCTCCCAAGTAGCTGGGACTACAGGCATGCACCACCACACCTGGCTAATTTTTAAAAAATTTTGGTAGCAATGGGACCTCAACATGTTGCCCAGGCTGGTCTCAAACTCCTGGACTCAAGCAATCCTCCCTCCTCAGCTTCCCAAAATGTTGGGATTAGAGGCATTGAACCACTGCACCTGGCCTATTTTATTTTTGAAAATAGAGACAGGTGGGGGGGGTGGGTGTCTCCCTATATTGCTCAGGCTGGTCCCGAACTCCTGGTCTCAAGTGATCCTTTTGGCTTCCCAAAGTGCTGGGATTACATGAGCCACCACTCCTGGCCACTGTGCTGGGTTTAATTGTGGAGAACTATAACTAAGCATTGTCTTTAAAAAACGAGTACATTGGCCGGGCGCGGTGGCTCACGCCTGTAATCTCAGCACTCTGGGAGGCGGAGGCGGGCGGATCACGAGGTCAGGAGATCGAGACCATCCTGGCTAACACGGTGAAACCCCCATCTCTACTAAAAATACAAAAAATTAGCCGGGCGTGGTGGCGGGCACCTGTAGTCCCAGCTACTCGGGAGGCTGAGGCAGGAGAATGGCGTGAACCCAGGAGGCGGAGCTTGCAGTGAGCCGAGATCGCACCACTGCACTCCAGCCTGGGCGACAGAGTGAGACTGCCTCAAAAAAAAAAAAAAAAAAAAAAGAGTACATTTTGGGCCGGTTGCAGTGGCTCACATCTACAATCCCAGTACTTTGGGAGGCCGAGGCAGGCGGATCACCTGAAGTCAGAAGTTGGAGACCAGCCTGGGCAACACGGCAAAACCCCGTCTCTACTAAAAAAACATAAAAACTAGCCAGGCATGTTGGCGGGCGTCTGTAATCCCAGCTACTCGGGAGGCTAAGGCAGGAAAATTCCTTGAACCTGGGAGGTGGAGGTTGCAGTGAGCCCGGATCACGCCACTGCACTCCAGCCTGGGAGACAGAGGGAGACTCCATCTCAAAAAAAAATTAAAATTAAATTAAAATAAAAAAAGAACATTTTGGCCTACAATTCCTGACAAAGATGGAATGTGGGCAAATGCATGATGACCTGGATTATTTCTGGGAGAATTGTAAAGAGTTTCTGTAGTCAGCAGAAATGCTTTGAATACTTTCCATATATTAGTTCATTAATCCCCCATGAAGTACAAGTAGGGGAAACTGAGGCACAGGGAAGTTGACTAATTTGCCCAGGGTCACAAAGTGAGTAAGTGGCAGAACCGCTATTTGAACCTAGCTGCGCTCATAGTGCTTTAATCTTCAATCAGCGAGGATCGTCAAGTTGGCTGCTGGATCTTTCTGGATCTTTTTTTCATTACCTCGCCTTTCATGTTGTTTGTCCACATAGCTTGAGGCTTTATCACAGATTGCTCTTGGGGGCAGTGTTACTCCAGAAATGCCGGAATGCTCCGCTATTCCTCACTCCACCCCTAAATATACAGCATCTCCTCCCGCCCTTAAGCTCTGAAAAAAATGCTGCGGAGCCAGAAAGGCTGCAGAAAGCCGGGTGTGACCACTGGCTCTGTAGCCAACCTGTTCCCTGCTGCTGCTGCTGCTGCTGCTGCTGCTGCTGCTGCAGTCGTTTGGTTTCCTCTTTGAATCTGAGATGATTCTGAGGTCTACACTGCAAACTCTTGGCATATATCATTTCTAGAATTCCATTCCTACTCGACCTAGGCTGTGAGTCTGCACTAGTTCGCGGCACGTTAGATCGCGCCCATTTCCCTTATTGGCAAGTTGTCAGGTTGAGGAAGCTCCAGGCCTGGAGGAGGGCATCTCCAGCCACCAGCCATGAAGCCCAGGGCCTCAGGCACCTTCTGGCCTCCGGGTGGCCTCCTCTATTCGCTGACCCAGACACTAGTCCAGTGGTTCCCAAAGTGGGGTTCCCTGGCAGGCAGCAGCTGCCTCGCTGGGAATCTATTAAAAATGCATACTCCCAGGCCCCACCCATGACCCACTGAATCAGAAGCTGTGGGCCTGGGGCCCAGCAGTTGGTGTTTTCAGAAGCCCTCCAGTGGACTCCAATGGTTCCTAGAGTTTCAAAAGCACACTGGGCTAGGCCAGGTGTGCCAAGAGAGAAGTAGCTTTTTGGCTCAAGTCCTCACAGGAATGGTCAGAGGGTCCCCATCAGTCTATCAGTGTGCACCATACAACGCTCACAGAGGGACACACGTGTGCCCGTGTGCATGCGTCCCTGTATGGACTCCAGTTGGAGGGGGAGGGACAGTTTTGCCTTGTGGTTTTGTCACTCGCCATTGGAAAATAGCCCTTTCCCCTACTACTAAATAGCTTCCCATTGTTTTCTAGTCCCTTTACTTCCATTTCAGAGAGTGTTTTCTCTTCTGTGTTTTTTTGTTTGTTTGTTTTTTGAGACGGAGTCTCACTCTCTCACCCAGGCTGGAGTGCAGTGGCGCGATCCTGGCCCATTGCAACCTCCGCCTCCGGGATTCAAGCAATTCTCCTGCCTCAGCCTGCTAAGTAGCTGGGATTACAAGTGCCTGCTACCACACTCACCTAATTTTGTATTTTTAATAGAGATAGGGGTTTTGCCATGTTGGCCAGGTTGGTCTCGAACTCCTGACCTCAGATGATCCACCTGCCTCGACCTCCCAAGTGCTGGGATTACAGGCATGAGCCACCATGCTGGGTCCCTCTTCTCTTTGGAAAAGTCATCCACGTTGGTTGCAAGTTTTTCAGAAAAGAGGGAACTACATTATAGAAATAAATGGCAAACAGACACCCAACACCCAAGGAATAATTTCTCATCTCTGTCCTTTCAATGTGTATATTTCTAAATGTCCGTGTTTATATTTACATAAATTAAAAAAAACGGTTTACTTGTACGTGTCATTTTGTTTTTATCTTAAATTTTTGTGTTTTTAATTTTGGTGATATATCATTTTGGTTGTACTTTTTCACTTCTGTACATACTGTTACATAACATGCAGTTTTCCAGTAACACTAACTTGTGAATGCATATTTTACAATTTTATTTATATTTATTTATTTATTTACTTTTGAGACAGTCTCACTCTGTCTCCCAGGCTGGAGTGCAGTGGCTTGATCTCGGCTCCCTGCAACCTCCACCTCCCAGGTTCAAGCAATTCTCCTGCCTTAGCTTCCCGGGTAGCTGGGATTACAGACCCGCCACCGCGCCTGGCTAATTTTTGTTTTTTTAAGTAGAGACGGGGTTTTACCATGTTGGCCAGGCTGGTCTCAAACTCCTGATCTCAGGTGATCTGCCTGCCTAGGCCTCCCAAAGTGCTGGGATTACAGGCGTGAGCCACCGCGCCCGGCCCCCCCTTTTTTTTTTTTTGAGACTGAGTTTCCATCTTGTTGCCCAGGCTGGAGTACAATGATGCGATCTCAGCTCACCACAACCTCCGCGTCCCGGGTTCCAACGATTCTCCTGCCTCAGCCTCCCCAGTAGCTGGGATTACAGGCATGCACCACCACACCCGGCTAATTTTGTATTTTCGGTAGAGACGGGGTTTCTCCATGTTGGTCAGGCTGATCTCAAACTCCCAACCTCAGGTGATCCGCTCACCTCCACCTCCCAAATTGCTGGGATTACAGGCATGAGCCACCGTGCCTGGCAGGATAGAAGCCATTTTAACTGGGGTGAGATGGTATCTCATTGTAGTTTTGATTTGCATTTCTCTGATGATCAGTGACATTGAGCACCTTTTCCTATGCCTGCTTGTCATTTGTAGGTCTTCTTTTGAGAAATGTCTATTGAGATCTTTTGCCCACTTTTTGATCAGATTATTAGATTTTTTCCTCTAGGGTTGTTTGAGCTCTTTATATATTCTGGTTATTAGTCCCTTGTCAGATGGGTAGTTTGCGAATATTTTCTCCCATTCTTTGGGTTGTCTCTTCACTTTGTGGATTGTTTCCTTTGCTGTGCAGAAGTTTTTTAACTTGATGTGATCCCATTTGTCCATTTTTGCTTTGGTTGCCTGTGTTTGCCAAATTCATTTTACAAGGCCAGCATTACCCTAATGCCAAAGTCAGACACTACAAGAACACTACAGCCAATATCCCTGATGAACATAAATGCAAAAAGCCTGCACGAAATACTAACAAACAAAATCCAACAGCACATTAAAAGGATCATACATCATGACCAAATGGGATTAATCCCTAAGATGCAAGGATGGGTCAACATACATAAATTAATAAATGTGATATACCACATTAACAGAATGAAGGATAACAATCATCTCAAAAGATTCAGAAAGAGTATTTCACAAAAATTCAATGCCACTTCATGATAAAAACTCTAAACTAGGTATAGATGGAATTTACCTAAGCATAATAAAGGCCATATATGCCTGGCTAATTTTTGTATTTTTAATAGAGACGGGGATTCACCACGTTGGCCAGGCTGGTCTTGATCTCCTGACCTCAAATGATCCTCACCTCGGCCTCCCAAAGTGTTGGGATTACAGGCGTGAGCCACCGCACCCTGCCACAATTTTCTTCTAAGATAAAAAAGTTTACATAAGGGTTCTCTGGGATGGAAACAAAAGTTGGACAGAGCCAGGATTATTTTAATAAAATACAATTAATAGGAGTTGTGATAAATGAAATGATGCCCCACAAAAGTGCCCATGTCTTAACCCCCACGTTCTAGGAATATATTATGGTATATGACAAAGAATAGAGGCTGTAGATAAAATCAAGGATGATAATCAGATGACTCTAAAACAAAGAGATTAATTTGAATTATGAGATTGGTGTCTACAGCCATACCACCCTGAATGCACCTGATCTTATCTGAATTATAAGTGTGAGCCTAGGGTAATCACAAAAGTTCTTAAATGGGAATGAGAGGCTAAGAAAATTAATGCTGTGATATGAGAGTCAGATTTTTTTTTAATTTTTTTTTAAATTATGTTGGGCTGGGCACAGTGGCTCACGCCTATAATCCCAGAACTTTGGGAGGCCAAGGCGGGCGGATCACCTGAGGTCAGGAGTTCGAGACAAGCCTGGCCAACATGGTGAAACCCCATCTCTACTAAAAATATAAAAATTAGCCAGGCATGGTGGCAGGTGCCTGTAATCCCAGATTCTTGGGAGGCTGAGGTAAGGGAATTGCTTGAACCTATGAGGCAGAGGTTACAGTGAGCCGAGATCACACCATTGCACTCCAGCCTGGGGGACAAGAGTAAAACTCCGTCACAAAAAAAAAAAAAAAAAAAGTATGTATACACGGCCAGGCACGGTGGCTCACGCCTGTAATCCCAGCACTTTGGGAGGCCAAGGTGGGTGGTTCACTTGAGGTCAAGAGTTGGAGACCAGCCTAGCCAACACGGTGAAACCTTGTCTCTACTAAAAATACAAAAATTAGCCAGGCATGGTGGTGCACACCTTTAGTCCCAGCTACTAGGGAGGTTGAGGTAAGAGAATTGCTTGAATCCGGGAGGTGGAGGTTGCAGTGAGCCGAGATCATGCCACTGCACTCCAGCCTGGGCGACAGAGAGACTCCATCTCAAAAAAAGAAAAAAAAAATATATATATATACACACACACACACACACAATTATTCTTAGAATATATATATATATATATATATACATATATATATATATATATACTAGGTATATAGTGTAAAAATAATGCTGACTGTACTTTTGAAAATTTATGTAATAGAATTAATCAAGAATTTTATGAGATAAAAAAGTGATGATTTTGAACATACAATAAATAACATTTATGAGGTAAAGTCTATTTTTTTTTTTTGAGACAGAGTCTTGCTCTGTTGCCCAGGCTGGAGTGCAGTGGCGCGATCTTGGCTCACTGCAAGCTCCACCTCCCGGGTTCATGCCATTCTCCTGCCTCAGCCTCCCAAGTAACTGGGACTACAGGTGCCTGCCACCACGCCCAGCTAATTTTTTGTGTTTTTAGTAGAGATGAGGTTTCACCGTGTTAGCCAGGATGGTCTCCATCTCCTAACCTCGTGATCCGCCCACCTTGGCCTCCCAAAGTGCTGGGATTACAGGCGTGAGCCACCACGCCGGGTGTAAAGTCTATTATTTTCAGATATTCAAAATATGTTTCTCTTTTGCAATTTACATTATTACATTCCACTTATGTTTTCATTGAAAAATGCCTCTTTTTTTCAAGCTGGCATTGGAATCTTGACCCTCAGCTTCCTCATTTTCTTCCTCGTCTTCACACTTCTTCTGTAATGCAGGCCTGAGCCCACAGACCTGACCATTTATCACCTGGTCTTCATCCACATAGTGATCCTCCTTACTCTGGTGTCATTGTTGTCTCCAGGTCTGCCTGAGTCACTGTATTTTCAGAATGACTTCAAGTGTAAAGGATTTTTTTTACCTGAACAAGATGATGAGAAGTTTCTCCATCTGCACCACCTGCTTCCTGAGTGTGCTTCAGACCATAATCATCAGCCCCAGAAGCTCTTGGTTGGTGAGGTTTAACCATAAATCCACCATTTTCACCTGTCATTTCTTGTTGTTTTTACATTTTCTCAGTTTTTTTTTTTTTCAGTAGTAATCTCATCTTGTGCACTGTGGGGTCTTCTAATGTGACCCTGAGCAATCTTCTGCATACCAGTAAAGACTGTTCACTTTTCCACCATGAACTCCATCATCAGAAGACTGTTTCTTACTCTGTTTCTTACTCCAGATATGTTTTTCTTATAGGAACAATGCTGCTTTCAAGTGCATACAGAGTGGTCCTTTTGTTCAGGCACCAGAAGAAATTCTGATACTTTCACAGCACCAGCCTCTCCCCAAGACCTTCCCCAGAGAAAAGTGCCACTCAGACCATCCTGCTGCTAGTGAGTTTCTTTGTGGTCATCTACTGGGTCGATTTCATCATCTCATGCACCTCAACCTCGCTATGGGCATATGACCCTGTTGTCCTGGGTGTCCAGAGGCTTGTCAGTCTTTTGGTGCTACTCAGATCTGATAAAAGGATAATCATTGTGACACAAACTGTGAGACAGAGGGTTAACAAGTTATTTTTATTGAAAATAGATTATTCTGTCACCAGTTAAATTACATAAGTAGTACAGAACTTGCTATTTAATTTAACTTAAATGTATGGATTTACACTTTCAATATGTCTAAATACTTTTGAATCAAATGCTGCCAATTCTCTGTGGGTTTTTTTTAGTTTAACATACATGATGGATAGATACTCCCATATGTTTACAAGTGTCTTCTTTTTCATTTTGATTTTCAGGCCTTAATACAGAGAACATTTTTCTTTCTTTTTGAAGTATAATATTAAGAATATCCTCCTGGTAATATAATCTCTCTGTCTTCGTATTTTTGAGAATGTTTTATTTTTATTTATTAAAGATATTTGACTAAATATTAAATTCTTACACTCAATATTTACTTCTCCTTGTTCTGGCTTCTATCAAGGCTGTGTGGATGGTGCCTACAAATTTGTGGCTTACCTCTGTTTTTTATCTCCCTAATTTTAAGATTTTTCTTTCTTTTTAGTGTTATACAGCTTGACTATTATTTCTGTATAAATGATCACCTGTATTTACCTTTTTTTTGAAAACTATGTACTTCTGAATTCGAGAATTTTTTCTGGCTTTTAATTTTACAAAAAATTATTTCTTTCTAAAATTACATTTGTGTCTTATTCTTTGTATGTATTTCAGTGAAACAACTGAATATACTTTATTCCTTCTAATCTTTGTCTTTATAGATCTATAAATATATTTACATCTTATATCACTTTACTTTTATTAGCATCGATTTTCTCTCCTTAATCTTCCAGTGCACTATTTATCTCATTAGCTTATTCTAAGTTAATAGTTTCCCAATACAATGTATATTGAATTTATAGATTTTTATTTCTCATTTATTCAATTTACAGTTAGCTCTTTCCATGGATGCTCTTCAATTTTTAAGTTTCTTCCTCTTTAAACACTATTTTTGTCTCTTATTTTATCACTGAATTGATGTAAACATTTTAAATACAATTCCAATTATTATTAATTTATGTAGCATCCAATTTCTTCTTACTCTAAATTGTGGTAGCTTATTTTGTGTGTGTGTGTACTTCATAACTTCTTATAATTTAGCTGTCATGATTGGGAGACCTTTCCCTGTAAATGTCTTCAATCAGTATATTTGTTTGTTCTACTTAACCTGGCACAATATTATCAATTTTGCCTTGTGATCAGCCATTCGCTTCTCACGTTGATAAAGCCTTTGAATCTTTTCTTGACTCATTTGTGTTCCTGGAAAGTTCTGATATTTTTCCTTTCAGCCCCATTGGGCATTCTAGAGATTTTTGTAACTTTTGATGCACAAACTTTCACACTGCACACATAAAATATTTTAGTTATGTAATGCTACCACACATCAGCATCTTATGAGAAATCTTGAGTCTCTTTACTTGAAGCACCCCCTCTCCAATATACAGTATGATACACTGATGTGCAGAATGTGATTAGTTTATTAATCATATGTGAAAATATTAGTAGCTACATATGGCCAGAATAGATTTTTCTCTCTACAAATGTAAGTTAGTGTTGATAGAATTTGTTATGCGATATTTGGTTCTTTGGTTTCAGTCTCAATGCTTTCTTCTTGGCATTTCATTGACTCTGTAAATTAACCTCAGCATCAATTTTCTTTTAAATTCAACAGTTATTCAAATTGATCGAAAATTAAACTTGTATGTAGCTAGTTATCACTTGTGGGTTACACTTTAATTGACGGTTTCTGATGTCATTTCATAGTGTCTAGAATATAGGACCTATTGGAGATCTACTTTCATGAAATTACTGACATAATTTTGGGTCCAAAATTTCAAAATTTTAAATATTTTTATTTGGAATTTTAAAATAATTTATATGCTCTTTTTACTGGCTAATAATGCTATTCATTATAATCTGATATTCAAACTGTCTAAAAAAGTTAACAATCATTGATTTATTTGTTGTATATACAGTTTATTTCTATGACAGTTTTAATGTCACCTAATATTATTTTTAATGTTTCAATTTCTCATTTAAATACATTTTGTGTTGTTTATTTTAATCTCATTCAATCTGTATGTGCAAATGGCTTAGAAAAAAAGGCCATATATGACAAGCCCACAGCTAACATCATATAGTCAACAGTGAAAAACTAAAAGCTTCTCCTTTAAGATCAGGAACAAGGCAAGGATGCCCATTCTCACCACTCCTATTCAACATAGTACTAGAAGTCCTAGCCAGAGCAATTAGGCACGAAAAAGAAATAAAAGGCAGCTGGGCGCGGTGGCTCACACCTGTAATCCCAGCACTTTGGGAGGCCAAGGCAGGCGGATCACGATGTCAGGAGATCGAGACCATCCTGGCTAACATGGTGAAACCCTGACTCTACTAAAAATACAAAAGATTAGCCGGGCGTGGTGGCGGGAGCCTGTAGTCCCAGCTACTCGGGAGGCTGGGGCGGGAGAATGGCGTGAACCCAGGAGGCGGAGCTTGCAGTGAGCCGAGATCATGCCACTGCACTCCAGCCTGGGTGACTCCAGACTCCATCTCAATAAATAAATAAATAAATAAATAAAAAAGAAAAAAAAAGAAATAAAAGGCAACAGGCCAAGTGCAGTGGCTCACGCCTATAATCCCAGCACTTTGGGAGGCTGAGGCAGGCTGATCACTTGAGGTCAGGAGTTCCAAGACCAGCCTGGTCAACATGATGAAACCCCGTCTCTACTAAAAATACAAAAACTTAGCCAGGCGTGGTGCCACACGCCTATAGACCCAGCTACTCAGGAGGCTGAGGTGAGAGAATTGCTTGAACCCGGGAGGCAGAGGGTGCAACTCCAGCCTGGGCAACAGAGCGAGACTTCATCTCCTAAATAAATAAATAAATAAATAAATAAATAAATGGCAACCAAATCAGAAAGAAAAAAAACTACCTGTTTACAGATGATAGAATCTTATATCTAGAAAACTCTAAACACTCCACAAAATAACTGTGAGAACTAATAAACAAATTCAGTAAAGTTGCAGGATACAAAATCAACATTAAAAAATCAGTTGTGCCGGGCACGGTGGCTCACACCTGTAATCCCAGCACTTTGGGAGACAGAGGTGGGTGGATCACCTGAGGTCAGGAGCTCGAGACCAGCCTGGACCATATGGCGAAACCCCGTCTCTACTAAAAATATAAAATATTAGCTGGGCTTGGTGCTGAGTGCCTGTAATCCCAGCTCCTCAGGAGGCTGAGCCAGGAGAATCGCTTGAACCCGGGAGGTGGAGGTTGCAGTGAGCCGAGATTGCACCATTGCACTCCAGCCTGGGCAACAAGAGTGAAACTCTGTCTCGAAAAAAAAAGTCAGTTGCATTTCTATACACTAACAATGAACTATCTGGAAGGGAAATTAAGAAAATAATTCCATTTACAATAGCATCAAAAAGAATAAAATACTTAGGAATAAATTTAACCAGACGTGAAAGACATGTACACTGAAAACTATGTAACATTAATTAAAGAAATTGAAGACAATACCAATGAACAGAAAGACATCCTGGGCTTGTGGATTGTTAGACTTAATATAGTTAAAACGTCTATACTACCCAAAGCAGTCTACAGATTCAATGCAATCCCTGTCAAAATCTCAATGACATTTTCTACAGAAATAGAAAAAAATCCAAAAATCCATATGGAACTACAAAAGGCCTCACAGCCAAAACAATCTTGAGAAAGAAGAACAAAAGAGTCATCACACTTTCTGATTTCAAAATCTATTACAAGGCTTCAGTAATTAAAACAGTATGCTACTGGCATAAAAACAGACAGACATAGAAACCAATGAAACAGAATCAAGAGCCCAGAAATAAACCTCACATATATGGCCAACTAATCTTTGACAAAGGTGCTCTGAATACACAAGAGGAAAAGGATAATCTCTTCAACAAATGGTATAGGAAAAATTTGATATCCACATGCAAAATAATGAAATGGACCCTTATCTTACACTACACACAAAAATAATTTGGAATTTATTTTAATTATTCCATTATTTTAATAAAGAAATTTATTTTTAAATAAATGTAAATAAATACATTTTATTTTATTTTATTATTTATTTATTTTTTTGAGACAGATTCTCACTCTGTCGCCTAGGCTGGAATGCAATGGCGTGATCCCGGCTCACTGCAACCTCTGCCTCCCAGGTTCAAGCGATTCTCCTGCCTCAGCCTCCCGAGTAGCTGGGATTACAGGCATGCGCCACCACGCCTGGCTAATTTTTTGTATTTTTAGTAGAGACAGGGTTTCTCCATGTTGGTCAGGCTGGTCTCGAACTACCGACCTTAGGTAATCCTCCCACCTCGGCCTCCGAAAGTGCTGGGATTACAGGCGTGAGCCACTGCGCCCGGCCTACATTTATTTTTAAATAAATGGATTTAAATGTTAAGACCTGAACCTATAAAAATGGGACACCTGCATAGGGCATTAACCATGAGTAGAGCTTGCAGGACTGGAAGTTGCTATGGGTGAGTCAGTGTGTGAGTGGTGAGTGAATGGGAAGGCCTAGGACATTCCTGTACACTACCATGGACTTTATAAATTCTGTACACTTAGGCTACACTACATTTATTTAAAATATTTTTCTTTTTTGGGCCAGGTGAGGTGGCTCACGCCTGTAATCCCAGCGCTTTGGGAGGCCGAGGCAGGCGGATCACCTGAGGTCAGGAGTTCGAGACCAGCCTGACCAACATGGAGAATCCCTGTCTCTACTAAAAATACAAAATTAGCTGAGTGAGGTGACACATACCTGTAATCCCAACTACTTGGGAGGCTGAGGCAGGAGAGTCGCTTGAACCTAGGAGGCAGAGGTTGTGGTGAGCTGAGATCACACCATTGCACTCCAGCCTGGGCAACAAGAGTGAAACTTCGTTTCAAAAAAAAAAAAATTCTTCCTATTTTTTTTTTTTTTTTTTTTGAGACAGAATCTCACTCTGTCTCCCAGGCTGGAGTGAGGTGGCACGATCTGGGCTCACTGCAACCTTCGCCTCCAGGGTTCAAGCGATTCTCCTGCCTCAGCCTCCTGAGTAGCTGGGATTACAGGCACCCGACACCATGTCTGGCTAATGTTTGTATTTTTAGTAGAGACGGGGTTTCACCATGTTGGCCAGGCTGGTCTCTAACTCGTGACCTCAAGCGATCCGTCCGCTTCGGCCTCCCAAAGCGCTGGGATTACAGGTGTGAGCCACTGCACCCGGCTCATTTAAAATATTTTTCTTGGCTGACTCTGGGCACACTACCTATGAGTTAGCCCTGCTTCTCAAGGAGCAGTACCATTCAAAAAATTAAAATTAAAAAAAGAGAGAAAAAGAAATTTAAAAAATTTTCTTTCTTCGATAATAAATTAACCTTTGTTTACTGTAACTTTATGGACTTTTTAGTTTTTAAAAAACTTTTTTACTCTTTTGTAATAACACTTGGTCTAAAATTAAAGACATTGTATAGTTGTACAAAAATATTTTCTTTCTTTATATCCTTATTGTATAAGTTTTTTCTATTTTTAAAAATATTTTACATATTGCTTGAGCCCAGGAGTTTGAGACCAGCCTGGGCAACATGGTGAAACCCCATCCCTACAAAAAATTCGCTGGGCATGGTGGTGCACACCTGTAGTCCCAGCTACTAGGGAGACTGAGGTGGGAGGACTGCTTGAGCCGGGGAGATTGAGGCTACAGTGAGCTGAGATTGCACCACTGCACTCCAGCCTGGGTGAAAGAGTGATACCCTGTCTTCACTCTCTCTCTCTCTCTCTCTCTCTCTCTCTCTCTCTATATATATATATATATATATATAGCTATATATCTAGTATATATATATGCTATATATAGGTATGCTATATATAGTATATATGCTATATAGAGGCATGCTATATATAGTATATATATGCTATATAGAGATATGCTATATATAGTATATATATGCTATATATAGTATATATATGCTATATAGAGATATGCTATATATATAGTATATATATGCTATAGAGAGATAAATATATATATACTATATATATATTTTAACATTTTGAACTTTTTAGTTAAAACTGAGACAAACACACACGTTAGCCTAGGCCTACACAGGGTCAGGATCATCAACATCACTGTCTTCCACCTCTGTATCTTTTCCCACTGGAAGGTCTTCAGGAGCAATGACAGGCATGGAGCTGTCATCTCCTGTAACAATGCCTTCTTCTAGAATGTTTTCTGAAGATCTGCCTAAGGGTGTTTTACAGTTAACCTTTTTGTGTACATAAGAGTACACTCTAAAATAATGATTAAAACTATGGCATAGTAAACACATAAACCAGTAACAGTTGTTTATTATCATCAAATATTATGTACTATACATAACTGTATATGTGATTCAGTATTTTTATTTTATTTTATTCTATTCTATTCTACTCTTATTTTATTATTTTATTGGAAACAAGGTCTCACTCTATCGACAGACTGGAGTGCAGTGGCCCAATCCTAGCTCACTGAAGCCTCAATCTCCTGGGCTCAAGTGATCCTCCCACCTCAGCCTCCTGAGTTGCTGGGATTACAGATGCCTGCCACCGTGCCTCGCTACAGTACTTTTATAGGACTGGCAGCACAGAAGGTTTACACCAGCATCACCACAAACACGTGAGTAATGTGTTGTGCTATGGTTAGATGATAGGAATTTTTTTTTTTTGAGACAGAGTCTCACTCTGTTGCCCAGGCTAGAGTGCAGTGGTGCAATCTTGGCTCACCGCAACCTCTGCCTCCTGGGTTCAAGCGATTCTCCCTGCCTCAGCCTCCTGAGTAGCTGGGATTAAAGGCATGTGCCACCACAGTCGGGTAATTTTTGTATTTTTAGTAGAGATGGGGTTTCGCTATGTTGGCCAGGCTGGTTTTGAACTCCTGACCTCAAGTCATCCACCCACCTTGGCCTCCCAAAGTGCTGGGATTATAGGCGTGAGCCTATAATCTGGCCAGATGATAGGAATTTTTCAACTGTATTATAATCTTATGGGACAACTGTCATATATGTGGTCTGTCATTGACAGAAACATCATCACTTGTTGTATGACTATGGCATGATTCCACTTATATGGGGTATCCAGAGTAGTCAAACTCATAGAAACAAAACACTAGGATGGTGGTTGCCAGGGGCTGAGAGGATGGGGAAATGGGGAGTTGCTGTTCAATGGATATTGCGCCCGGCCAGCCACACCAATTCTTACACCAAGAAGTGATGGAGCACAAGTGCTGATGGGCCTTAACACCATCATAAACATCTTTTGTTTGTCCCGGGGAAGAAATTCCCAACTCCTTCCAAAGGTCTGCCAAAGTCTACCAGTATCCCAAGCTGATTTCCTTATCCCCTCAGCAGATGCTGGAAAGCTGGAAGTCTCCTTCCTTCTCACTCTCCTGCTTGACATCTGCACAGCCATTCTTCTTCCTCCCCTTGCTCCCCTTCCTCCCCTTCTCCTTCTCCTACTTATTGAGACAGAGTCTCGCTCTGTCGCCGAGGCTGGAGTGCAGTGGTGTCATCTCGGCTCACTGCAACCTCTGCCTCCTGGGTTCAAGCAATTCTCTTGCCTCCACCTCCTGAGTAGGTGGGATTACAGGTGTGTGCCACCACAGCAGGCTAATTTTTGTATTTTTAGTAGAGACGGGGTTTCACCATATTGGCCAGGATGGTCTCGAACTCCTGACCTCAGGTGATCTGCCTGTCTTGGCCTCCCAAAGTGCCGGGATTACAGGCATGAGCCACCGGCGCCCGGCCCTTTTTATTATTATATATTATTTTTGAGACTGGGTCTCACTCTGTAATCCAGGCTGGAGGGCAGTGGCGTGATCACAGCTCACTGCAGCCCTGACCTCTTGGGCACAAGCAGTCCTCCCGCGTCAGCCACCCAAAGTGCTGGGTCTACAGGCATGAGCTACTGTGCCCAGTCTACGATTTTTTTAAAATTTATAATTATTTTGTTTATTCAGGCAGTACAACATGATGTTTTGATTTATGTACACATTATAGAGAGTCAAGCTAATTAACACACCCAATACCTCACCAATTTATCATTTTTGTGTGGTGAGAACGTTAAAAATCCATTCTTTCTCCTCTGAAGCTGTAGAGGATGGGGTGTCCCTGCTTTCCTTTTTAACGATAAAATCATGTTTGTTATTTCATAAAATAGTTAGACAGTGAGGCTTTGTTAGTTTGTTTAATGTCCTAACTCGGCAAAATTGAAAGGTGGCAACACTCTGCCCCTCTCCCATGCACCATGCATACACACATATGTTTACAGCTAGGTTTTTTTTGGGGGGGGAGGTAGTATCCATATCATGTATTAATTTTCTTACAATTTATTTTTTCTTTTCTTTCAGTGACGGGGTGTTGCTCTGTCACCCAGGCTGGCGTGCAGTGGTGTGATCATAGCTCACTACAGCCTTGACCTCCCGGCCTCCAGCTATCCTCCCATCTCAGGCTCCCAAGTAGCTGGGAATACAGACATGCACCACCACACCCAGCTAATTTTTCTTTTTCTTTTTCTTTTTTCGTAAAGACAGGATTTCGCCATGTTCGCCAGGCTGGTCTCGAACTCCTAGCCTCAAGCCATCCTCCCAACTTGGCCTCCAAAAGTGCTGGGATTATAGGCAATGAGCCACCATGCCCTGCCTAATTTTCTTACAATTTCAAAATATAAATATCATATCTTAATAATTTATAATGACGTCACCAATATTCTCCCTATTGTCTCAAAAAAGTGGCAACCTTTGCAGAAGGGAGGATCTTCTAAAAGAACAAAATGAAAAAAGATAAGAATTCTAACTTGGGTCTTGCGCCGGGCATTGCCTGAAGCAGACAGCCAGAGGCAATCTTTCAGGAATGGAGTGAGGAAGAAATGGGGAGGGAGAGGTAAGCCTGGGGGTTCTGTGGGCAGCAGGAATCTTCAGCTGCTGGGAGGTAAGGGGACTTCTAAGAAAGTGGATGTCCTCTGTTTGACTTTGTTATATTTTCTGCTGTGTGGCCCGGGCTTGTCAGCTTGTCATCTTTCTCCCTTGGCCCTATAAACACAGAGAAACAGAGAAAAGAACAAGAATTCTGGGGACAGTGGAATTAGAACCAGAGGTGACCAAAGGGACATATTATCCAGGTGGTAACTGCCGGAAGTAGATGTTCTTTAACAGTTTAAAAAGTGATGATGAGGCCAGGCACAGTAGCTCGCGCCTCTAACCCCAGCACTTTGGGAGGCCGAGGTGGGTGGATCACCTGAGGTCAGGAGTTCAAGACCAGCCTGGCCAGCATGGTGAAACCCTGTCTCTACTAAAAATACAAAAAATTAGCCAGGCATGGTGGCATGTGCCTGTAATTCCAGCTACTTGGAAGGCTGAGGCAGGAGAATCACTTGAACCTGGGAGGCAGAGGTTGCAGTGAGCCGAGATCGCACCACTGCACTCCAGCCTGGGCAACAGAGTGAGACTCCGTCTCAAGAAAAAAAAAGTGATGATGATGATGACAGAAAGAATACAATGTAGAAAAGCTTAGACCCTTGGCTAATGGGGCTTTGTTTAACCACATAGGATTTAATCCCAACCACTTCTGCCAAAATTTTGTTCTCTAGAGGCCCTATTCTTTGCTTTCTTTATTATTATTATTATTATTATTATTATATTATTTTTTTTAGAGTTGAGGAGTCTGGTTCTGTCACCCAGGCTGGAGTGCAGTGGTGTGATCTTGGCTCACTGCAACCTCTGCCTCCCAGGTTCAAGCAATTCTCCTGCCTCAGCCTCCTGAGTAGCTGAGATTACAGGCGTGTGCCACCACGACTGGCTGATTTTTGTATATTTATTTATTTATTTATTTATTTTCTGAGACCGAGTCTTGCTTTGTTGTCCAGGCTGGAGTGCAGTGGTGCGATCTTGGCTCACTGCAACCTCTGCCTCCCAGGTTCAAGCAATTCTCCTGCCTCAGCCTCCCAAGTAGCTGGGATTACAGGCACCCACCACCGTGCCTGGCTAATTTTTGTATTTTTAGTAGAGACGGGGTTTTACCATGTTGGCCAGGCTGGTCTTGAACTCCTGACCTCAGGTGATCCACCCACCTCGGCCTCCCGAAGTGCTGGGATTACAGATGTGAGCCTCTGCGCCCGGCCAATTTTTGTATTTTTAGTAGAGACGGGGTTTCACACTGTTTTTCCCAAAGTGCTAGGATTACAGGTGTGAGCCACCTCACCTGGCCCCATTCTTTTGCTTTCTACCCTTTCTTAACCCTGTTCCCAAAATGTATGCGTCTGTGGCTGGAATATGTTAAAGGGAAGTAGCTTTCCACCTCTGTATTGGTTCATTCTGACTCTGCTTTTTCTTGCACCTGTGCTCTTCTTTTTAAAATGTTTTTGAGTGTTTTTATTTAACACTAATACACATTGGGTTTGGCCAAATAGATGTCTTTTCATCCCTGTGCCCCTCTGCAATGATACATTTCTGGAGAGGAGAGGCCAGGCAGGTTTCATTATCCTTACACATTACCTGGCAAGCTGCCATGTGCAACAGGTATTTAATACATATTTTTTGAAAAACAATCTCTCATGTCTTTGGAATCATTGGGAACTACAACCAAGTGAAGGCAGTAGAAGTTGGTGGCTGATGAAGTGCCTACAATGCATGCTATTTCTATAGGGAAGATTCCAAACGTACGTCAATTGTTAGTAAAGGAATTGATAGAGGCCAGGCATGGTGGCTCATGCCTGTAATCCCAGCACTTTGGGAGGCCGGGGCAGGCGAATTGCTTGAGCCCAGGGGTTCAAGATGTAGCCTGGGCAACATTGTGAGATTCCGTCTCTACTAAAAATACAAAAATTAGCCACATGTGGTGGCTCACACCTGTAGTCTCAGCTACTTGGGAGGCTGAAGTGGAAGGATCGCCTGATTCCAGGAGTTCAAGACCACGCTGGGCAACATAGGGAGACCTCGTCACTACCAAAAATAAAAAAAATTATCTGGGCGTGGTGGCTCATGCCTGTGGTCCCAGCTACTTAGGAGGCTGAGGTGGGAGGATTGCCTGAGCCAAGGAGGTCGAGGCTGCAGTGAGCTGAGATCATGCCACTGCACTCCAGCCTGGGTGACAGAATGAAAGCCTGTCCCCCAAAAAATAAAATAATGAAATCATGAGCTAAACCAAGTACAAAATTAATAAATAAAAAGATTAAAAATAAAAATAAAATAAAGGAATGGATAGAAGGGATGAATTGTCAACAAGATCCCGATATGTTTTCCCTTCTGATTTCAAGTATCTAATTCAGTTATTCATTTTACCCTGAGGGTGGCAGCAGGAGTCTCTTCTATCGCCCAAGCGTTGCCAAGAGGCAACTTTTAGGTCACTCTGACATGAGCTAACAGATGCAGTTTCTGGTTAGAGAGCTTGGACAGATCCATGCCATTTCCTCTCCCTTACAAGGTTGGGGGGAAAGGCTGCGTGCGGCCTCAGGAAACCCTGGGGAGCAGCAGGGATCCTCCCCAGCTGTCGCCCAATTAGAAAGCCAGTGATTTAACAGAAGGCCAAGAAGACTCACAGGGCCAGGCCTGGGGTTCTCTTTGTTCCACCTTTTTTCCCATGCTGAGAAATGAAAGAGAAAAACATTGCATGACAAGAATTAATGGTGTCAAACAAATAGCATCAAAGACAATTTAAGTATTGCTCTTCTCTCTCGGAAATGGATGAAGACAAAGAGTAGTGGCTTCCTTTTTACCCATTAACTGCTCTACATTTGGAAAGAGCTGGTGGACAGTGTTTTCATACTGTATCCATTCAGCTTGATGCTTACAAATGTACAGTTCAGAAATTTTTCAAGGAAACAGTTTGCTACAAAGCACATAGTTTCCTCTGATCATAACCATGACCTCGTTTATAATCATAATCTTGTTTATAATCTCAGGATGCCAACATGCCCAAAATGACTTTGGAATCATTGTTTTAAAATTTCATCTTTTTTTAAGACTTTATTTTTTAGAGCAGTTTTAGGTTCATGGCAAAATTGAGCAGAAAGTGCAGAAATTTCCCAGATAACTCCTGCCCCTACACACCCACAACCTCTGTCACTATCACCACCCCTAACCAGAGCTGTACAGTTGTTGCAATTGATGAACCTGCAATTGACGCATCATCATCACCCAAAGTCCATAGTTTACATTATGACTCACTCGTGTTGTATATTTTATGGGTTTTGACAAAGATACAAGGACACATATCCATCATTGCAGTATCATGCAGAGTAGTTTCACTGCCCTAAAAATCCTCTGTGCTCCACTTATTCATCTCTCCTTCCCCTCAACTCCTGTAAACCACTAATCTTTTTACTGCCTCCTTAGTTTTGCCTTTTCCGGAATGTCATATAGTTGGAATCATACAGTATGTAGCCTTTTCAGATTGGCTTCTTTCACTTAGTATATCAGTCTGTTCTCATGCTGCTTATAAAGACATACCCAAGACTGGGTAATTTATAAAGAGGTTTAACGGAGTCACAGTTCCACGTGGCTGGGGAGGCCTCACAATAATGGTGGAAGGTAAAAGGCATGTTTTACATGGTGGCAGATAAAAGAGAATGTGGACCAAGCAAAAGGGTTTTCCCCTTATGAAACCATCAGATTTTGTGAGACTTATTCACTACCATGAGAACAATATGAGGGAAACTGCCCCCCATGATTCAGTTATCTCCCACTGGGTCTCTCCCACAACGCGTGGGAATTATGGGAGCTATAATTCAAGATGAGATTTGGGTGGGGACACAGCCAAACCTATCACTTAGTAATATGCATTTAAGTTTCCTCCATTTTTTTTTTTTTTTCTGAGACAGAGTCTCGCTCTGTCACCCAGGCTGGAGTGCAGTGGCGCGATCTCGGCTCTCTGCAACCTCCGCCTCCCGGGTTCAAGTGATTCTCCTGCCTCAGCTTCCTGAGTAGCTGGGATTACAGGCGTGTGCCACCACGCCCAGCTCATTTTTAGTAGAGATGGGGTTTCACCATGTTGGCCAGGCTGGTCTCAAACTCCTGACCTCAAGTGATCCACCTGCCTCCGCTTCCCAAAGTGCTAGGATTACAGGCATGAGCCACCGCGCCTGGCCTCTTCCATGTCTTTTTATGGCTTGGTAGCTCAGTTCTTTTTCTCACTGCATAATATTCCACTATCTGGATGTACCAGTTTATTTATCCACTCACCTACCAAAGGACATTTTGGTTGCTTCCATGTTTTTGCAATTATGAATAAAGCTGCTATAAACATTCCTGTGTGTAGATTTACGTGGGGACATAAGTTTTCAAGTCATTTGGGTAAATATCAAGGAATGCAATTACTGGATGGTATAGTAAGAGTATGTTTAGTTTTGTAAGAAGCCGCCAAACTGTCTTCCAAAGTGGCTGTGCCATTTTGCATTCTCATGAATGAGAGTTTCTGTTGCTCCACATCCTCGACAGCATTTGGTGTTGTCAGTGTGTTGTTTTCACCATTCTAATAGGTGTGTAGTGGCATCTCACTGTTGTTTTATTTTATTTTTTATTTTTTTAATTTTGAGACAGGGTTTCACTCTCGTTGCCCAGGCTGGAGTGCAATGGCGCGATCTTGACTCACCGCAACTTCCGCCTCCCAGGTTCAAGCAATTCTCCTGCCTCAGCCTCCCTAGTAGCTGGGATTACAGGCATGTGCCACCACGCCCAGCTAATTTTGTATTTTTAGTAGAGACGGGGTTTCTCCATGTTGGTCAGGCTGGTCTTGAACTCCTGACCTCAGGTGATCCGCCCGCCTTGGTCTCCCAAAGTGCTGGGATGACAGGCATGAGCCACTGCGCCCAGCCTAACTGTTGTTTTAATTTGCAAGTCTCTAATGACATATGATGTTGGGCATCTTCATATGCTTATTTGCCATCTGTCCACCTTCTTTGGTGAGGTGTCTATTCAGGTCTTTTGCCCATTTTTTAATCAGGTTGTTCATTTTCTTACCGTTGAGTTTTAAGAGCTCTTTGCAATTTTGGATAATAGTCATTTATCAGACACCTCTTTTGCAAATATTGTGGCTTGTCATTTCATTCACGTTTGTGGGGAGGGGGGAACGGAGTCTCACTCTGTCACCCAGGCTGGAGTGCAGTGGTGCAATCTCGGCTCACTGCAACCTCTGCCTCCTGGGTTCAAGCAATTCTCCTGCCTCAACCTCCAAGTAGCTGGGATTACAGGTGCACACTACCACACCTGGCTATCATCTCATTCTCTTGATCATCCTTTTTTCTTAAATTAAAAAGTGAGCAATTTCTTTGCAGTCAGAACAACATTTCTGTTGGCAGTGTGTGGTGGTAAAGAGGGGGACTCTGGAGTTAGCTTGGATTTGAATTCCAGTTCTGCCACTTATTAGCTGTGCCAGTTACTGAATGTCTCTGTGCTGCACTTTCCTCATCTTTAAAATGGGTATATGAGCTGGGCGTGGTGGCTCATGCCTGTAATCCCAGCACTCTGAGAGGCAGAGGTGGGTGGATTGCTTGAGGTCAGGAGTTCAAGACCAGCCTGGGCAACACGGCAAAATCCCGTCTCTACAAAAAATACAAAAATTAGCTGAGTGTGGTGGTGCACACCTGTAGTCTCAGCTACTTGGGGGACTGAGGTGGGAAGATCGCTTGGGCCCAGGAGGAGGAGGCTGCAGTGAGTGGAGATCGTGCCATTGCACTCCAGCCTGGGCGAGAGAGTGAGACTCTGTCTCCAAATTAAATAAAACAAGATGGAGATAAACCCGTACTCATAGGGTTGCTGTGAAAATTAGGTCAATTAATATAATTAGTATAAGAGATTTAAAACAGTTTCTGCAATATTTATTATTAAATTATTTGATTAGAACAAAAGATATAGTTTGCACAGTGGCAGAGACATGCATGAAAAGCAATGGTAGACATTTCTGACATGAAGGGCATGCCTTGGCAGCCTTTTAAGATCATTCTCCACTGAGCAGCAGCAGTTTCGTTTTAGAAGTCACATCAAAGCTACTTTGGCTTTTGCAAGGCGATTTCTGTGCATTATGCACAGAATGACATACCAACCTAAGAAAATTGATCTACTAGCAATTAGTGAGATGGAGCAGGAGAAGGAGCTAGCTTGCTATGGAAAAAGTGACAAAGAGATGGACTGAGTTGAGACACTTAGAGGTCTCTGACACTAACTGGCTGCCTCACTTTGTACAAATCACTTTATTCATCTGTTTCAGGCTTCCACTTGGTTTTGTTTTGTTTTTTGAGATAAGAGTCTTGCTCTGTCATCCAGGCTGGAGTGCAATGGCGTGATCTCGGCTCACTGCAATCTCTGCCTCCTGGGTTCAAACGATTCTCCTGCCTCAGCCTCCTGAGTAGCTGGAATTACAGGCATGCACCACCAGGCCCAGCTAATTTTTTTTTTTTTTTTAGTAGAGATGGGGTTTCACCATGTTGGCCAGGATGGTCTCGAACTCCTGACCTAAGGTGATCAGCCTGCCTGGGACTCCCAAAGTGCTGGGATTACAGGCGTGAGCTACCACGCCCGGCCCAGGTTTCCACTTTTGTTATGAAGGTGTTACAGTTATCAGGGCTGGGGATGGATATGCACATTAATCGTGTTTTTTAATTTTCTGTATTTCATGATGCTTTGACATCTTGGGGCCTTGCTAATCTTGGAGAGACTGTCCCTCCCAGGGCTAACTAATTCCTACAGAACTTGACTCTGAGCATGCTTTTGATATGCAAACCAACAATCATGAGACCATACCCAAACCACCTCCTTTTTCTAACTCTCACACACCAGCCAATATTCCCCCTCCAGGGCCAGGTACTGAACAACTAGGGGCCACCCTGTAGCCCACCAAAATCATTCAAACTATCCAGTCCTAAGGTTTCTCAGCTTGCCAATCCTGTCTCATCCATTCCTTCCCATAAAACCTACAATAAAGGCTCTGGGCCCATGCTTTCTCCTCACTCCTGACTCCTGACTGACCCTGGTGCCTCCCATGTGGCCCTTGCATGGCCATGGCTTGGCAAGCCCCCTCCTCTTGAGAACTGTGAGTAACAAACTATCTTTTCAATGGCAGTTGCCTTGTGATCTGCTGGGCTCACCATACCTCAATTTTTAAAGATTCTTGGTTATATTTTAAAACAATCTAACCCCAGGTGCTAACTCTGGTGGCTGCTTAATAGCTGTCCCAAGTGAGGGATGAGAAAAATCTTCAGGTTGAGTCAAAATATCAATGTCTGCCCTGAGCATGGGTTGTGAGGAATAAAGATGTGAGAGAAAGGGTTTGTCCTCCCTGACACAGATGATCTCTAGGGGCCCTTGCAGCTCTAATATCTAAGCATTTTAGAAAGTATTTTAAGGCCAGGCACAGTAGCTCATGCCTATAATCCCAGCACCTTGGGAGGCTGAGGTGGGCAGATCACTTGAGGTCGGGAGTTCGAGACCAGCCTGGGCAACATGGCAAAACCCCCATCTCTACTAAAAATACAAAAATTAGCCAGGCATGGTGCCACATGCCTGTAATCCCAGCTACTCGGGTGGCTGAGGCAGGAGAATCTCTTGAACCCAGGAGGTGGAGGCTGCAGTGAACTGAGATCACACCACTGCACTCCAGCCTGGGCAACAAAGCAAGACTCTGTCTCAAAAAAAAAAAAAAAAGAAAGAAAGGAAGAAGAGGAACAGGAGGGAGGAGGAGGGATCTGAGCTAGCACGCTCAGCCCCTTGCCAAGTGATACCCTGCACTGTCTCAGGACTCTTCAGAGTCCTCACCAGCAAAAAGTCCCCCACCAGATGCAGCCCCTTGACCTTAGACTTCTCAGCCCCCACAACTGTAAGAAAGAAATTCATTTCCTTTAAAATTACCCAGTTTCAGGTATTCTGTTATAAGCAACAGAAACTGGACTAAGACAGGAAAACACAAACATTCAGTCCATTGCCTTCCAACACCTGCCTGCCCCCGACAATTCATGTGCTTCTCACATGCAAACTACATTCAATTCCATCCAAACATCCCCCCAAATCTTAACTCATTCCAGTATGAACTCTAAAGTCTAAAGCCAAAAGTCTCATCTAAAGATCATCTAAATCAGGTATGGGTGAAACTCACCCTGAAGCAAAATTCCTCTTCAGCTGCTTAAAAGAAACCAAAGTATTTGCTTCCAAAATACAATGATGGGACACAAAGAGGGTCTATAAACATTCCCATTCCAAAAGGGAGAAACAGGGAAGGAGGACGGGGTGACAAGTCCCAAGCAAGTCCAAAACCTAGCAAGGGAAGTTCTGTGAGATCTTGAGACTCAGGTAATCCTCTTTGGCTTGAAGCTTTGCCTCCAGACCTACTGGGGTGTCAGTCCCTCATGCCAGACCCACTGAGGGGGCAATGTCACCCTCACAGTGAGAGACAGGACTAGCTGGATTTCCTAGGCTGACTAAGAATCCCTAAGCCTAGGTGGGAAGGTGACCGCAATCCACCTTTAAACACGGGGCTTGCAACTTAGCTCACACCCGACCAATCAGGGAGTAAAGAGAGCTCACTAAAATGCTAATTAGGCAAAAACAGGAGGTAAAGAAATAGCTAATCATCTATCACCTGAGAGCACAGCGGGAGGGACAATGATAGGGATATAAACCCAGGCATTCGAGCCCGCAACGGCTACCCTCTTTGGGTCTCCTCCCTTTGTATGGGAGCTCTGTTTTCACTCTATTAAATCTTGCAGCTGCACTCTCTTCTGGTCCGTGTTTGTTACGGCTCGAGCTGAGCTTTCACTTGCAGTCCACCACTGCTGTTTGCCGCCGTCGCAGACCCGCCATTGACTTCCATCCCTCCAGATCCGGCAGGGTGTCCGCTGTGCTCCTGATCCAGCAAGCCGTCCACTGCTGCTCCCGATCGGGCTAAAGGCTTGCCATTGTTCCTGCATGGCTAAGTGCCTGTGTTTGTCCTAATCGAGCTGAACACTAGTCACTGGGTTCCACGGTTCTCTTCCGTGACCCACGGCTTTTAATAGAGCTATAACACTCACGCATGGCCCAAGACTCCATTCCTTGGAATCCGTGAGGCCAAGAACCCCAGGTCAGAGAACCCGAGGCTTGCCACCATCTTGGAAGCAGCCCACCACCATCTTGGGAGCTCTGGAAGCAAGGACCCCCACCCCCCGGCCCGGTAACAACAGTTTGGCAGCACTCACTGCTCATGCTGTGGTTGTCAGGGCAGGAGTTGTAGCCTCAGGGCTCTGCTGGGAGCCTCCATCCCCACCGCTCTACTGGGCATTGGTCTCACCCTTTGAAATGGAGGTGGAGGCTGGGAGTGGTGGCTCACACCTGTAATCCCAGCACTTTGGGAGGCCAGGACAGGCCAGTCACAAGGTCAGGAGATCGAGACCATCCTGGCTAACAGGGTGAAACCCCGTCTCTACTAAAAATACAAAAAATTAGCTGGGCGTGGTGGTGGGCGCCTGTAGTCCCAGCTACTTGGGAGGCTGAGGTGGGAGAATGGCATGAACCTGGGAGGCGGAGTTTGCAGTGAGCCAAGATTGTGCCACTGCACTCCAGCCTGGATGACAGAGCGAGACTCTGTCTCAAAAAAAAAAAAAAAAAAGAAATGGAGGTGCAGGTAGTCCTATGCCCTAAGCCCATGTACTCTGGGCCTCTGATGGGACTGGTGACCTGGACGGTCTCTGAATCACCTTCAGGGTTCTTCTTCCCTTATCTTGAAGAACAGTGTGTGTTCACAGCCGAATAGTTCTATGGTTTGGTCCTATAGGATCTAAGAAGTTTAATCATCTTCCTTCATTTTGTCCCATTTTCTTTTTTTCTTTTTCTTTTTTTTTTTTGAGACAGAGTCTCCCTCTGTTGCCCAGCACCCAGGCTGGAGTGCAGTGGTGCAATCTCAGCTCACTGCAACCTCCGCCTCCTGGGTTCAAGTGATTCTCCTGCCTCAGCCTCCCAAGTAGCTGGGATTACAGGCGTGCACCACCGCACCCGGCTAATTTTTGTATTTTCAGTAGAGACAGGGTTTCACCATGTTGGTGAGGCTGGTCTTGAACTCCTGATCTCAGGTGATCCACCCGCCTCAGCATCCCAAAGTGTTGGGATTACAGGCATGAGCCACTGTGCCCAGCCATTTTGTCCCATTTTCTCTGTTTCCTTTAGTCCCAGTCAGCAGTGCCATTTCCAGTACAATCCCATCGCTATTGCTGTTTTGTTGAGATGGTTAATGAAGTCCACAGTTCACATTCACAGTAATCTCCTTGTCAAATAGTCCAGCAGATCCTTAGTGTTCTCTTCCAAACATGCTTTGTCATGTTTTGTAATATGGACAGGGACAGGCTGAGAATTTTCCAGACCCACTGAGGGAGCAATGTCACCCTCATAGCTTGGGTAAGTTTAAGTTCTGGTTCCTTTTTGCATAACAATTCTGTTTTCAATTCATATCTCTCTTCTCAAATTTGACTATAAGCAGTCAGGAGGAACCAAGCCTCTCCTTTCAACACTTTGCTTAGAGATCTCCTCAGCTAAATCTCCATTTCACTGTTCACAAGTCCTACCCTCTACAAAACACTAAAACGTAAACACAATTCAGCCAGGTTCTTTGCTACTTTATAACAAGGATCACCTTTTCTCCACTGTCCAATAACACGTTCCTCATTTCTACCTGAGACCACATCAGAACAGCCTTTAACCACCCATATTTCTACCACCAATCTGTTCATGATTACTTATGTATTCTTTAAGAAAGCAGAAGCTTTCTCTACAGCTCTCCTCATTTCTTTCTGACTGCTCATCAGAATCACCTTTAAAGGTCCATTCAATGGCAATATAGGATTTTTCTTTTTTTCCTTTTTCTTTTTTTTAGATGGAGTCTTGCTCTGTTGCCCAGGCTGGAGTGCAGTGGCGCAATCTTGGCTCACTGCAACCTCCACCTCCCTGGTTCAAGCAATTCTCCTGCCTCAGCCTCCTGAGTAGCTGAGATTACAGGTGTGCGCCACCACGCCCGGCTAATTTTTTTTTTTTTTTTTGTATTTTTAGTGGAGATGGGGTTTCACCGTGGTGGTCAAGTTGGTCTCAAACTCCTGACCTCATAATCCATCCACCTCGGCCTCCCAAAGTGCTGGGATTACAGGTGTGAGCCACCGCACCTGGTGGCAATATAGGATTTTTCTAGCGCATGCACCCAAATTTATGTCTTAGTCTGTTTTCTGTTGCTATAACAGAATACCACAGACCAGGTAATTTATAAAGAAAAGAAGCTCAGCCAGGTGCAGTGGCTCACACCTATAATCCCAGCACTTTGGGAGGCCAAGGTGGGTGGATCACTTGAGGTCAGGAGTTTGAGACCAGCCTGACTAACATGGTGAAACACCATCTCTACTAAAAATACAAAAATTAGCTGGGCCTGGTGATGAATGCGTGTAATCCCAGCTAGTCGGGAGGCTGAGGCAGGAGTATTGCTTGAACCTGGGAGGCAGAGGTTGCAGTGAGCAGAGATCGTGCCACTGCACTCCAGCCTGGGTGACAGAGTGAGATTCTGTCTCAAAAAAATAAAAAATAAAAATAATTTTAAAAAGAAGCTTAACAAGCTCACAGTTCTGGAGGCTGGGAAGTCTAAGAGCATGGTGCTAGCATCAGATGAGGCCTTCATGCTGCATCATCCCATCATGGGTAGACAGAATGGCAAGAGGGTGCATGCGAGAGACAGCTCACTTTTATAACAAAGCCACTCCCACAATAACAGCATTAGTCCATTCATGAAGGTGACAGCCCCATGACCTAATGTCTTCTTAAAGACCCCACCTCTCAATACTGTTACAATGGCAATTAAAGGTCAACATGAGTTTTGGAGGGAACATTCAAACCATGGCACTCTTCCAGCCTCTAGTCATTACAATTACAAGGCCACTTCCACATTTTTAGGTATTCGTTACATAGCACCCCTCACTTCTCAGTACCAATTTCTGTCTTAGTCAGTTCTGACTGGTATAACAAAGTGCCATAGACTGGGTGGCTTATAAACAACAGAAATTTCTCTCTTAACAGTTCTGGTTGGAAGTCTGACATTACGGTTCCAGCATGGTCAGGTTCTGGTAGGGATGCTGTTTAGGGTTGCTGACAGCTAAATTTTCATTGTATCCTCACATTGTGGAAAGAACTCTCTGGGGTCCCTTTTATTTATTTATTTATGTATTTATATTTTTCTGAGACAGAGTCTCACTCTGTCGTCCAGGCTGGACTGCAGTGGCACCATCTCCATTCACTGCAACCTCCGCCTCCTGGGTTCAAGCGATTCTCCTGCCTCAGCCTCCTGAGTAGCTGGGATTACAGGCAAACACCACTATGCCCAGCTAATTTTTGTATTTTTAGTAGAGACAGGGTTTCGCCATGTTGGCCAGGCTGGTCTTGAACTTCTGGCCTCAGGTGATCCACCTGCTTCGGCCTCCCACAGTGCTGGGATTACAGGCGTGTGCCACTGCGCCCAGCCTGGGGTCCCTTTCATAAGGGCACCAATCCCATTCATGAGGGCTCCACTGTCATGACTTAATCACCTCCCAAAGGTCCCACCTTCTAATACTATCACATTAGGGGTTAGGATATCAACATGTTTGGGGAGACACAAACATTCAGTCTATTGCACAGCCTTTTACCTTCTGCAAATAAAACTGCTTCCAGTATACCCAAAGCTGTACTAAAACCTCTTTTTTTTTTTTTTTTTTTCTGGTTTTCCTAGGCAGAGTATTTGTGTCCCTGGGTACTTGAGATTAGGGAGTGGTGATGACTCTTAAGGAGCATGCTGCCTTCAAGCATCTGTTTAACAAAGCACATCTTGCACCGCCCTTAATCCATTTAACCCTGAGTGGACACAGCACATGTTTCAGAGAGCACAGGGTTGGGGGGTAAGGTCACAGATCAACAGGATCCCAAGGCAGAAGAATTTTTCTTAGTACAGAACAAAATGAAAAGTCTCCCATGTCTACTTCTTTCTACACAGACACAGCAACCATCCGATTTCTCAATCTTTTCCCCACCTTTCCCCCTTTTCTATTCCACAAAACCGCCATTGTCATCATGGCCCGTTCTCAATGAGCTGTTGGGTACACCTCCCAGACGGGGTGGTGGCCGGGCAGAGGGGCTCCTCACTTCCCAGTAGGGGCGGCCGGGCAGAGGCGCCCCTCACCTCCCGGACGGGGCGGCTGGCCGGGCGGGGGGCTGACTCCCCCACCTCCCTCCCGGACGGGGCGGCTGGCCGGGCGGGGGGCTGACCCCCACACCTCCCTCCCGGACGGGGCGGCTGGCCGGGCGGGGGGCTGACCCCCCCACCTCCTTCCCGGCCACCTCCCTCCCGGATGGGGCGGCTGGCCGGGCAGAGGGGCTCCTCACTTCCCAGTAGGGGCGGCCGGGCAGAGGCGCCCCTCACCTCCCGGACAGGGCGGCTGGCCGGGCGGGGGGCTGACCCCCCACCTCCCTCCCGGACGGGACGGCTGGCCGGGCGGGGGGCTGACCCCCCACCTCCCTCCCGGACGGGACGGCTGGCCGGGCGGGGGGCTGACCCCCCCACCTCCCTCCCGGACGGGGTGGCTGCCGGGCGGAGACGCTCCTCACTTCCCAGACGGGGTGGCTGCCGGGCGGAGAGGCTCCTCACTTCTCAGACTGGGCGGCTGCCGGGCGGAGGGGCTCCTCACTTCTCAGACGGGGCGGTTGCCAGGCGGAGGGTCTCCTCAATTCTCAGACGGGGCGGCCGGACAGAGACGCTCCTCACCTCCCAGACGGGGTCGTGGCCGGGCCGAGGCGCTCCTCACATCCCAGACAGGGCGGCGGGGAAGAGGCGCTCCCCCCATCTCAGACAATGGGCGGCCGGGCAGAGACGCTCCTCACTTCCTAGATGGGATGGCGGCCGGGAAGAGGCACTCCTCACTTCCTAGGTGGGAAGGCGGCCGGGCAGAGACGCTCCTCACTTTCCAGACTGGGCAGCCAGGCGGAGAGGCTCCTCACATCCCAGACGATGGGCGGCCAGGCAGAGACGCTCCTCACTTCCCAGACGGGGTGGCGGCCGGGCAGAGGCTGGAATCTCGGCACTTTGGGGGGCCAAGGCAGGCGGCTGGGAGGTGGAGGTTGTAGCGAGCCGAGATCACGCCACTGCACTCCAGCCTGGGCACCATTGAGCACTGAGTTAACGAGACTCCATCTGCAATCCCGGCACCTCGGGAGGCCGAGGCTGACGGATCACTCGCGGTTAGGAGCTGGAGACCAGCCCGGCCAACACAGCGAAACCCCGTCTCCACCAAAAAAATACGAAAACCAGTCAGGCGTGGCGGCGCGCGCCTGCAATCGCAGGCACTGGGCAGGCTGAGGCAGGAGAATCAGGCAGGGAGGTTGCAGTGAGCCGAGATGGCAGCAGCACAGTCCAGCTTCGGCTCGACATGAGAGGGAGACCGTGGAAAGAGAGGGAGACCGAGAGGGAGAGGGAGACTGAGAGGGAGAGGGAGACCGAGAGGGAGAGGGAGACCGAGAGGGAGAGGGAGAGGGAGACCGAGAGGGAGAGGGAGAGGGAGACCGAGAGGGAGAGGGAGAGGGAGAGGGAGAGGGAGAGGGAGAGGGAGAGGAAACCTCTTTCTTTAGCACTATTCATGTTCTCTTCTCCTGGACGTCAGTACCTTAAATAGAGTCATCCTCCCTCATGGACTCCACACTTCTCTCTCTCTCTCTCTCTCTCTGTCTCTCTCTCTCTGAGATAGGGTCTCACTCTGTCACCCAGGCTGGAATGCAGTGGCAAGATCATGGGTCACTGAAACCTCCACCTCCCAGGGCTCAAGTGATCTTCTCACCTCAGCCTCCTGAGTAGCTGGGACTACAGGCATGTGCCACAGTGCCTGGTTAATTTTTGTATTTTTTGCAGAGATGGGGTTTCACTATGTTGCCCAGGTTGATCTCAAATTCCTGGGCTCAAGCAATCTTCCTACCTCGGCCTCCCAAAGTACTGGGATTATAGGCATGAGCCACTGTGCCTAGCCATATATCCTTCTCTCTCTTATCCTACTCCAGTCTGGCTTTGGTCCGCACTTGTTCACTGACATTCCTCTCTGTGACATGATGAGTTCTCTGTGGGCACACTGAGTTTGAGGTGTCAAAGCACATAAAAATGGAAAGGTCTACTAGGCAGTTGTTTATGTGGTCCAACTCTCTTTTGGTTCATATTTGCTTGGTGTATCTTTTTCCATCCCTCTATTTTCAACCTTTCTTTGTGGTTTTATTCTAAGCGTGTTTCCTGTCACAGGTCTGTAGTTGAATTAACAACAACAACAACAAATCCAATCTGATAACCTCTGTTTTCAACAGGCATGTAATCATTTATATTTATTTTGATTACTTATGTATTGGAACTTATTTCTACCATCTTATGTTTGCTGTTTACTACCCCGTTCCCCCTCATCTTTTCCCATTATATGTTAGATGGATAAAGTTTTTGAAATTGCCCCATTACACATTTTATTTTTTCCTTTGCTGGTTCTGAAGTTATAGATGGTATTTCTCCTCATTTAGTGGTTTCCATTAATTTTTAAAGTTCCTGAATCTCATGCTTCCAGTATCAACATGCCTAACCAGCAGGGCCTCCATTAATTTTTAAATATATGTTCTAAATTATAAATTTAAGAGCCAGGCACAGTGGCTCACACCTGTAATCCCAGTGACTTTGAAGGCTGAGTTGGGAGGATCGTTTGAGGCCAGGAGTTTAAGATCAAACTGGGTAACATAGAGAGATCCCATCTATACAAAATTTTTTTTTCAATGAGCCAGGTGTGGTGGCACATGCCTGTAGTCCTAACTACTTGGGAGGTTGAGGTGGGAGGATCCCTTGAGCCCAGGAATTTGAGGCTATAGTGAGCTAGGATTGCAGCACTGCACTCCAGCCTGGATAACAGAGTGAAACAAATAAAAAATAAATACTTATGTTTCTATAAATTTACATACATAGATAAATATTAAAAATATATTAAGCCAGCTATAGTGGCACACACCTGTAGTCCCAGCTACTTGGGAGGCTAAGCTGGCAGGATTTCTTGAGCCCAGGATTTCGAGGCCAGCCTAGGCAACATAATGAGACCCCATTTCTTTAAAAAAAAAAATATATATATATATATATAAATATATATACACACATAAACACACAAACCAATATCCAAAAAATATATCTTTAAAAATGTATTGTCTCAGCCGGACATGGTGGCTCATGCCTGTAATCCCAGCACTTTGGGAGGCCGAGGCAGGTGGATCACAAGGTCAGGAGATCGAGACCACCCTGGCTAACACGGTGAAACCCCGTCTCTACTAAATATAAAAAAAATTAGCCAAGCATGGTGGTGGGCGCCTGTAGTCCCAGCTACTTAGGAGGCTGAGGCAGGAGAATGGCGTGAACCTGGGAGGCGGAGCTTGCAGTGAGCCGAGATCGTGCCACTGCACTCCAGCCTGGGCGACAGAGCGAGACTCCGTCTCAAAAAAAAAAAAAATGTATTGTCTCCAGTTCATCAGTATATGTATTATCTACCTACTCTTAAAAGAATAAAGGCCAGGCGCAGTGGCTCACGCCTGTAATCCCAGCACTTTGGGAGGCCGAGGCAGGTGGATCACGAGGTCAGGAGATTAAGACCATCCTGGCTAGCATGGTGAAACCCCGTCTCTACTAAAAATACAAAAAAATTAGCCAGGCATGGTGACAGATGCCTGTAGTCCCAGCTACTTGGGAGGCTGAGGCAGGAGAATGGCATGAACCTGGGAGGTGGAGCTTGCAGTAAGCCAAGATTTCGCCACTGCACTCCAGCCTCAGTGACAGAGCAAGAGTCCGTTTCAAAAAAAAAAAAAAAGAATAAAGACACAGTGAATCAAGTTCTTTAAAAGCAGAGCCAAGAAGAGTCCTGTGATAGGCAGCTTCTGACATGGCCCCAATGATTTCTGCCTTCTGATATTTACACCCATGTGGAAATCCCTGCACTTGAGTGTGGGCTGAACCTAGTGACCAGCTTCTAATGAACAGAATATGGCAAAAGTGATAGGATGTAGGATGTCACTTCTATGATTAGGCTCCAAAAGATTGTGACTTCTGATGTGCTAGTTCTCTCTCTCTGTCACTATCTCTTGCCCTCTTCTTTGCTCCCTCTGATGAAGCCAGCTGCCACAGTGTGAGCTGCCCTATGGAGAGGCCTCTATAGCAAGAAAGTGAGGCCTTCAGTCCAGCAACCCTCAAGCAACTGAAACCTGCCAACAACCACATGAGTCAGCTTGGAAGTGGATCCATTACCCATCAGGCTTTCAGATGAGACCACAGCCCCGGCTGCCACCTTGATTCCAACTTCATGAGAGATCCAGAGACAGAGAACCTAGCTAATCTGTGACTAGATTCCTGACTCACAGAAACTATGAGATAATAAATGTCTGTTGTTTTAAGCTGCTAAATTCTAGGTAATTTGTTACACATCAATACATGGCTAATACAAAGATTTTTTTTTTCTGTGACAACTTTTTTTATCATATGGAGAGGCAAAGGTGGCACAGACTCTACAATCAGCCAAACGTGGCTGTCTCTTGCCTTGGGCAGGTTATGTAATCCCTGAGCTCAGTCTTCTCACTTGTAAATCTTTTTTGTTTTCTTCCCCTTCCTCCCTCCCTCCCTCCTTCCTTCTTTTTTTTTTTCTTTTTTTTTCTTGACAGAGTCTTGCTCTGTTGCCCAGGCTGGAGTGCAGTGGCATGATCTCGGTTCACTGTAACCTCCACTTCCCAGGCTCAAGCGATTCTCATGTCTCAGCCTCCCAAGTAACTGGGACTATAGGCATGTGCCACCACGCCTGGCTAATTTTTGTATTTTTAGTAGAGATGAGGTTTTGCCATATTGGCCAGGCTGATCTCGAACTCCTGGCCTCAAGTGATCCACCCACCTCGGCCTCCCGAAGTGCTGGGATTATAGGCCTCACTTGTAAATCTAAGCTAACAATGCCTGCCTTGCATATGAGCTTTTCAGATTGTTAATAAGGTTTAAGAGGGCATGGCACACAGTAGGTCATCATCTTTATGACCTCCATTCTTGTAAATCTGATGCTCATTCCAATTTCAGTGTTCTGGGTTCTTCAAAAAGTCCCCACCACTAAAACTTTGCTTTATCATGAAGATTTCACTCAGTCCATTGTGTGATAGTATTCATAAAGCACCTGAAAGTACTACCTCTCAAATGAGTATCTCCCGTTCTCAAAATCAATGCCACACATAGACTCTAATTCAACCATGGTACAGGGGATGGTGAATTAGGCCTGGAGCCTCTAAGCAATGGCCTGCCATCCAACATCAAATCATGCTGAAAATCCTTTTTTTTTATACTAAGACAAAAACACAATCAAAGAATCATTGCAGTTTCTATGTGAATGAACCTCATATGAAATCCTCTGAACAGCAGTGGCTCATATCTGAGAGGGAAGGAGGATGTGAGAACATCTACATTACTAGATCTTCATGAATGGGCTGCTGAAGTCTGGCTTTTCCCTGTACTAAATCTCTCTGTAATTTTGTGCCTGCTCATGGAAACTGCATTCACAAATAGTATATTATGCATATACACAGACTTACACAGACAACCTTTGCAGATAAAAAGCAAATCCCTGCCAATGATAAACAAAATGAACATAAAACCTATTACAGTCTTAGATTATCTTCTAAACCTTACATTCTCTTATGCTTAATTCTTTTCATTTTTAATTTTAATTTTTAATTTTTTTATTTTCCTGTTCTCCTCAGCTGCTCATAATTTGTATTTTTAGAGACAGGGTCTTGTGCTATCACCCAGGAGTGTAGTGACCTGATCATGGCTCATTGCAGCCTCGACCTCCTGGGCTCAGTGATCCTCCTACCTCAGCTTCCTGAGTAACTGGGATTAACATGCCCGGCTAATTTTTGTATTTTTAGTGGAGATGGGGTTTTGCCATGTTGGCCAGGCTGGTCTCGAACTCCTGGCCTCAAGTGATCTGCCAGCCTCGGCCTCCTAAAGTGCTGGGATTACAAGTGTGAGCCACCGTGCCAGGCCTATGTTTATTATGTATATATTTTTACATTTAATATGCATACCTTTTCTTATATTCTTGTATTTCATACACATAATGGTCAGCAGCCTGTATATACTACCCTGGATCTTTTTTTTTTTTTTTTTTGAGATGGAGTTTCACCCTTGTTGCCCAGGCTGGAGTGCAATGGCACGGTCTCAGCTCACTGCAACCTCCACCTCCTGGGTTCAAGCGATTCTCTGGCTGGCATTACAAGTGTGAGCCACCACATCCAGCCTTACCCTAGGTATTTTAGAACAATTACAGACAGTAAATACCTATCAATCTATACCTATATCTACATATCTTAAGAATTTTATTAAAAATGATCAAAAGGGAATTCTCTCCTTTTTCCTTCTAATTCAGATCTCGAGTTGCACTGTTGAAGCAATGTGCCAAAATTGCTTTTATTTTCCTAAATTAAAAGATGTGATATTATCTATTCTTATCAGCAAAGGGTAAAAAAACAATTTATTACAGAAGAAAAAGCGAGATAAAAACATAGGATGGTAGGCTGGGCGTGGTGGCTCATGCCTGCAATCCCAGCACTTTGGGAGTCAGAGGCAGGCGGATCACCTGAGGTCAGGAGTTCGAGACCAGCCTGGCCAACATGGTGAAACCCCGTCTCTATTAAAAATACAAAAATTAGCCGGGCATGATGGCAGGTGCCTGTAATCCCAGCTACTCGGGAGGCTGAGGCAGGAGAAACACTTGAACCCGGGAGGCGGAGGTTGCAGTGAGCTGAGATCATGTCACTGCACTCCAGCCTGGGTGACAGAGCAAGACTCCATCTAAAAACAAAACAAAACAAAACAAAAACAAACAACCAAAAAAATAGAATAGTCCTTTTCCTTTCAGGATTGCAAAGAGAACATAAAGAATTAAGCGGCATACTTTCCTAAAATCCTGAAACAGAAACCTTTCATCAAAGTTCTAATTCTACTCCCTCTAGACGGTCATCCTCCCAGCTCACCCAGCTGGCTGCCCAGTCAGTGACTAAGAGCAGAGCTGTTTTGGCTCAGGCTGAAGTTAATCTGTGCCTTGGGCAGAGACAAACTGTTGGTGCCTGTAAGAGTAAAATCCTAAATGATTAGAGCAGAAAACTCTTCTGAATTAAGGGTCTGCAAGACAAACAGGTTGCCATAGACATTTATAAGGAAACAGCCATTAGCACACCCATATGATACACTTTGCTCTTTTTTTTTTTTTTTGAGACATAGCCTTGTTCTGTCACCCAGGCTGGAGTGCAGTGGCACGATCTCGGCTCACTGCAGCCTCTGCCTCCCAGGTTCAAGTGATTTTCCTGCCTCAGTCCCCCAAGTAGCTGGGACTATAGGTGTGCACCACCAAGCCCGGCTAATTTTTGTATTTTTAGTAGAGACAGGGTTTCACCATGTTGGGCAGGCTGGTCTCGAACTCCTGGCCTCAGATGATCTGCCCCCCTCCTTGGCTTCCCAAAGTGCTGGGATTACAGGTGCGAGCCACTGTGCCCAGCCTCACTTTGCTCTATCTTTTGGCCTGGTTTCCCCAGGCACTGTGGAGGGAACACAAATATGAGTCACTGTTCCTGTCCTCCAACTGCTTCCTGCCTCTTCAGGGAGCTCAGCCCTGTACTGTCCAAAGAGAGGACTACCAGACTGGGCAATATAGCGAGACACCACCTTTACAAAAAATTTTTTAGAAATTAGCTGGGCATGGTGGCACACACCTGTAGTCACGGCTACTTGGGAAGCTGAGGTGAGAGGATCACTTGAGCCCAGGAGTCTGAGACTACAGTAGGCTATCACAACACTGCACGCCAGCCTGGGTGACAGAGCAAGACCCTGTCTAAAAAAAATAAAAATAAATAACAAAGAGGGGACTAGCAGAGCCATGTGGGAAGTAGTAAGTCACTTGTAGTAATAGCCACTTGTAATTAATCACTTCACAGATCAAAGTAGTTCATATTTAGCCTACTCATCAGCACCTGACTATAAAGGTGTCAGGCCAGAGTCTCCATTTCACAACTTAAATTAAAGTGATTGTTCTCGGCCAGGCGCAATGGCTCACACCTGTAATCCCAGCACTTTGGGAGGCCAAGGCCAGAGGATCACTTGAGGTTAGGAGTTCGAGACCAACCTGGCCAACATGGCGAAACCCCATCTCCACTAAAAATACAAAAAAAAAAAAAAATTAGCTGGGTGTGGTGGTGCGTGCCTGTAGTTCCAGCTACTAGGGAGACTGAGGCAGGAGAATTGCTTGAACCCAGGAGGCAGAGGTTGCAGTGATTCAAGATCACACCACTGCACCCAGCCTGGGCGAGAGAGTGAGACTCTGTCAAAAAAACCAAAACAAAACAAAAAAAAAACACCACCAAAGTGATCATTCTCATGTTTGAATTGGGAAATTAATTTAGACTAACCAAACTTTAGTTGCCTCCTTCTCGAATGACATCAGTTCACTTCCCTTCCTTCAGCTGCCCTCCCTCCTTCCTCTTAGGCCATTTGGGCTGCCAAAACAAAATATGATAGGCTGACTAGCTCATAAATGACAGAACTTGAGAAACAGTTCCGGAGCCTGGGAAATCCACAATTGAAGTGCCGCAGATTCAGTGTCTGGTGAGGGCCACTTTCTGGGTCACAGTTGGTGCCTCCTCGTTGTGTCCTCACATAGTGGAAGGGGCAAGGGAACTCTCTGGGTCCTCTTCTCACTGATGTCACTCACTAATCATCATTCAAGGCCCCACCTCCTAATATGATTATATTGGGAATAAGGTTTCAAGGTACTACTTCTGGAGGGACACAGACATTCAGATAATAGCACTGCCCTCTCTCAATTCCTTGAGCATGGCTCACCTCTCCTCCAGCCCAGGGCACACTGCATGACCATCAGTTGTTTTCTGGGGTCAGGCTCTGGACCTGAACCCACAAGGTCAGGCACATTCACTTTTGTATTACATCCCGGGCTCAGCATGGGGCCTGGACCCATGTAAGGAGGCAAATGAGTGTTAAGGGAGGCTGAAGGTTTGTTGAAACTTTTGGAGTACCTCATTCACATGTTCATTCGTTCATTTACTCACTCATCCAACAGCATTTTTTTTTTTGAGACAGGGTCTCACTCTGTCACCCAGGCTGAAGTGCAGTGGTGCAATCATGACTCACTGCAACCTTGACCTCCCGGGCTCAAGCAATCCCCCCACCTCAGCCTCCCGAGTAGCTGGGACCACAGGCACACAACGCTATGCCTGGCTAATTTTTTCATTTTCAGTAGAGACGAGGTCTCGCTATGTTGCCCAGGCTGGTCTTGAACTCCTGGGCTCATGTGATCCGCCTGCCTGGCCTCCCAAAGTGTTGGGATTATAGACGTGAGCCACGGCGTCTGGCCACCAGCGATTTCTTAAATGTCTATACACGCCTGAAACTGAAATAAGGCCGGGAAGTCTCTTGCCCACTTAGCAATTACAGAGAAGGGATATATGGGTTTATAGTAAATGTGACAAGTAAGTCCAGGGGGCCCTGGGAACACACAGGAGAGGCACAGAACTTGAACCCAGGGTGTCAGGGAAGGAGTCCTGGGGAAAGTGAGGTCTCAGCTAACATCTGAAGGCTGAACAGGAGTTTGACATATGAATGGGGTGAGGGGATGTGGGAGCTGGGGGCCGGATATCTGAGGAAACAGTTCAGCTTTATTTCAGCTGGCCGTGTGGCTTTGAGCAAACAAGTCACAAAAATTCTCTCAGATTCCCATTACTAAAATGGGGATAAAAGGAGCTGCCTCGGCCGGGCGCAGCAGCTCATGCCTTTAATCCCAGCACTTTGGGAGGCCGAGGCGGGCAGATCAGGAGGTGAGGAGTTCGAGACCAGCCTGGCTAACATGGTGAAACCCTGTCTCTACTAAAAATACAAAAACTTAGCTGGGCATAGTGCCGGGTGCCTGTAATCCCAGCTACTCAGGAGGCTGAGGCAGGAGAACTGCTTGAACCCAGGAGGCGGAGTTTACAGTGAGCCGAGATCGCGCCACTGCACTCCAGCCTGGGCGACAGTGTGAGACTCCGTGTCAAAAAAAAAAAAAAAGAAAGAAAAGAAAAAGAAAAAGAAAAAGAAAAGGAGCTTCCTCGTGCATCCGTTGTGAGGGTTAAATGAGATCATGTGGGCCAAGTGCCTGGCATATAGTAGATGCTCAATGGACATCTGATGGCATAGGGGCGCCTCAGCAATCCCTCAGCATGACACCCTGTATTAAAGCCAGGTAGATCTCTTGTGTTTTGCCAAAGATCCATTTTGAGATCCTATTCACCTTGGCTCTCAAGCTGAGAGTAGACTAAGAAGGCCTCAAGTGTTCAGCTAGTGATGACAGCTGAGCAAACCAATAGGTAGTTACTGCACACGCCAGGCCATCAGATGCCAAAAAATTTTGTTTTGCAAATTATATAGACCAAAAGGGAAATTGAGCCTGAAAGTTCCAGTGTGTGGATGCGAGAACACACTAAAGAAATCTCTACCTGAAGCCTGGGGAAGGGGCTGCTGATGGTGCTCTTCTCACATCATACTCAGCTCCTGCCACCATTAGCAGCTTCATCTTCCTTTTAAAAATTTTTATTGAAAATAGAGACAAGGTCTCACTATGTTGCCCGGGCTGCTCTTGAACTCCTGGGCTCAAGTGAGCCTCCTGCCTCGGCCTCCCAAAGTGCTGGGATTACAGACATGAGCCATGTCAGCAGCCATGTTCTAAGCTAGCAGCTTCATGTTCTAAGAGGGCAGATTTCAAGTTTAGGATCCTGAATTTCTCTGTATGGAAGTGAGCAGATCACACCTTCTCAAGCAGGGAAATGCTCAGCTCTGCCAAAAAGAGAAACAAGTTATTGAGACTGAGAAATCCGACATTTTTGGTGAGTTAGCTGAGTTTGCAAACAGTAAACTGTGTTTTCAAAGACATAATGCTGTAGCAATATCTTCAGAATAAAATCAGGTAATGTAATTGATCCTAAATTTGTTATTTTGGAGCCAAGTAATCAATAGCTGCCTGGTGACCTGGGCATCTTCCTTCTAGATCATGGCTCTGTGAGGACAGCAGCTCTGCCCATGTTGTTCACCACAGGGCTGAACACCGTGCCACATACTTGGCATTCAAAATTGTTTTTTCTCCAACCTGGGCGACAGAGTGAGACCCCGTCTCTAACAAAAAAAGAAAAAAAAATTTTGTTGAATGAGTGAATTTTGATTAGATAGATCTAATACATTGTATAACGTTCATAAGTGTTTCTCTCCTAAGTCCAATCCTGAATTCTTGTGTAATAATAACCTCATTGAATTATTTTAGCAGAATAATTGGATATCAAGGATGGGTGTGTCGGCTACCAAATCACTCCATCATATTAGACTTCTCTCTTTGAGAACCCTGACATGGCTCCATGATCCATAGGAACACACGTGTCTGTGTGTGTATGCATATAATGTACACACATCTGTTTGTCCGAACAACGGCCATATAAAGATTGTGTAACTGTCAAGAGCCTTTCCAGCTCATTAGATGGGTTCCTGGACATCTCTTAACTCTGTGGTTCAGCTTTCCCCCTGCAAAGTGGAGATGTATTTCAGTTTCCTATTTCAGTGAAAGTTTAGAAGAATTATCGTGACATCATTTTCCTGAATGACAAATGTCCACTTAGCTGCAGGGAATTCCTTCTAGGAAACTGAAGATCAAAAATTGAAAATTTATATTACAAAGCAATATTAAGATGTACGCCTTTTTTTTTTTTTTTGAGATGGAGTCTTACTCTGTAGCCTAGGCTGGAGTGCGGTGGCACAATCTTGGCTCACTGCAACCTCTGCCTCCCGGGTTCAAGCAATTCTCCTGCCTCAGCCTCCTAAGTAGCTGGGATTACCGGCGCACACCACCACACCTGGCTAATTTTTTTTTTGAGATGGAGTCTCGCTCTGTCACCCAGGCTGGAGTGCAGTTTCACAATCTCGGCTCACTGCAAGCTCCGCCTCCCAGGTTCACACCATTCTCCTGCCTCAGCCTCCCGAGTAGCTGGGACTACAGGCGCCCGCCACCACACCCGGCTAATTTTTTGTATTTTTAGTAGATATGGGGTTTCACCGTGTTAGCCAGGATGGTCTCAATCTCCTGACCTCGTGATCTGCCCGCTTCGGCCTCCCAAAGTGCTGGGATTACGGGCGTGAGCCACCACGCCCAGCCACACCTGGATAATTTTTGTATTTTTAGTAGAGATGGGGTTTCACCATGTTAGCCAGGCTGGTCTCCATCTCCTGACCTCGTGATCTGTCCGCCTTGGCCTCCCAAAGTGCTGGGATTACAGGTGTGAGCCACCGCGCCAAGCCAGGGTTTTTGTTTTTGAGACAGGGTCTTGCTTGGCTGCCCAGGCTAGACTCCAGGGACACAATCATGACTCACAGCAGCCTCGAACTCCCAGACTAACATGATCCTTCCACCTCAGCCTCCTGAGTAGCTGGGACCACAGGCATGCACCACGATGCCCAGCTAATTATTTTTTAATTTATACTTTGTAGAGATGGGGGTCTTCCCATGTTGCCCAGGCTGCTCTCAAACTCCTGGGCTCAAGCGATCCTCCTGCTTCAGCCTCCCAAAATGCTGAGATTACAGGCATAAGCCATCGCACCTGGCCTGTATTTTTTTTTTTTTAAGAGATGGGGTTGGCTGGGCACAGTGGCTCACGCCTGTAACCCCAGCACTTTGGGAGGCTGAGGTGGGTGAATCACGAGGTCAGGAGATCAAGATCATCCTGGCTAACATGGTGAAACCCTGTTTCTACTAAAAATACAAAAATTACCCAGGCGTAGTGTCACACACCTGTAGTCTCAGCTACTCGGGAGGCTGAGGCAGAAGAATCGCTTGAACCTGGCAGGCGGAGGTTGCAGTGAGCTGAGATCATGCCACTGTACTCCAGCCTGGGCAACAGAGCGAGACTCCATCTCAAAAAAAAATAAAAAGAGAGACGGGGTCTTGCTGTCACCCAGGCTAGAATGCAGTGGTGCAATGATAGTTCACTGCAACCTCCAACTCCTGGGCTCAAGGAATACTCCTACCACAGCCTCCCAAGTAGCTGGGACTACAGGCATGTGCCACCGCACCCCGCCAATTTTTTTTTTTTTTAGTGGACACAGGGTCTTGCTATGTTGCCCAGGCTAGCCTCAAACTCCTGGCCTCAAGTGATTATCTTGCCTTGCCTCCCAAAGCACTGGGCTTACAAGCATGAGCCATGGTGCCCAGCAATATAATAATACTGTACTAGAGAATGTTTTTGAAAATCTTCAGCAAAAATGATACTTCTTTGTATGAGGAGAGATTTCCAGCCACTTAGTGCCAACAAGTTCCTGATGGAGATTACAATTTAACATTATGGGTTTGGTTTTGAGACCAACTGAAAATTCCAACTACTCTTTGGCAATAGAAAGAATTTTGTAATAGACTGAGCAAACATATCAAAACAGGTGATTTTTGACTGGGCGTGGTGGCTCATGCCTGTAATGCCACCACTTTGGGAGGCTGAGGTGGGCGGATCACCTGAGGTCAGGAGTTTAAGACCAGCCTGGCCAACATGATGAAACCCTGTCTCTTCTAAAAATATAAAAAATTAGGTGGGCATGGTGGCGGGTGCCTGTCATCCCAGCCACTCAGGAGACTGAGGCAGGAGAATTGCTTGAACCTGGGACACGGAGGTTGCAGTGAGCTGAGATCGCGCCATTGTACTCCAACCTGGGCAACAAAAGTGAAACTCTGTCTCAAAAAAAAAAGAAGGGCTGGGCGCAGTGGCTTATGCCTGTAATCCCAGCACTTTGGGAGGCCAAGGTGGGTGGATCACCTGAGGTCAGGAGTTCGAGACCAGCCTGGCCAACACGGTGAAACCCCATCTCTACTAAAAATACAAAAATTAGCTGGGCATGGTGGTGTCCATCTGTAATCCCAGCTACTTGGCAGGCTGAGGGAGGAGAACGCTTGAACCCAGGAGGCAGAGGTTGCAGTAAATCGAGATCATGCCACTACACTCCAGCCTGGGCGACAGAACGAGACTCCGTCTCAAAAAAAAAAAAAAAAAAATTAGCACCTTCACATTGGTTATTCACACTAATTAGGCATTCAAATTGTATACCATCACTTGCCCACAGTATACCTTGTAGAGACACTTACTTGGTGAAAGTTCATAATTGCTTTAAAAAACTTTTTTGAATTTCCAGTAGTTATCACCACAATTTCTAAGACAAGAAAGGCTGTTGTGTCATCAGGGTTGGTTTCTGGTGAGGCCTCTCTCCTTAGCTTTCAAACGGCTGCCTTCTTGCTGTGTGGCCTCACATGGTCTTTTCCCCGTGCATGAGCGTCCATCACGTCTCTTCTTATAAGGACACCAGTCCTATTGGATTAGGACCCTCCTTTTATGACCTCATTTAACCTGAATTACCTCCCTAAAGGCCCTATCTCAAATACAGTCACATCTGGGGTTAGATCTTCAATATATGAATTAAGGGAGGGGAGACACAATTCAGTCCATAGCACCCCCTTTGCAAACAATCTACCCCAAATGCATCTAGTGATACACAAGATGTTTTACTCCATTTACTTGCTTTGATTTCAGTACATGGTTTCTTCTGGGAAAATAAAATCTTTGGGATGAAGAAAGTGGTCCAAAAGCTGGCTGGACCTCTATGGCTACTAACTGCCCTATAGGCTGGCATCTGTTTTTACTCTTTGTGAAACCTAAACCTACAGTAGGTTGTTCAGGGATACTACAAGTAAGTATTCAGAGAAATCTTGGCTCACTGTAACCTCCGCCTCCCAGGTTCAAGCGATTCTCCTGCCTTAGCCTCTCCAGTAGCTGGGATTACATGCCCGGCTAATTTTTTAATTTTTAGTAGAGACAGGGTTTCGCCATGTTGGCCAGGCTGGTCTCAAATTCCTGACCTCGGGTGATCTGCCCACCTCAGCCTCCCAAAATGCTGGGATTATAGGCGTGAGCCACTGCGCCCGACCCAGAGTTTCACTCTTGTTGCCCAGGCTAGAGTGCAATGGCGCAATCTCTGCTCACTGCAAACTCCGCCTCCCGGGTTCAAGCAATTCTCCTGCCTCAGCCTCCCAAGTACCTGGAATTACAGGTGCTCGCCACCATGCCTGGCTAATTTTTGTATTTTTAGTAGAGACGGAGTTTCACCATCTTGGCCAGGCTGGTCTTCAACTCCTGCCCTCAGGTGATTCGCCCACCCTGGCCTCCCAAAGTGCTGGGATTACAGGCGTGAGCCACTGCGCCCAGCCAGTTAATAACTTTTTAAAGCTTCCATGAGCAACTTACATCACTCACACATGCTATGCTAACACTACGTATATGTACATATTTATCACCTAATCTTCTGAAAACTCAATTGATCATAAGATTATAAACACACATACTGCATTTTTCCCTAAGTTGCCAAACTTAGTCTCCTCCCCCCACCAACCCCCACCAAAAAAACTCTTTCTCTTCAAGTTGCCATAATAAAGGTCTAAAATGGGGTTGATGATGGTGATAAAATCCTTACTATTTAAATGGCTACTGATTTATAAGGCAAGCTATATTTATTGGAATGTGGGATTCTTTTTAGCATTTTATTCTATTCAAATAGGCTTTTTCTTTTATTCATAAGCTAAAGATTTTCTTTTCTTCCCTCTTGCCTTCTTTAATTGTATTACTTTTGTTTGTGTTTCTCTAAAAGAGGTTATATAGTTTATTCTGTTTGACTATACCATATTACAACCATTAGGGCAAGATCCCAAAGAAAAACAATGCACCTCTCACCTCCTACGGCGCCTGCGCAGAGGTACTAAAGTGAAGTATGCATGTTACAAGGCCAGCCACCCTCAGAAACATTCAATGATGACTAAATGCTCACACTTTATCTGAACCTTTGATGTGTTGTACCCAGCTCTCTAATCCTCTGCACACGATCTTCCTCGGGACAAGACCTGATACAAAGATCAGTGTGTGTTTTCAGCAGTGGAGGCAGCACTGGGCTCTTTGAGTTTCCAAGCTAATTAAGGGAAATTTGTCCCAGTTGGTGAAGGCAGATGCCTTAGGGGTCAGTCTTCCTAACATTTTGGGCACCAAGTTAAAAAATCAACAGTCCCCCTTCCCTTCATCATGTGACTTACCCCAGGGCAATGAATTGGGTCCCCTCTGCTCCATCCCTATAAATCATACATTTATACATACTGTTACATATTTTATTCATTTATTTGTGAGACATAGTCTTGCTGTGTCACCCAGGCTGGAGTGCAGTGGCGCAATCTCGGCTCACTGCAACCTTCGCAACCCGCGTTCAAATGATTCTCCTGCCTCCGCCTCCCGAGTAGCTGGGACTACAGGCGTGCACCACCATGCCCGGCTAATTTTCGTATTTTTAGTAGAGACGGGGTTTCACCATGTTGGCCAGGCTGGTCTCGAACTCCTGGCTTCAAGTGATCTGCCCACCTCGGCCTCCCAAAGTGCTGGGATTACAGGCGTCAGCCTCCGCGCCCAGCCTTGTTACATACTTTCATAATGCTTGTAATATATACTTCTATTTCAACTTACATAAACATGAAATGTAAAAATTTCAATCTGTAAAGAGGTAAGTGGCTACCTCACCTACGATGTGGTAAATAAGACGTGTCAACGCAGCCATCCTGCCCCAGCCGACCAGACCTTAATGCTCCAAAACCATCCGTTTGCGCCTGGAAAACTGAGGAAAGTGTTTATTCCCTTACACACGCTTCGCCAAAGGCCCTGGCACGTAGGGCTTTTTCACTGCTGCGAACGTTAGACCGGCCTGTGATAAGGAGTACAATTAATCTAACTTTGGTATACTATATCCAGAGACCACAGGGGGCTCGCTCTGCGATTTATGGTGCGAGGAGGACCAGACACCCCCTGTGCCCGTCCTACTCCTGCAGATCAAACTCACAGCCACACTTTTCGGAATGAGAAACTGGACAGTAAATGAACGCAAGAACCATGGTGCCCAGGCAGAGAACCCCGCTGGGTTTGCTACGAAGGTTGCGGTGGAGGCGCCCAGTGCACCAGGCGCCAAGGCCCGGTATGTGACCTCACTAACCTCCGCCAGCGCGCACCCTGTCCTGCCCCTTCTCGGGCCAACAACCCCACACGACGCAGCGGTGTGAGAACCAGCAACCGGAACCGCAAAAGCACGGCTTTCCCGGAGCCCGGGCTCTGGACTGGCACCCACTGCGCATGCTCCAGAGCGGCGACCAATGGGAGCCCGGCGCGCAGGGACGGAGGCGGGCCCGGGCCGCTACCGAGAAGCACAGGGACCCGACTTCAGTCATCGACCAATCAGAGCTCACAGCCCCCCACACCCCCTCCCCCCCGGCCCTGAGCCAATTGCCAGCTCGTGTGCGGGAGGGCCGGGTCAAGACTAAGTCAAAGGAGGAGAGGGCAACGCGGTGGGCAGGAGAGAGGCCAACGGCCGCCCGGGGCGAGGGGAGCCGGTAGGACGGGACCAGGACTGGCCGACCCGGCCCCGCGCGGGGAAGGGGGCGCCTTCCTCCCACAACACAAAACGGTGCGCCCGGGTTGGCCGCCCCTCCCCAGTGGTGCGGCCCCGGGTGGACGCTTCCGTGCGCGCGTCCATGCCCAGCCATTGCGGGCTGCGGGCTCCAAGGGTCGCACACGCTGGAGAGTGCAGGTTGCCGGGTCCACCCACAGGGCTGTAGACACCCCTAGGGTCACACAGACAAGGCTCTGGACACCCACAGGGGCACACACATTGGGGAGTGGGCACTCCTGGGCTCACAAAGACTGAGGCGCAGGAAGGTAGGGCGCGCCCGCCCAGAGGGAGTTGGTGGTGGCTGAGGGTGAGGGCAAGGTAGGGACTGGGAGGAGACTTCTGGTTCCCTGGTTGGTCCTGGTGGGGCCTGACTGGGCCAGGGTTTTCCTGTGCAGGTGCGGGGAGTAGGGCGGGGTCTCTGGTTGGCGGGGAGGGCTCCAGGAGCCTGTCCCAGCCCTGGGGGTGTCTGGCTGAGCCCCACAGAAGGGAACTCTGAGATGGGCTTTGCAGCAGGGGAAAGAAAAGGGAGGTCGCGCATACTGGCTTCCTGACCATCCACCAATGGTGGTGGAACCTGGAAGCCTGAGGGAGGAAGGTGAGGAGGCGCTTGAGGGAGGGGGGAATCTAGGCGTCAGGGATGATAGTTCATTGATCCAAGTTACTCAGCTATTTCATAGAAACGGCAACAGTAATGAATAATTATAACACGTGCCAAGCTCTCCTGATCACTTTACACAAATCATCTCACTGCATCTTCACAACAACCTTAACTACTATTATCATCTTCGCGTTCTGGATGAGAGACCTGAGGCCCTGTAGAGGTTACCAGAAGGCACACAGCTGAGAAGCGCCAGGGCCAGGGCAAGGGTCAGGCTGTGCACTCTGGACTCTGTGTTCTGACCACTGCGTCATTGACTCTACAGATGTCTCTGCTTTCTGTGCTCACCCTGTCCTCATTCCGCCCCCGGCAGGACAGAGGGCCCCTGAAGCATCCATTTGCCCACAGCGTCAGTGAACTGTGTAGAACTCTCTGTGCAAGGGAGCTGGCCCCTGCGCACCCTGAGTCGTTTTTCTTCCCTGGCTCCCCACGCAGGGGCAGTGAACAGAGGAGAGGGAAGCCTTGTTGGAAGAGGGCAGTAAATCACAGCATAGCTATCCAGACTGCAATTATTTACTTAGTGCATTCAGGGTCTTGTGCTAGGTGGTGGGGATACCGCACTGAACCAGACAGACAAGGGTCCTGTTCCTGCCTGCCCTCGGGGTGTGTTTTGGGAATTCCTCCTTGAGGGTGCTTTGGCATTGAATGGGCAGAGGTCTGGTGCTGGGGGGCTGTCCCACACCAGCAAGACTTGTAATGTACATGAATGTGAATGTCATTTCAGGATAGTAAAAGGAGGCCTCCAAAAATGTTTCTTATTAAAAGGGAGCATTGGGTCTGAGGGTTGGGAAATGATATTTCCTTAGGTCAGGCCTGTCCCAGGAAGCAACCCTCAGTCAGGGATACGGAGGACCATGAAGATAGTACGGTGAGGGGAGGAGGAAGATACAGCAACGTAAATTTTGCCATCTTGGCCTCAGTTTGGTTTTAAAGGACAGCAGTTGGACCCTCCCCATGCCTAGGTCTCCTGCATGGATTCAGTCAGTGGTGGCCCAGGTGTGGAAGACACCCCCCATGTCTTATTACCTACTCTGGGCTTGGGGTGTGGTGATCAGGACCTTGTAGTCAATATCTTCCCAACAAGAAGCAAAATAAGAACAAGATATAAACAGGAGGTGATTCATCTGGTGCCCCTAGGGGTTGGAGGGGAAGGTGATGGGGTCCATCCTGGTTCTTGGGGGTTCCTGGTGTTTGCTGTATTACTGTGAAGTAAATTAACACTTCTGCTGTGTGAACTGGCTTGCATTAGACCAACTCTCCTGCTGAGAGCAACCAGAAAAGCTGGATTAAAGTTCCTGTTTTTGTTTTTGAGTCTATTTGAAGGCCCAGGAGAGCAAATTATCTTTGAGGTCATCACCTCACCAAGTACTGGCATCCAGTGCAGAACAGCAAGAGTTGATGAGAACATCAGACTAGAAGAACGGAGTGAAAAAAATTTAAATTTTTTTTAAAAAGAGTTTGTGGATACATATAAACGTAATAAACCAGCTCCAAATTATTGATGCCAGTCAATGGAGTAATCAAAAAATATGAATATGAAAAGTGATACTAAAATGATTAGTAAATCACTATAGTCTATAATGGGAAAACTCATTCTATTAGGGACTAAAATAACAAAAATGTGCTTTAAGTTTTTCTTTCTTTTTTTTTTTTCAAGAGCCGACGTCTTGTTCTGTTGCCCAGGCTAGAGTGCACTGAGGCAATCACAGCTCACTGCAGCCTCGATTTCCTAGGCTCAAGCAATCATCCCGCCTCAGCCTCCCCGACTACAGGCATATGCCACCACACCCAGCTAATTTTTAAAAAACTTTTTGTAGAGATGGGGTTTTGCTATGTTGCCCAGGCTGGTCTCAAACTCCTGGGCTCAAGCGATCCACCTATCTTGGCCTCCCAAAATGCTGGATTACAGGGGTGAGCCACCACGCCCAGCCTGCTTCAGGTTTTTTTGTTTTGTTTTGTTTTGTTTTTTAGAGAAAAATATACATTTTACACTTGTCTGCTACTTAGAAATAAGAACAGGAAATATACAACTTTAAAAAATTCATTCTCATACCTTGGTAACGAAATATCCACCTTTAAATGTTAATTTATAAAACAACCAGCACAACCAGCAAGGCTGTTGTGGCTCACACCTGTAATCCCAGCACTTTGGGAGGTGGAGGAGGGCAGAATGCTTGAGCCCAGGAGATTCAGACCAGGCTGGGCAACATAGTGAGACCCCATCTCTACAAAAAATATGATAATTAGCGAGGCATGGTGGTGCACACCTGTAGTCCCAGCTACTTGAGAGGCTAAGGCAGGAGGATCCCTTGAGCCCAGGAGGTCGAGGCTGTATTGAGCCGTGATTGCACCACTGCACTTCAGCCTAGGCAGCAGAGTGAGACTTTGTCTCAAAAATAAATAAATAGTTAAATAAAACAACCAGCAGCTGCTCTGCCTATGGAGTAGTCATTTTTTATTCCTTTACTTTCTTAATACATTTGCTTTCACTTTATTCTATGGACTTGCTCCGAATTCTTTCTTGTGTGAGATCCAAAAACCCTCTCTTGGGTCTGGATCAGGACCCCTTTCCGGTAACATCTTCCTGGTGAACCACGAAGGGATGATACTGAGGAGACCCTCGACCCAAAGGAAAAAGACTGCAGCACTGATTGGCCAACTTTGGACTGACCCTGCTTATTCCTGTGAACCAATCAGTGACCTGTGACGGCTCCTCAGAAGAAACAAGAGGGATGGACAACACCTTTTGTTGGAGCTCAGTTATGAGTGGCTCAGTTATGACTGAGCTCCCTTCTACCCTGAATACAAGAGACCCTAATAGGCAGGAATATCATCGCCCCTATTCCTCCTGAAGAAGTTACAGAAGATGAATCTTCCTCCCTCTAAACCGTTAGGATTAAGGGTTTCCTTGTAAAAGGGAAGGGCAAATATGTCAGAGGCGTTTGAACCAGAGTGATTCTATCTTGAATAGGGGCTGGGTAAAATAAGGCTGAGACCTACTGGGCTGCTCCTGGGCTACTCCCAGGAGGTTAGGCATTCTAAGTCACAGGATGAGATAGGAGGTCAGCACAAGATACAGGTCACAAAGATCTTGCTGATAAAACAGGTTGCAGTAAAGAAGCTGGCTAAAAGCCACCAAAACCAAGACAGCAATGAAAGTAACCTCTGGTCTTCCTAACTGCTCATTATACACTAATTATGATGCACTAGCATGCTAAGAGACACTTCCACCAGCGCCATGACAGTGCCATGGCAACATCAAGAAGTCACCCCACATGGTCTAAAAAGGGGAAGAACCTTCAGTTCCCGGAATTGCCCACCCCTTTCCTGGAAAACTCATGAATAATCCACCCCTTGTTTAGCATATAATTAAGAAATAACTGTAAGTATCCTTAGTCCAGCAGCCCAAGCTGCTGCTCTGCCTATGGAGTAGCCATTCTTTATTCCTTTACTTTCTTAATAAACTTGCTTTCACATTAAAAACAACAACAACAACACCAACAACCAGCAAATATATCAGAGGCTTAGCATCCCCTATTCAAGGGGACAGTTCTGGAGGCCGAGAAAGAAGTAGAAAGGTGGAGAATAAAAGACACAAAGGAGCAGAAGAATTTTATCTTGGCCTCCATGTGGCACCTCACAGCTTGGGAACAACAATTTCTCTCATAATTTTCCTCAGCTCCACCACTCACAAGCTGTGTGACCTCGGGCAAGGCACCCAAGCTCCTCTGGGCCTCAGCTTCCCAGTCAGTACAATGGGGTAACAGTAGTGCTTACGTTTTTTGTGTTTTTTTTTGAGATGGAGTCTTGCTCTTGTCACCCAGGCTGAAGTGCAATGGCACGATCTCGGCTCACTGCAACCTCCGCCTCCCAGGTTCAAGTGATTCTCCTGCCTCAGCCTCCTGAGTAGCTGGGATTACAGGTGTGCACCACCACACCAGGGTAATTTTTGTATTTTTAGTAGAGACGGGGTTTCATCATGTTGGTCAGGCTGGTCTCGAACTCCTGACCTCGTGATCTGGCTGCCTCGGCCTCCCAAAGTGCTGGGATTACAGGCGTAAGCCACCGCACCCGGCCAGTAGTGCTTACTTTGTGGGGTCATCTGTGAATGTGAAATGAGTTAATAAATGGAAAGCACTTAGAAAAGCCTCTGGAACCACTGAATCAAATTGGATATCATTACTGAACCTTCATTCAATGCTTCAATACCCATTTAGTGTCATCTGTCCAAATGCTGGAGATACGCCTAGCACACACTGACTGCTCAGTGAGCAGTGTCACAATGAACACGTGCAATGGCCTTGAAGGCCACATCGGGGCTTGCCCTGATCAGCAGGTTGGAGGTGCTCCAGGCCCGAAGCTTAGCTGTGAGTGGGGACACGGGAGGGAGGTTGGAACTGCCACTGCAGAAGGGGTTCTGAACCTAGGTTCAGGAGAGAGGCTTTGAACCTGCACGTGTGGGAAGCCATGGAAGTTTCCAGGAAGGACTGCAGGTCCCAACTGGAGATGTGCCGTTCCTCCTTCAGGTACCTGGGAATGTCAGTCACACCCCAGACCTGCTCAGCTCCCCCAAACTGCTGTTCCTGTATCTGAGAGCTTCAAGTCTCCAAATGGCCTACCTCATACATGGGGAAACTGAGGCCTGGGGAGGCCGGGGACTGAGCTAGCATTCACTTGTGGAAATAGTCTGGCATCATCTGGAGAAGTTAGAGACATGCAAACCCTACAGCCCTCAGATTCCCGTCTGAGAGTCTGCATGCCTATGTGGACCAGGAGATGTGTGCGGGAGTGAACACTGCAGTGTTGCTCCCAACAGCAAGAACCAGAAGCAGCCCAAAGGGCTGTTACAGGAGAATATGGACACCCAGGCTGCACATGCACACCATGGAATGCTGTATGGCAGTGGAAATAAATGAACAGCTACCACTATAGGCAAACAGGAATCACAGCAACAGCCAAGAGTGAAGGCGTGGAGGGACGAGACCATGCACTCACACCTGGCCTGCCTGGCTCGCACTCCGGGCAAAGGGGTCAGAACAGTGACTGGCACACACGTTAAGTGCTATGTGAGTGTTAAGATAAAACTAGGATGTCCAGTGGGGAGAAAGCAAGCCTTTGAAGATTATGTGCTTTTACAAACTTCAAGTGCAATGAAAACTAAACAAGATGTTGTTCAGGCATTCATATATGATATAAAGTTCCTTTCTTTAAAAAAGGGATGGGCTGGGCACGGTGGCTCACGCCTGTAATTCTAATACTTTGGGAGGCCGAGGCAGGTGGATCACGAGGTCGAGAAATCGAGACCATCCTGGCCAACATGGTGAAACCCTGTCTCTACTAAAAATACAAAAAAATTAGCTGGGCGTGGTGGCGTGTGCCTGTAGTCCCAGCTACTTGGGAGGCTGAGGCAGGAGAGTCACTTGAACCCGGGAGGCAAAGGTTGCAGTGAGCCGAGATCGTGCCACCGCACTCCAGCCTGGCGACAGAGTGAGACTCCATCTCAAAAAAAAAAAGAAAAAAAAAAGTATGACAAGCAGAAAGTAATTTGGGAGCTGCGGGGAGGCAAGGGTAAGGGATGGGGAAGTGGACCAGAGGCATATGCGTCATTGGCAGTGTCTAAGCACTCACGATAGGCGTGGATCACAGGGGCTCGCTCTGTAATTAAAAGGAAAAGGGTTTTTGTTGTGTTGTTGTTGTTGCTGTTTTTGAGACAAGGGTCTTGCTCTGTCATCATCCAGGCTGGAGTGCAGTGGTGCAGTCTCAGCTCACTGCAACCTCCGCCTCCTGGGTTCAAGCGATTCTCCTGCCTCAGCCTCCTGAGCAGCTAGGACTACAGGTGTGTGCCACCATGCCTGGCTAATTTTTGTATTTTTTAGTGGAAATGGGGTTTTGCCATGTTGCCCAGGCTCGTCTTGAACTCCTGACCTCAAGTGATCCACTCGTCTCGGCCTCCCAAAGTGCTGGGATTACAGGTGTGAGCTATTGTCCCCAGCCAAAAGGAAAAGTTTTACTGTAGTAACCCTTCCGGACTAGGGACCTCGGGCCTCAGCCTCAGGCTACCTAGGTGCTTTAGAAAGGAGGCCACCCAGGCCCATGACTACTCCTTGCCACAGGGAGCCCTGCACACAGATGTGCTAAGCTCTCGCTGCCAGCCAGAGGGAGGAGGGTCTGAGCCAGTCAGAAGGAGATGGGCCCCAGAGAGTAAGAAAGGGGGAGGAGGACCCAAGCTGATCCAAAAGGTGGGTCTAAGCAGTCAAGTGGAGGAGGGTTCCAATCTGATGGCGGAGGGCCCAAGCTCAGCCTAACGAGGAGGCCAGGCCCACCAAGGGGCCCCTGGAGGACTTGTTTCCCTTGTCCCTTGTGGTTTTTTGCATTTCCTGTTCCCTTGCTGCTCATTGCGGAAGTTCCTCTTCTTACCCTGCACCCAGAGCCTCGCCAGAGAAGACAAGGGCAGAAAGCACCATGAGTGGGGGCCCAATGGGAGGAAGGCCCGGGGGCCGAGGAGCACCAGCGGTTCAGCAGAACATACCCTCCACCCTCCTCCAGGACCACGAGAACCAGCGACTCTTTGAGATGCTTGGACGAAAATGCTTGGTGAGCTGGGGATCTCCTGCCCCCGCCCCGTCCCCACCGTTTCTTCCTCTTCCTCTCCTCCTTCTCTCTCTTCCCCTCCTCCCGCTCCTCCTTTCCCTCTCCATCATCTCCTCTCCTAGAATTTCCCGTCATAATCCACCCTTCCCAGGAAGATCTCAATGTCTACTTGCCTTCCCTCTGGCTGCAGCTCTTCCTTTGGGCCCATGACTGTCATGAGGCAGGAAGGACCAGGTCTGGCTCCAAGACCTTGTGGCTACCCCTGACCAGACTCCACTGACCCCTGCTTTCCTCTCCCAGACGCTGGCCACTGCAGTTGTTCAGCTGTACCTGGCGCTGCCCCCTGGAGCTGAGCACTGGACCAAGGAGCATTGTGGGGCTGTGTGCTTCGTGAAGGATAACCCCCAGAAGTCCTACTTCATCCGCCTTTACGGCCTTCAGGTGACCCCCCCACCCCCGACTGGACTTGCAAGCCAGTTCTCAACCCGCAAACCCAGATCTGTGTCCATATGTGTCCATAGCTTCAAGACCTCAGACCTGATCAGTGAATCCCTGAGCCCCAGAACCAAAGACTCATCCAGATGGCAAACTCTGACTTGCCTTTCTAAGTCTGCAATGACTGGCCCCAGTCTCCGTATCAAGATCTCTAAAGCCCCCAGTATTAGTCTGCTGCCTAAGCCTAATCTTTTCCACAAATTCCAATAAATGAGCACTGTATTTGTACCTGAACCTCAAATCTATTCTAAACTCAACATTTTGCATCCCAGGAATCTCTCATCAAAACTCCTGAACCCCAGATGTTTGCCAAGCTCCTAAGTCATAAATCTGTTCAACAAACCCCAAAGTTGAATATTCCATTGATCCTTGAACTCCAAATCTGTCCTTCTAAATCCACAGCACAGACCCCAGAGTTCCCATATTAAAATTCCTGAACACTCAAATACCGAGGTAGTTCTTAAGCAAAAAGTCTTTTCCACAATCCCCTGACCTGAACTTTCTAGGTTTAAGCCCCAAATTCATCCTTTTAAACCCATAAAGATGGACCCAGCATAACTTCCAGATCCCAAGGCTATCAAATATCCACCAAACTCCTAAACCATAACTCTCTCCACAAACCCCAAATTGCACTTACTTTAGCTGGACTCCCCGCGAAACTCCCAAGTCTATGTGTCTGAACTTCAAATCTCAACTCCAACCCCCAAATACTAGAATCCTACCTGTCATGAATTGGGGCTGGGGTGGTGGGGGAGGGCATGGATTGAATCTGTGAATGAGCCTCAACTTCCTAAGACTAGAGTCCTAAATTATGAAATTCAAGCCCCCAAGTCCCAGATCTAGGGCCCCAAACCCCAAATCCAAACCTCTCACAAAAGTGTATGGCTCCCAGACTATACCCCACAATCCACACCCTTAGACACCAACTCTCTGGTGCTGAGCTGAAAATCTCCAAACCAGACTATGAGGCTCCCAAATCCAGACACCCTGCTCCCTGCCCAGCTAACAAAAGCCTGCCACCCCCGGCGTGCCTCAGTGCCACTGTGCCTCCCACCCTACACCTCTCCAGGCTGGTCGGCTGCTCTGGGAACAGGAGCTGTACTCACAGCTTGTCTACTCCACCCCCACCCCCTTCTTCCACACCTTCGCTGGAGATGTAAGTGATCAACCAGCCCTCGGGCCTCACTTGGGGTGTGGAGAGGAGATGGGAAAGTTGCGGGGGACCTGGGAGGCGGCTGACCCCAAGGTATGTGCAGGACTGCCAAGCGGGGCTGAACTTTGCAGACGAGGACGAGGCCCAGGCCTTCCGGGCCCTCGTGCAGGAGAAGATACAAAAAAGGAATCAGAGGCAAAGTGGAGGTGAGGAGGCCACAGGGGAGGAAAGGAAGTTGGGCAGAGGTGAGTGCAAGCCTGGGGAACTAGAAAAGTCCCCTCTCATGGTCCTGGCTCCCAATCCATCTATCCACAGACAGACGCCAGCTACCCCCACCACCAACACCAGCCAATGAAGGTGAGTCCTCTAGTGCAAGTAGGGGTAATAAGGGGCTAGCCCAGGAACCTGTGGCAGGGCTGTGATAACTCTCTACACATTCCATCTTCCCAGAGAGAAGAGGAGGGCTCCCACCCCTGCCCCTGCATCCAGGTGGAGACCAAGGAGGTGCGTGCTGATTCTTCCCTGTGTCTCTGGATGGATGGGTAAGAGTGGATGGAGGAATGAGGAGTTGGATGGGTGCGTAAGTGGGTGAATGGATAGGTAGATTGATAGGTATGTGGATGGACGAGCAGGTGCATGGATGTGTGGACTGATGGATGGGTGGATGGATTGGCGGTAGATGGCTGAGTAGAGGGATGAATTGATGGGAGGATGAAAGTCTAAGTAGATAGATGCATAGGTGAATGGGTATGTGGATAAATGAATGAAAAGGTAGATGGATGACTGAGTAAATTAATCAATGAGTGAATGAATGAACAGTGAATAAATGACTAAATGACAAGTTTCAGTCAGTGAAGAAAGCATGATTGAATGAATAAATGAGTAAATGAATATTTTAACAAATTCATTAGTCAATGAGCCAGTGAATGATAAAGCATGAGGGAATGAAAACATGAATGAATCAGTGAATGTATGAATGGTTTGTGGGATCCACCCACTTCTCCATAGACCCTACTTGAACCCTTCACCCACTACCTCCATGACCATCCAACACACACACAGATTTCCCTCAAGGCTTCCGTTTCTTGCCCCTGTGCTTTGGTTGGTTGGTAAGTGGGTCAATGAGCCAACCACCCTATTTTCCCCACAGGCCCTCCAGTGGGTCCGCTCTCCCTGGGGCTGGCGACAGTGGACATCCAGAACCCTGACATCACGAGTTCACGATACCGTGGGCTCCCAGCACCTGGACCTAGCCCAGCTGATAAGAAACGCTCAGGGAAGAAGAAGATCAGCAAAGCTGATATTGGTGCACCCAGTGGATTCAAGTGAGAGCCACTCCCCAGTGGACCCACAGATTCCTGGGGGCAGAGGGGCACATGAACAAGTGGACAGCTGAGTGAATGGAAGGATGGGCAGATGGGCAGATGGCTGGGTGGCTGAGTGGGTAAATGGGTGGTTGGATAGGTAGGTGCAGGGCTGGGTCTAGGGAGAGGTAAATAAGGCACCAAGGGTACAAAATTTAAGGAGGCACTCACTCTCAGAGGCATGCAACTGTAATTCCTGACTCTCAGAGTGAGTGACTCACTTAAATTTTGCACCCTAGGCACCTTACTTGCCTCACCCTGGGCCCACTCTGGGTGGGCTGTTAGGAGAGCAGGTGGGTGGGCAGGTGAACAAATGGATAGATAGATGAGGTAGATGATGGATGAGAAGGGCTGGTGGGTAGGTGGGTGAGTGGATGGGTGGATGGATGGATAAATGAATGGATGAATGAATGGGTTGAAGAATGAATGGATAAGTGGTTGGATGGACAAGTTTATGGGTGGATGGGTTGATGGGAGGTGCGTGGATAGATAGATGGGTGAGTGGATAGGTGTGTGGACAGATTGATATGCAGGCTGATTGGCTCACAGACAAGGTGGATGGGGATGGACAGGTGGACAGATACGTGGATGAATGGACAGTTCAATGGATAAGTGAACAGAAGTGTGTGGTTGCATGGGTAGAAAAATGAGTGGATGGATAGATGGAAAGGTGGGCACATGGGTAGGTGGATGGGTGGATGGACAAGTGTGTGTGAGGACAGACTGGTGGACAAATGGGTGAACAGACATATGTGGGCAGATAGTTGCAGAGACAGATGTATGGACAGATCAGTAGTCCAACAGATGAATGTGAATGAATAGGTGGACAAATGCATGGGATAGATGGGGAAAGAGGGATGGGTGGATGGATCAGCACCACAAACTATGGAGCCCTTCTAATTCCATAACTCCTGCCTATACTCATTCACTCATTCAGTCTCATTCATTAATTCTGGCCCCTCAGAGTCTCTTTGGGCAGGAGAGGGCAAGAGGGTTTCACTATGAAGGGAGGGAAGGAAGGGCAGTGAGGATTCACTGGAGTCTCTTCACCTCTCCCAGGCATGTCAGCCACGTGGGGTGGGACCCCCAGAATGGATTTGACGTGAGTAACTTCAGAGTCTCTTGGACTCCACTAAACTTCCACCCACCCTTCCAAAGACCACTGCTGAGACCCCACCCCCAGATCGTGCCCTTCCCACACCCCTCTCAGATCCCTTGCTGGGATGGACCCAACGACAATCCATGTCGCTTGTCTCCTCGCCTTATTCCTCTACTCCTGCCCCTGGCCTTTTTCCTCCTGGGCAGGTGAACAACCTCGACCCAGATCTGCGGAGTCTGTTCTCCAGGGCAGGAATCAGCGAGGCCCAGCTCACCGACGCCGAGACCTCTAAACTTATCTACGACTTCATTGAGGACCAGGGTGGGCTGGAGGCTGTGCGGCAGGAGATGAGGCGCCAGGGTGAGACCCTGCTTCCATACGCTCCCTTCTCTAGCCCAAGCAGCTCATAGCTAAGATACGCACTAAGTCACTCAGTCCTTATGGGAGCACCTATACTGCTTCAGTCAGGAGTTGGTCAGTGGGGGTACCCATTTTACAAATGAGCAAAACTGAGGCTCAGAAGAAATCAATGAGAGTTACAGCTATGTGTTATACCCCCTCCACAGAGCCACTTCCGCCGCCCCCACCGCCATCTCGAGGAGGGAACCAGCTCCCCCGGCCCCCTATTGTGGGGGGTAACAAGGGTCGTTCTGGTCCACTGCCCCCTGTACCTTTGGGGATTGCCCCACCCCCACCAACACCCCGGGGACCCCCACCCCCAGGCCGAGGGGGCCCTCCACCACCACCCCCTCCAGCTACTGGACGTTCTGGACCACTGCCCCCTCCACCCCCTGGAGCTGGTGGGCCACCCATGCCACCACCACCGCCACCACCGCCACCGCCGCCCAGCTCCGGGAATGGACCAGCCCCTCCCCCACTCCCTCCTGCTCTGGTGCCTGCCGGGGGCCTGGCCCCTGGTGGGGGTCGGGGAGCGCTTTTGGATCAAATCCGGCAGGGAATTCAGCTGAACAAGGTGAGGACAGGCAGGATGGAGGATTGGGGGTCTAGGACTCTGGGGTGTCCCGTCTAAGTCAGGATACTGGGGGGCTGAGGCCAGGACTGAGGAGAGTGCCAGGCCTTAGGGATTCAGTGATAGGGTTGAAAGGTTGGTGGGAAGCCTTGAAGGGGACTGGAGTGTGTGGGAGAGAAAATATTGATGGAGGGGCGGGGAGAAATGCTCCTTTCCCAGGCCCTAAGCCCTCTGTGCTGATCCCTGCCTGCTGCAGACCCCTGGGGCCCCAGAGAGCTCAGCGCTGCAGCCACCACCTCAGAGCTCAGAGGGACTGGTGGGGGCCCTGATGCACGTGATGCAGAAGAGAAGCAGAGCCATCCACTCCTCCGGTGAGCTGATCCTGCCGGGGCCTCAAACCTGGCTCCCAGGGCTAGCACTGGCCTCAAAACAATCCCAGCAGTCACCACCAATAGTGACATCAGCCCCATCTGTTTGACAGCATTAACATGAATCTTGTGTCAGCCTCGTTTTTGACAATGTTAACATTAAGTCATTATGTGACAATAATATAATTAACTCCAACTTTGACAGTAATATTAACATTAATGCCAGGGTGTGTCCACAATATTAATGTCATTCCCACATGTTCAGTACTATTAACATCAGCTGGCCGGCGCGGTGGCTCATGCCTGTAATCCAGGAACTTTGGGAGGCTAAGGCAGGAGGATCACTTGAGCCCAGGAGTTCGAGACCAGCCTGGGCAATATAGTGAGACCTCGTTTCCATAAAAACTAAATTCAAAAAAAGTAGTCAAGCATAGTGGTGTGTGCCTGTGGTCCCAGCTACTTGGGAGGCTGAGGTGGGAGGATTGCTTGACCCTGGGAGGTCAAGGCAGCAGTGATCCATGATTGTGCCACTGCACTCCAGCCTGGGTGACAGAGATCCTATCTCAAAAAAAAAAAAAATTAACCCATTATGTGATGACAATATTATGAAGAACACTATTGTTGACAATATTAATTTTAATTCCATGTATTAACAGATTTACATTAATTCATTATGACGTAACCTAATCTAATCTTTTAAAAAATTTTTTTGAAACAGGGTCTCGCTCTGTGTCCCAGGCTGGAGTACAGTGGTGCAATCATGGCTCAGTGCAGCCTCAACCTCCCAGGCTCAAGCGATCCTCCCGCCTCAGCTCCCAAAGTAGCTGGGACTACAGGCGTGTGCCACCATACCTGGCTAATTTTTGGTGTTTTTTTGGTAGTGATGAGCTCTCACTACCAAGCTCTCACTACTCTCATGTTGCCCAGGCTGCTCTGCAACTCCAGGGCTCAAGCGATCTGCCCCGCCTCAGCCTCCCAGAGTGCTGGGATTACAGGCATGAGCCACCAGGCCTGGCTGTTAACCTAATCTTTTTATAATAATGTTACTATTACTCTCTTAATCTGTCAGCAATACTGTCACTAATCCATTATATGATGCAAATATTAGTATCAACCTACTATAGGAACTTCATCTTTCGACAATGATTTTTTTTTTCTTTTGAGACGGAGTCTTGCTCTGTCACCCAGGCTGGAGTGCAGTGGCGCGATCTTGGCTAACTGCAGACTCTGCCTCCTGGGTTCAAGCGATTCTCCTGCCTCAGCCTTCCGAGTAGCTGGGACTACAGGCACGCCACTACGCCCAGCTAATTTTGATGTTATTGTCATTAACCCCATTATGTGTCAAAAATATTAGCGTTAACCAGACAGGAAGCAATAATATATTATCACACCTTTGCTAATATTATTTAAATTCACCCTATTATGTGATAAATAGGTTAACATTAACCCTTTGTTTGACAATATCTCGACTAACCACATTTTTGACAGCATAAACTTCAACTCCAACTAGAACTCAGACCCCAACTATAATCCCTTTCTTGTCCCAAATGGAAACTCTAACTTGCCCTCCTCTAGCATGAGACCTCAGAACCCCAGGGTCCAGTCCTCACCTCCCAGGCCCTATGAAGCCCCCCACCAACCTCCCAGGGCATCTTATCTTTCTCTTTCCCTCCAGACGAAGGGGAGGACCAGGCTGGCGATGAAGATGAAGATGATGAATGGGATGACTGAGTGGCTGAGTTACTTGCTGCCCTGTGCTCCTCCCCGCAGGACATGGCTCCCCCTCCACCTGCTCTGTGCCCACCCTCCACTCTCCTCTTCCAGGCCCCCAACCCCCCATTTCTTCCCCACCAACCCCTCCAATGCTGTTATCCCTGCCTGGTCCTCACACTCACCCAACAATCCCAAGGCCCTTTTTATACAAAAATTCTCAGTTCTCTTCACTCAAGGATTTTTAAAGAAAAATAAAAGAATTGTCTTTCTGTCTCTCTATAAATCTCAGTCTGTTTACATTCCAAATGTGGGAATGGGGTCCCTTTCCCCCAAAGTCCCTTTTATTCATTTATCCCATTTTATTTATTTAGCCTTACATGTATATATTCATTCATTCATTTATTCCCTCAGTCATTTAGCCTGTATTTCTTTGTTTCCTTCTGCCCCTCTGTCTTTCAACATTTATTGTCAGGTACTATTTTAGGGGCTAGGAATCAAGAAGTGGGAAAAAAAACAGACAAGAATTCCTGCCCTTAGGGGGTGAAATCCACATTCTAGGGGAAGAGACAGACAAGAAACAAGAAATCAAATAGAAATAAAAGATAGCTGCAGATCATGATAAATGCTGTGGAGTGGTAAGGCAGAGATACAGATGAAACAACATTCAGATGGAGCAGTCAGGGATGGTCACTTGGAGTAGGTGATGGTGGTGCTGGACCTAAAGAGAGAGAAATGTCGGCCCAGTTAATATTTGGGGAAAAGGGGTTCCAGGCTGAGGGAGCAGCCAGTGCAAAGGCCCTGAGGTGAGAAAAGGCTTGGCATGAGGCCAGATGTCATGCATTTAATTATTTTTTAAAAAAATAATTCAATCGGCTGGGTGCAGTGGCTCATGCCTGTAATTCCAGCACTTTGGGAGGCCGAGGTGGGCGGATCACCTGAGGTCAGGAGTTCGAGACCAGCCTGGGCAACATGGTGAAACCCTGTCTCTACTAAAAAATACAAAAATTAGCTGGGTATGGTGGTGCACACCTGTAATCCCAGCTCCTAATGGGGGCTGAGGCAGGAGAACTGCTTGAACCCGGGAGGCAGAGGTTGCAGTGAGCTGAGATCGTGCCACTGCACTCTAGCCTGGGCAACAGAGCGAGACTCCGTCTCAAAAAAAAAAAATCATTCAATCAACACAATACTAGATTAAGAGCAGCATACTCAATGAGCAGACCTCCCCATTCTCCATGCCCATAACAACTCACACACCAGGATCTTGATGGGCAGGATCCCCCTCTCATTTTTAAAATTTGGCTCTGCCCAGTTCCCAGTTCAAATCAAGCACTGGCCAATTGCAATGGAAAAGGCAAAGACTTAATTATCAGACAGATCTGCTCTAGAACCCGGGAAAGATGCCTCACCTCTGAGCTTTGGTTTCCGCATCTATACAATGGAGGTAACTGATTTCCAACGGGGATCCCACTGAGTCACCTCTCTGCCTCCTCAGGACTTGCTCTCCCAGAAACAAAGGAGTAACTCAAAAGCGTCCTTGGCGTTTACAGCTATTTCCAAGGGCATAATTAGAAACTGTTGCACAGCAAAGCCTAGAATTGAGCTCCCTGCCCCTTCCGATTTCTGAAATCTGGTGAATTCGAGATCTCAGACATCCTACCTTTAGAGGAGGAGAAAAAGAGAAAGGTAGTGGGGAGGAAGATAAAGGTGAGGGAGACTCCAGAGAGGGCAGGCTTCTTCAGTCTGCAAGAGCAACGGAAGAATTTCTAGGTGGAAAGGGGAACTCCCCCAAGCTAGAGAAGGAGGGAGTCTCAGGTTTCCTTTAATTCATTATTCTTTACACCGCAACACCACTCCCCACCCCACCCTGACCAGGTCCCCAGATGGGCACTGAGTCTAGGAAGGATCCATCAGCATCATTTATCCCTACTCCCAGTCCCCCACAGAAATCTTAGAAATCCAGTGTTCTGGTTGGCCGGGCGCGGTGGCTCACGCCTGTAATCCCAGCACTTCGGGAGGCCGAGATGGGCGGATCATGAAGTCAAGAAATAGAGACCATCCTGGCTAACATGGTGAAACCTCATCTCTACTAAAAATACAAAAAATTAGCCGGGCGTGGTGGCACATGCCTGTAGTCCCAGCTACTCAGGAGGCTGAGACAGGGGAATTGCTTGAACCCGAGAGGCAGAGTTGTGGTGAGCTGAGATCACGCTACTACACTCCAGCCTGGGCAACAGAGCGAGACTCCGTCTCAAAAAAAAAATGTGGTATACACAATGGAATACTATTCGGCCATAAAAAACAATGAAATCATGTCTTTTGCAGCAACATGAATGAAACTGAAGGCCATTAATTTGAGTGAAACAACTCAGAAACAGAAAGACAAATACTGAATCTTTTCACTTGTAAGTGGGAGCTAAATAATGTGTACACATGGACATAGCATGTGGAATTATAAACAACAGAAACTTGGAAGGGTGGGGAGGTGGGAAGGAAGTAGATGATGAGGAAATTACTTAACGAGTACAATGTGCATTATTCAGGCTATGGATACAGTAAAATGCCTGACTTCACCACTACACAATGTATCCGTGTAACAAAATTACACTTGTGGCCTGGCACTGTGGCTCATGCCTGCAATCCCAGCACTTTGGGAGGCCAATGCACATTATTCAGTTGATGGATACAGTAAAATGCCTGACTTCACCACTACACAACGTATCCATGTAAAAAAATTACACTTGTGGCCTGGCGCTGTGGCTCATGCCTGTAATCCTAGCACTTTGGGAGGCCAATGTACATTATTCAGATGATGGATACAGTAAAATGCCTGACTTCACCACTACACAATGTATCTGTGTAACAAAATTACACTTGTGGCCTGGCATGGTGGCTCATGTCTGTAATCCGAGCACTTTGGGAGACCAAGGCAGGTGGATCACTGGAGGCCAGGAGTTTGAGACCTGCCTGGCCAACGTGGTGAAACCCCATCATCTCTACTAAAAATACAAAAATTAGCCAGGTGTGGTGGCACACGCCTGTAATCCCACCTACTCAGGAGGCAGAGGCAGGAAAATCGCTTGAACCCGGGAGGCAGAGGTTGCAGTGAACCGAAATCACGCCACTGCACTCCAGCCTGGGTGACAGAGTGAGACTCTGTCTCAAAAAAAAAATATTATATTTGTACCCAATAAATTTATATGAAACAATTAAATGCTTCTGAGATCTGGCTTAATGGTTGCTCAGCCTGCATTCTGGTTCCACATGTAGGTCTGCTTGTGAAAACTCATTACAGTGTTCACCCCTGGTCTGTGTACCCTTCTGTATTTGTGTTACACTCCAATCTGAGGTTTACATTACAATAGGTCAAACCTGTGAATAAAACCTTATATTGGCTCCGGCACTGGGCAACGCAGTAATCATTAAATTAATGCTGAATGAACAGACAACTGGCTGGGAGTGGGACACGGTAGCAATAAGATGGCCTCTTAACTTTTGAGGTCTCCTGAAAAAGTGCTAGTCCAGAATGATTCACTTTCCAGATGAGCAGGAGACACCCACCCCAAGGTCACTTACTGCAGGTTTTACAGACCAGTTTAAGAAACTGCCTAAGATCAAGTAATTTAGTAAATGGCAGAGCCTGGATATGAGTCCAGGTAGTCAGGCTCCAGAATCCAGACTTTTGCCCACTACTTTATAGTGTTTGGGGGCACTACTGGCGACAGACCCTTTTGTCTCCCTCTCAGATCCAGACAGGCAGAGGTCCTGTCTTAAATCACTCTTGTGGGTTGGACAGGTCTCCTGGACACCCGGGAGTGGGAGAGCCCTGCTGCCCGAGGAGACTGGGGGTACATGAGGATGAGCACCTGACTCTGCTCGAGAAGGAGTAAGGGAGGGAAGGGGATGCATGGTGGGACCTTCGCTCCTGTCTGTCCCCTCAGGGCAAGCTGGGGCTGACGGAACCTCAGACCAGCCAGTCACTTCTTAATGAGCTCACAGCTGGACTGGCAGGCAGACAGAATATCCGTTTGGTTAACTGTATAACTGTTTGGTTGACTACAGAACTCATGGAGTGACAGGGAGAAGGCGCAACTTGAGGACGTGACAGCGCAGTTTCCTGAACATCTAACTGAATGACAGCCTGCCTAGGACTGGCTGGGGCTGGTAGCCTGACAGTGGAAAAGACAGGCAGCCTCCTGAGGACCTTGCAGGCTGGCTGACTGATGGCCCGTGGTGCTACTGCCTGCCTGGGTGGCCGGATGTTGTGAATGACTATTGTCAGGAATCACAGCTGGCGGGGGAATGTCTAGATGTTATACTGTCTGGCACCGTGTAAAGGAGGGCCACCTGGGGAAACTTCAGGCTAACTGATCAACAGACCCGTGGCTGCTTGCTAGGCAGCTGTATCTGGTGATCAACTATCCACGCTGCTCGAATCACAGCATGCTGGAGGGCCTGGCTGGGTGCTCTGACTGACTGATCACCTGACAGACGGTGCGGTCAGTCGGATGCTGAGAATGACTGACGATGTGATGAGGGGCGGATTGAACGAGTCACAGGCCAGCTGGCCAGGAGCAAAATCGGCATAGCTGTCTGACTCGATGGCTGTACGTGGTTACGGACTGTCTGCCCTGATAGAATCTCAGCTTCAACGCATCAGAGGAGACTGACTTGACCAATGGTGGGGATGAGTCGCCTGAGAAATGACAGACTGGCTGACCCACTGACAGGTGGTGTGGAGGCTTAATCCTACCTCTAGTTGCTGTGACTATTTGCTTTGAGGGCCTAGCTGGATGTTGTGACTGATCGTGGTGTGAATGAGAAGTAATCTGAGGGAAAGACAGTGACCAACTGATAGTGCCCGACAGGGCTGTATTAGATGCTGACAGTGACAGCTTGTCCCGACCTAATCACAGCCCGCCTGGGGGCATGGCTGGATGCTGCAGTCTATGAGAGGATTTAGCCAGGGAGAATCGCAGCTGGTCCCAGGGCTATGGTGGGTGGAGAGGAGGACTGATTGATCTGCTGACAACGTGAGGACAGGATGGTCTTAGGGAATGATAAGGCAGGCTGGCTAACAGTGCTGTCTGCCTGCCTCCAGGGAGTCGCCGCTGGCCAGGGCACAAATGGAAGCCAGTATTGACTGCCCAGCAGTGTGGATGGGGGCCGGGAGTCTGACTAGGCACCTGTCTGGGGCGACCGCCTGAGCAGTTGGATACGGCACTAGTCCACCTGGGAGCCCCGGCCTGCTTGGGGTTAAAATGAGATGACGGGCTGACTGACGGTGATAACAGGGAGTATGACAGGACTGAGGAACCACTGCGACTGGCTGATAACGTGATTGGCTAGCAGTGTGACAGACAGACCAGCGCACGGGCAGGGCCTCTGGCAACTTTAGCTACCGCCGCTGTCGCTCCCGCTGCCGCCGCCGCCCAGACGCACTCTGGGAAAGCGCGGCGAGCACCCGCCTCCGGGACCGAGCCGGGCGGCAGGGAGGGGTTCGGTCACGGCTCTCCGGTTGGTCCGCGCGGGTGCTGCGAGTCGGGAGCCGCGGCCAATAGGCTGCGCGTTCCCGGCCACGCCCGCGCGAGCGCTCTTCTCGCGAGGCCGGCTAGGCCCGAATGTCGTTAGCCGTGGGGAAAGATGGCGGAAAATTTAAAAGGTGAAGCAGTGGAGGCAGAGGCGCGGGCCCGCTGGCCGGGCCGGGTGGGCTGGAGGGGTGGCGTTGCCGGCTCGGGGCCCCGGCGTCCGAGGCCCCGGCGCCGGGAGCCGGAAGCTCGGCGCGGAAAGGATGAGGCTCGGGGAGCGCGGGCCTGGTGCGCGGGGCTGGGCGGGGCTCAGGGGAGGGGGCGCGCGCCTCGGAACGCAGCGGGCCTGGGGCTAAGTGGGGACGCAGGAGGGGGGCGCGCGCTGCAGATCGCGGCCGGACCGGCGCGCGCACGCGCGGGGGCTTGTCGAGGAGGCCGCGCCCGCGCGCGGGAAAATCGGCCCCTGGTGACCGTTACCCATTCGGTGTCCACGCGAGACGCCGGAAGGGGAGGGAAGATAAGGGGGACAGACCCCCCCTTCAGAGTGCGGGGACTGAGAACTCTTCTGGGGGAAAGTATCGCCTCTCGGCGTGATGGGGGAAGGGTTTGGAATAGAGGATCTCCCAGAAGAGAGAAATGGGGCCTTCCTAATAGGACAGCTGGACTCCCCCATGTGCAGGGAAAGAGGGGTGACTCAGTTATGTTGGGGGGCCCCTCTATGTGACGAAAGCCGCAGGGAGGATGGGTTCCACAAGTGGGAGGACCTCTGAGGGGTTCAGGAGAGTCCACCTGTGGCCAGTTCCGGAGCCAGCAGCTGGAGGGTGTTAATTGGGACCACTTAAGTGGGGTTTCAAATGCAAGTGAAGGAAGGGGTTTGCGAGGACAGGCTGTAGGGAGAGGAAAGCGTGGGCACAGGCGGGCTCAGTCTCCACTTGGTCTTGCCTAAGTAGGGGGGGTAGGGCTTGCACACGAAATAATTTTGAAAAGCTCTTGTACGTTTTTAGGTTGACATCTAAAGTTTAGGTGTGATTTTTGCAATGGGAGGCAGAAAATATTAAACATTTTAAAAAGATGATATAGGATGAGGACTGACTGCCCTTGGAATGTTTTGAGACATGATTTGATAAAATGGCTTCTAAAGTACTTTGATTAAGAATGTGCCTTGAATCAGAAAGAAATCTGTTTTTTAAAATCCGTGTGTCTTACAAAATTTTGGCAGTCCCAGAAATATACCAGGTATATTTAAAAGAATCAGTGTCACTAATCTGTACCGCTTTGCGTATAAATTCAGAGCATAACCCTTTGGATGAGCTTTACTCTTCACAGAAAGATGGATGAGACAGAAAGTCAAAATGCAGTGTGAAAAAATATACCTTGTGGATTTAAGGCACCCAGATTGATCATTTAAGGAGCCTTCCTGTAATGTAGTATCATTCCACAATCTCTTGCTCATAATTCCGAAATCTAAAAAGCCCTGAAAACTGAAATCCTTTTCTTAAATTTGGCACCATTTATGGCAAAAGTAGATTATAAAGTGGAACTCTTCTGTGAGGCTATTTTATATCTCTATTTCTCCTATTTAATGTGGGAAATTCATACTTTTGCTGCAGGACGGTTAATGCATTTGATTATAGCTTGATGTCCCCTGGCCACGCTGGGGGTGTTAGGTGATGTATGGGATATCCTAGAACTAGTCTTGTAAAATCCAAAAAATTTTGAATTCCAAAACACATCTGGCCCAGGAGTTTGAGATAAGGGATTAAAGACCAGTCTTTCCAGTTACGCCTTTGTTTGGTGCCCTGGAGGTTTTAATCTTGTCCTCCCATCCGCCCCACCTCGGGGCACTGCATCCTACTGAGATGGGGGGTTGTTCTCTTTCTTTTGCAAAGTGGAGAGAGGGGTGATCAGGTCCTGAACCCAAAGCAGGTTTGCAGGCAGTTTTAGGAATGACATGGAGTTTGAAGCTCTGGAAATAGATTCCTTTAGGACAATTCATGTTGCAAACCCCGCTTAGAGGTCTGCTGCTCCAGGGGCAGCTTTGGGCAGTGAGTATTGGGGTTCAAAGCACATTTCTGTTGTAGAACAGTCTCAGCACTGGGGAAGGCCTGTGGATTAAATTTCCCTGACTCTTAGTCAGTCTTTGGGATGTCCCAGGGAGGATTTGGGGTCCCCTTTGACTCCTGGCCTAGTCAGGCTGCCCAGTAATAGTTCTTTCTGCCCCGCTTGATCCAGGCTGCAGCGTGTGTTGCAAGTCTTCTTGGAATCAGCTGCAGGACCTGTGCCGCCTGGCCAAGCTCTCCTGCCCTGCCCTCGGTATCTCTAAGAGGAACCTCTATGACTTTGAAGTCGAGTACCTGTGCGATTACAAGAAGATCCGCGTGAGTCTGGGGTGACCATGCTCTGGGAGGGGACAGGTCACAAGGAAGTTAGTGTCCTGCCCTCTTGTCCCCAACTGCCCACATCTGTTTCCAAAGGGAATTTTCTCCTTTGACCCTGAAAACACAGGATGAATAGACCCTTTTATCCCTATGTTACAGATAGGGAAACTAAGTAGCTTTCTGGGCAGGAGCCGGAATGAATTCCCAAATAAATCTCTTCCCATCTCCCTAGGAATACAAAGTAATTGCAGAGATTGAGATGCTGAACCCTGGAGTGGAAATGTCAATAGCTAATGGCTATTGAGCACTTTCAGTGTGCCAGGCGTTTCCTCTCGGAAACTCATTTAATCCCCTAACAACTGAAATGGGGATAGTTATTGCCAGAAGGGGGAGTGGCAGGATGGTTAGGAGAACAAACTGGAGTCAGCATGCTTGGGTTCCAGTCCTGGTTGTGTTACCCCAGGCTACCTACCCAAACCTTCAGTACTTCATTTTCCTTGTCGTAAAAGAGGGATAACTAGGAGCATCTACCTCATGTGGGGTTGTGAGGATTAAGTTAGTTAATAATACATGTAAGCTGCCTAGAACAGGCAAGGACTTGTCAGGGTCCAGGTGAGCCAGGGTGGTGGCAGTGATGATGGTTTGTCACTGGACGTATTTTGAAGGTGGGGCCAACGGGATGTGCAGAGGGTGGGTGTCGGAAGTGTGAACAAAAGAGAAGTCAAGGATGACTCCAGGAGTTCCGGTCTGAACAGCTAGAAGGGAGGGAGCTGATGATGGGGAAGACCAAGGAGAGGAGTGGGTTTGGGAGATTAATTAAAAGTTGGAACAGTTTGGACAGACAGTAAGGGGGAGAGGAGGATTTGAACCTAGTAATCCTCACTCTAGAGCCCATGCTTTTTAATCACCGCATGAAGTCATTCCAGAAAAGGGGTGGGGTGGGGTAGGTGTTATCCATCAGCTTTGGGATGGAAGCCCCATGAAGGCTGGCCCAAAGATCTCACTACTTACGGTACCCCCGTCCCCCTACCCACCCCCAACAGGAACAGGAATATTACCTGGTGAAATGGCGTGGATATCCAGACTCAGAGAGCACCTGGGAGCCACGGCAGAATCTCAAGTGTGTGCGTATCCTCAAGCAGTTCCACAAGGACTTAGAAAGGGAGCTGCTCCGGCGGCACCACCGGTCAAAGACCCCCCGGCACCTGGACCCAAGCTTGGCCAACTACCTGGTGCAGAAGGCCAAGCAGAGGCGGGCGCTCCGTCGCTGGGAGCAGGAGCTCAATGCCAAGCGCAGCCATCTGGGACGCATCACTGTAGAGAATGAGGTGGACCTGGACGGCCCTCCGCGGGCCTTCGTGTACATCAATGAGTACCGTGTTGGTGAGGGCATCACCCTCAACCAGGTGGCTGTGGGCTGCGAGTGCCAGGACTGTCTGTGGGCACCCACTGGAGGCTGCTGCCCGGGGGCGTCACTGCACAAGTTTGCCTACAATGACCAGGGCCAGGTGCGGCTTCGAGCCGGGCTGCCCATCTACGAGTGCAACTCCCGCTGCCGCTGCGGCTATGACTGCCCAAATCGTGTGGTACAGAAGGGTATCCGATATGACCTCTGCATCTTCCGCACGGATGATGGGCGTGGCTGGGGCGTCCGCACCCTGGAGAAGATTCGCAAGAACAGCTTCGTCATGGAGTACGTGGGAGAGGTAGGGAGATGGGACCCGGTGTGTGTGTGCAGCTCTTCCCACCCTGTGTTCACAGTGTGCACCCGGCTCTCCTCACTGTGTGTCTGAAACTCCCTGCTTTCCCTATGGGAAAGGCCTGGGAGACTGATCTGAGTGTCACAGGGACATTGGGCAGGGGCTAGTATTCCAAGCTGGTACACACCAGCATGGCCATGCTGGTGGTTACAGGAACACCAAAATACTTCTGCACTGGGTTGACTTTATCAGGGTACTTAGCAAAGAAGAAAAGTGGGAGCTGAGATCCAGGCAGCCTTAGCATTCCTTGTAACAGGCCATGTGGTCTGGCATAGGGCTGCATCAGCTGGAAAGGCACTTCCTCTTCTCATTTCACAAGGGCCCATCTTATCACCAAGCAGTATCTGCCTGAGGAGCATTGTTTTACCAGTCTGCACAGAAGGAACGCAGTCTGGAGTAGGATGAGACATGCCTTGGACAAAGGTTGGCTAACTCCTTTAGACTTTCAGGACACTGGGGAAGGCCGAGTGTATTAGGCAAGCCAGCCATTGTAAAAACAACCCCCTCATCTTAGTGACTTTGCACATTACAAGTTTGCTTGCTCATGGAACAGTCCATTGTGGGGGTTTGAGTGGGTATCCTTTCACACAGCAACTGGGACACCTAGGCTCTTTCCCTCCTGTGCCTTTGCTGTGCCTTGAAGCCTTGGAGTCACTACCAGATCCTCAGCATTGCCTGGCAGGCGGGCCAAGTGGGGGATAGAAGGGGCCCATCCTAGTGGGCCAGGCCTAGATGCAGCACCCATCACTTCTGCCCATGCTCCACTGGCTGGAACTGAGTCACTGGCCTTACCTCCATGCAAGAGAGGCAACAGGATGTGCTTTAGCCATGTGCCCAGCTGCACAAGGCTAAAGCACAGCCATAACTAGCAACTAGATAACTAGCAAGTATCTACAACAGAAAAATGTCGCATTCTAAGATGGGATGCAGTTAGCATTTGGGATGAGATGATTTTTCGTTATGTAGAACTGTCTCATGCATTGGGGGACATTTAGCATCCCTGGACCTTGACCATTTAAATCCATGAGTGTGCCCTGTCATAGTGACAACCCCAGATACCTCTATATATAGCCATAGGTCCCTTAGGGGTGTGATATAGTTGGAAAGTGACAGAAACTGGCCTGAGGAACACTCACATGAGGGTGTCCACACTGTAGCACTGATACTGATGACAAGGAGAGGCTCCTACTCTGAGAAACTGTACAGAGGGTCACATCTGACAGGGACAGAGACAATCTTGGGTAGAACAATCTACACCACAGAGGACCCTGACAGTCTGGGCAAGGAGACAGCCACACCCTGTCCAGATAACCCTGCTGGCCTGCTGGAGGAGATGTCTACATGCCACAGGACCTGGCCATCTGGAAGGAGGAGGTGGGGAGGTGTCCACACCCTGAGGGCTCCTGACAGTGGGCGGGGGAAGGAGTCCTGATAATCTGCAGGAAGTCCATGTCCCACAGTGACCCCAGTGACCTGGAGGAAGAGCTTGTGCTCTCCACACTCTAGAGGACCTGGTGGTCTGACTTAGGAAGTGTTCACACCCATGTTGTCATGACAGGAAAAAGAAGTGTCCTCACCCCAGAGGGATCCGGACAGCCTGGAGATCTAGTCTACACCCAAGGGCACCCTGACAGTATCGGGGGAAGTGTCCATGCCCTCAATGTCCTGACGCTCTGGAGGAAGTGTCCAGAGGTTGAAGGAACCCAAACTCTCTGGAGGAGATGTCCAGACCCCATAGGACCCAGACAGTCCACCGTCCTAGGGGCTGCACAGAGCAGGAAGTATCTCAGCCTCACTGTACTGGCATCTGGAGGAAACACTGTCTACCACACAGGGTCCTGACAGTCGAGGAGGAAGACTACACCCCAAGGGCAGCCTCAGACCCTCCTGGGCCTGAGACTTTTCTGGCTGCTCTTCCTTAGTGTCAGTGTCTTTAATCCTCCCAGGGATCCTCTCAGCCCTGTCCTCACCCTTCCTGCTCTCCACACATTCTTGCTGCACTATTTCCTGACCGCCCTCCAGCACCCTCAGACCCATGGGTCCTCCTGATGGTGCCACAGGCCTCCGGAAAGAGCCAAACTCATCTTCCCGCATTCCCCTCTGAAGAGACAGTATAGCAAATGGTTAGGAGGGTGGACTCTGGATCCTGACTGCCCGAGGCTGAATCCCAGCTCCACTACTCATCAGCAATCACTAACCTCTGTGCCTGCATTTACTATGTAAAATGGGAACAATAATAGCACTCACCTCACAGGCTTGTTACAAAAATTAAATGAGTTACTATGTATCAAGCACTTGGAAAAAGCACTTGAACAGTGTTCAGTACACAGTAAGTTTGATACAAATGTTATCAGCATAGTTCAAACTTCAGCAAATCCAAAATGTCTGGAAGACCAAGTTTTTTTGTAACCCATCTGGCTACAGGACCCAGCCTGACCGGATAGGGTCCTATTTGTAGTTTTTATTTATCCTACTTGGGGTAATAGTCATACATTTCGTTGCAGCAGTTCTAATTTACTTGATTCTGTAGTGCCGTCCCAGATGCTGCCAGGGTGTTACGGAATCAAGGGCCTATCTGCACACCATGCTATCTACTGTCCTTCTTCAGCTGGGACATGTACTGACAGTCTGTACCAAGAGCTCCCTCCACGGGAGCTGCCCTTCCCTCCTTTGCAGCCTCCCACATTGGGTCAGAACTTTCACGTTCCTGCAGAACATTCCCATCCTCACCCAAGAGACAATGCCAGCCTATTTTATCCATTCTAAAACATGCATTTTCTTCCTATTTTAACATCTCGGAAATGAAGATGTCTTAATTAAATCATGGTGTATCATTTATAATTAACAGCAGTTTTTCCTTTCTTGGTAAAGGGCACATAAAATTAAGGGTGTGCCTTACATTTATAACTGGTCCTCATAACCACTCCTAACATTGCTCACTCTCCTATCAGAAACAGGAACACCTTTCACGTCCATGATCTTGTATGGATCTTTACAACAGCCCCTGTCAGGTTGGGATTTTGTCACTGTCATTCCCATTCTGCAGATGAGAAAACTGAGGCCCAGAGAGGTAGAATAACTTGATTAAAATCACAAAAGTAGTACAATGGATAAAAAAATAAAGGCCCAAATAATATCTAAAACTGGTACCCTGCCAGGCTGTAGCTTTTTTTTTTTTTTTTTAGCTGAGGAAACAGGCACAGAGAGAACATTCAGGATCCCATATCCAGGAGGGGGCAGAGCAGCAGCTGACTCCAAGTCTTCTAGTTCCCATTCACGTCAGCACCCTCTCGGAACTGCCAGCTTACAGCCTGTCTTTTCCATTCATTCTGGAGAGCTGTTAGGGAGCAGAGACAGGCCCATCTGTTCCCAAGCTTTCAGGGTTGACCAATCATTAGAGAATGGGACTGAAAAGAAGATGAGAAGGAACCAAGAAGTGTTTGTGCCCTGGAGGGCCTGCAGTATGACTCACTCCTGGTGAGACTGGGAGAGCAGGTAGTGGCAGAATAGGCATGAAGATGGAGACTAGGAAGGATGTGGGCACTCCTCCTGGCTCAAGGAGGGCCTACGGTGAAAAAGATGGCTCATACCCCACCCACTAGGCCTGTGAGCCTGGGAGAGGCTGCCCTTTGATCCCAGGACTTGATCAGACAAGTGGCCAGCTTCTGAGGTAGGGGAGGAACGGGAAGCTTGGAAGGCTGCCTAGAGAGGTCCCATCTGTTTGAGCTGATGCCACAAGGAAGACTGTTCTCCAGGAGGTGAAGGGAGACTGATCTTGACATATTCCACCCTCATGTTGTGGCCCTTAGGAGAGAGTCCCCACTCTTCCACCAGGTGGTAAAGCCCTTTTATGATCTGCAACTCGTTTTAGAGAATCCGTCTCTTCTCCATTCCCCCTCAAGCCCTAAGCACTGTTTCCTGATCACAGTCTTACACTGTGGGTGTGTGAATCTGTCTCTCTGTGACCAGACTTTGACCCCTTGAGGGCAGGGACCAATCCTGGTTCCTGTGTATCCCCTACCCACCTGTGACCCCTGAGAGTGGACCGGGCCTGGTCCCTGTGTCTCCCTGATCAGACCGTGAGCCCTGCATGCTGGGACTGGGCACAAGGAAGGCCTCAATAAAAACCCTGGCAAGGGAGCCAGGTTCCTCAAGGAACAGAACTGGAGCACGGGGCAGTGGGTAGTGTGGCCCGAGGCAGGGTAAATCTTGGTTTCCTCAAGGCATTGTTAGTCAGCCTTTGGCATGGAACACAGCCTTGAGGGGACAGCCAGGGAGAACACCAGTGTGGCCATCCTAGCTAAGGAGATGGATTCCCAAGTCAGAAGGGCATGGTCACCGGCCCACATGAGGGTGAGCAAGGAAGGAAGCCCGAGAGGGGTCTCTGGAGAAGGGAGGGGAAGGAAGAAGTGTGGCGGGGGAGTACTGGAGCTACCTGGAGGGCCGCCACTTGGACAGAGGACAGGCTGCTAAGCCAGGAAGCAGAATCAAAGTAAACAGCAGTCCCCATGTGTCTCCTGTGTGCTGTGCACTGTTCTTGGCTGAGGTACAGTGGGACCCCTACCCAGGGAAGGGCCTGGTCAGCTACGCTTGGGGATTGGCAGGAGGCTGCCGTTGCTGGCCTCAGGGAAGAGGGGCCATGGGGCCGGAGATTTGTTGGCGTGGATTGGGAGGCAAGGACAGGCTGGGGCTAGGATGGCAGCAAAGCTTCCCATTTCCTAGGACAGGTAGGGAACCAGCTGGGGAGGAGGCACCCACTGCCGTCTGAAGCACCAGTTGGCACTGCGCAGCCCTGGGCCGAGGGAGAGCTTCTCTCACTGTGCTCTCCCTTCATCTTTCCTCCTCCTCTGCTGCTGTCTCTGAAGTGTGTGGCCTCAGCCTCTTTCTGGCTCTCTGAACCTGGGCCTCCCTCTGCCTCTGCCTCCACCTCTCTTGTCTTGAGGCCCTTGCCCCCTTTCCCCATGGCCTGGGTCTCTTCTTCCCCTCTCTCCACGCCCTCCCTGCTGGGTCCTGCATGGGCTCAGGCTCCCTTGCCTGGATCAGTAAGTATCTCTCCCTGTGGCACCCTGGGTCACTTTCTTTCTTGCCCTTGCTTTGGTCTCTCCTGATCACCTTCCTGCTCCGTCCCAAGGCACTGGAGGCTCCAGGGGTTCTTGGGCAGCTCTTGCTGGGTGGCGGCAGGAGGTGCTCGCGTGGCCCCAGTTGGGCCCTGCAGCCAGGCCAGCCTGCACTCACCGCCAGGGACTCCTCCTGCTAGCCAGAGGCCTGAGGCGGGCCAGGCAGTTGCCAGCTGAGGCCCAGCTCCTCAGGAAGGGCCGACAGACTCTCTGCGTCACTGCCCATGTGTGTCCACGGGCAGGGGTGCCTCCTGCTCCCTGTCCTTCAGAAGTCAGGAGCAGTGCCGGCTTTCCTGAGACTTCGCGGCCAATCTCCCCTTACCCATGGCCCTTTCCCTAGATCATTACCTCAGAGGAGGCAGAGCGGCGGGGCCAGATCTACGACCGTCAGGGCGCCACCTACCTCTTTGACCTGGACTACGTGGAGGACGTGTACACCGTGGATGCCGCCTACTATGGCAACATCTCCCACTTTGTCAACCACAGTGTGGGTACCCCCGGCAGGCGGGCAAGGGGTCGAGAGGGGCAGGCTGGAGCCCCTCCTCACTCTCCCAACTGTTCTTTCTCGCCCAGTGTGACCCCAACCTGCAGGTGTACAACGTCTTCATAGACAACCTTGACGAGCGGCTGCCCCGCATCGCTTTCTTTGCCACAAGAACCATCCGGGCAGGCGAGGAGCTCACCTTTGATTACAACATGCAAGGTGGGGGTGGCAAGGGACTGGGGGCAGGGGCGCACTGTGACTTGGGACACAAGGACCCCTCCCAAAGGCACACCAGTCACTCAGAGAACCAAGGAAAATTCTTTAGCGGGAGCTTTAAGATGCTCTTCCTGACTCCCAGTCCCCCATTCGGACTACTAGACCCCTGCCTACCCCTCGAGTCCCCTCATTCCCAGCCCCTGAACCCTAACCCTGAGGCATTCATACCAACTTCTCCCAAGATTCCTGGAGAGTTAAGAAACTCCTGACTCCAGTCTTGACTGAGTTTCCCTCATCCCCCAGCCCCTCCCCACTCCTAGCTCCCTTTGGCCTTCTTCATCCCAAGCCTCTGGACACCCTTGTGGCCTCCAGCCAGTCCCCTCCTTGATAAGCTAGCCACCTCTGAGACCCTCAAGGGCAGGTCTTTGGCAGGAGAGTTCAGATGTACCTCTGGATGCCCAGGTGGCCCTCTATTCCTGCCCCTGCCCCCCCCCACACACCTAAAACGACCCTCCTGGTTCCTTGACGGCTCCCTGCCTCCCCCAGCATTCTTCAACCCCTGGCCTGAACAACCTCCAGTGCTGAGCCCTGGCCCTAGCCCCAAACCACCAACCCTAAGATCTCCCAACTCAAATCCCAGAGTTGCTCCCAGCCCCAAAGATCCTTGGTCTCATGGTATAAAGGGTAGTGGGACCCTTCATCCAGGCCTTCTAACAAGTCCCCTGCCTCCTTCCCTACCTTCCTCCCTCCCTCCTTCTCCCCCTCCCTCCCTGCCTCCTTCCCTCCTCTCCTCCCTGGCTGTGACTCCACAGTGGACCCCGTGGACATGGAGAGCACCCGCATGGACTCCAACTTTGGCCTGGCTGGGCTCCCTGGCTCCCCTAAGAAGCGGGTCCGTATTGAATGCAAGTGTGGGACTGAGTCCTGCCGCAAATACCTCTTCTAGCCCTTAGAAGTCTGAGGCCAGACTGACTGAGGGGGCCTGAAGCTACATGCACCTCCCCCACTGCTGCCCTCCTGTCGAGAATGACTGCCAGGGCCTCGCCTGCCTCCACCTGCCCCCACCTGCTCCTACCTGCTCTACGTTCAGGGCTGTGGCCGTGGTGAGGACCGACTCCAGGAGTCCCCTTTCCCTGTCCCAGCCCCATCTGTGGGTTGCACTTACAAACCCCCACCCACCTTCAGAAATAGTTTTTCAACATCAAGACTCTCTGTCGTTGGGATTCATGGCCTATTAAGGAGGTCCAAGGGGTGAGTCCCAACCCAGCCCCAGAATATATTTGTTTTTGCACCTGCTTCTGCCTGGAGATTGAGGGGTCTGCTGCAGGCCTCCTCCCTGCTGCCCCAAAGGTATGGGGAAGCAACCCCAGAGCAGGCAGACATCAGAGGCCAGAGTGCCTAGCCCGACATGAAGCTGGTTCCCCAACCACAGAAACTTTGTACTAGTGAAAGAAAGGGGGTCCCTGGGCTACGGGCTGAGGCTGGTTTCTGCTCGTGCTTACAGTGCTGGGTAGTGTTGGCCCTAAGAGCTGTAGGGTCTCTTCTTCAGGGCTGCATATCTGAGAAGTGGATGCCCACATGCCACTGGAAGGGAAGTGGGTGTCCATGGGCCACTGAGCAGTGAGAGGAAGGCAGTGCAGAGCTGGCCAGCCCTGGAGGTAGGCTGGGACCAAGCTCTGCCTTCACAGTGCAGTGAAGGTACCTAGGGCTCTTGGGAGCTCTGCGGTTGCTAGGGGCCCTGACCTGGGGTGTCATGACCGCTGACACCACTCAGAGCTGGAACCAAGATCTAGATAGTCCGTAGATAGCACTTAGGACAAGAATGTGCATTGATGGGGTGGTGATGAGGTGCCAGGCACTGGGTAGAGCACCTGGTCCACGTGGATTGTCTCAGGGAAGCCTTGAAAACCACGGAGGTGGATGCCAGGAAAGGGCCCATGTGGCAGAAGGCAAAGTACAGGCCAAGAATTGGGGGTGGGGGAGATGGCTTCCCCACTATGGGATGACGAGGCGAGAGGGAAGCCCTTGCTGCCTGCCATTCCCAGACCCCAGCCCTTTGTGCTCACCCTGGTTCCACTGGTCTCAAAAGTCACCTGCCTACAAATGTACAAAAGGCGAAGGTTCTGATGGCTGCCTTGCTCCTTGCTCCCCCACCCCCTGTGAGGACTTCTCTAGGAAGTCCTTCCTGACTACCTGTGCCCAGAGTGCCCCTACATGAGACTGTATGCCCTGCTATCAGATGCCAGATCTATGTGTCTGTCTGTGTGTCCATCCCGCCGGCCCCCCAGACTAACCTCCAGGCATGGACTGAATCTGGTTCTCCTCTTGTACACCCCTCAACCCTATGCAGCCTGGAGTGGGCATCAATAAAATGAACTGTCGACTGAACAAACCAAGATGTGAGGTGCTTGTGTGGGTGGGGGTTGAGGGGATAGAGGCTGGGAGCTGGGTTTGCCCAGGAACATGTTCCTCAAACCTCAGCCATTTGACTCTAATCCTCACAATTTCAGCCCCCACAGCATATCACTTACACCATCATCTATATAACATCTTGACCTAAAATAAGTTTGTTTTATACTTAAACTTTAAAATGCACTTAAGGCTGGGTGTGGTGGCTCACATCTTTAATCCCAGCACTTTGGGAGGCCGAGGCAGGCAGATCGCTTGAGCTCAGGAATTCGAGACCAGCATGGGCAACATGGTGAAACCACGTCTCTGCTAAAAATACAAAAATTGGCCAGGTGTGGGGGCATGTGCCTGTACCTGTAGTCCCAGCTACTCAGGAGCCTGAGGTGGGAAGATTGCTTGAGCCTGGGAGGTGGAGGTTGCAGTGAGCTGAGATCTCACCACTGCACTCCAGCCTGTCTGTCTCCAGAAAAGAGCCAAACCCTGTCTCAAAACAATGCAATTAAATTGACTGGTTTAGACTGGCCGTAACTGGTTTTGACTGGACTTGACCGATCTTGACCTGTGTTGGCCGACTTTGACTTGTCATGACTGGCTGTGACTGGTGGTAGCTAGCCGTGACTGGCCTCGACTCGTTTTGACCAATCAGGACTGGCTTGGACTGGGATTGACCAGTTTTGACTGCTTAAACTGGCTGTGATCAGCCTGGACTGGCTTGGATTGGCCTGGACTAGCAGGGACTGAAATGGATTGGTTTTGACCAGCTTTGACCAGCCTTGACTGGTCTTGGCCTGCTGTGACTAACCTGGACCAGCTGTGACTGGCTGTGACCATAATTGATTAGTTTGGACTGGCCATGACTGGCTTTGACCCATCCTGACCAGCCATGACCAGTGGTTTCTGGCCTTGACCAGCCATGATCTCTGGTAACTGGCCTTGACTGGCCGTGATCAGCTTTGACCAACTTAGACTAGCCATAACCAGCTTTGACCAGTCTTGACTGGCCATGATTGGTGGTGACCAGCCATGACTGGTAATGTCTGGCTGAGACCCTGCCACCTCCTGCCTGACCAAGTGCCCAGGCCTCAGGGACTATACAGCACTGGGGGGGTGGGGGGGAGGGTAGAAGGAGTGGAGCAAAGTGGGGAGGGAGAAAACCAAATCCACTGCTGTCTAAATGGAAAAACCATAATCACTTGCCATAAGCAAACAAAAATAACCAGAGGAATACATCAATGGAAAGGTTAAAATGTGATAATATTCTAGCTGGACCTTCCCTGCTCTTAAAGGCTTTGAACCCAAAATCTGCCTCCAGCATTCAAAATGAAAAGTTTGTGTGTGCTGGGGAAACTTTTTCTGCAAATATTTATTGAGCACCTATATGGTGCCAGGGTATAAAGTGGAGAATGAAGACCACATTTCAGATATACTTACTCATTTTCATCATCTCTCAATCTGAAAGGGAGCCAGTGCTCTTTGTTTTTGCTCAGGGACCTCACGTGCCGTGACAGATACCCAAATATTTCAAAGACCTCATACAGAGGTGGCAGGATCCCAAAAAGCCCAGAGACCTCATACACAGGGTAACCAGGACATACACAGGGCATCTAGGGTATAAGGCCTTATAGACCATATACCCTGAATATTGACCCCAAACTTCTCAGAAACCTCATACCCTGGGATACACACCTACATATATCTCAGAGCTCTCATAATTGGACACACCGCAAGTAACACAGGCTTCACTGAAAACTATGGGCTACAGACCCTTAAACAGCTCTTAGACCTCACATACTGCCTCATATACTGGGATTCAGACCTTAAACACATCAGAGACCTTTCCTTTGATGACAGAGATGCACAACCATCTCAAAGACCTTACAACTTGAGATGTCACTACCCAAACTATTTGGAGGCTCCACACCCTGATCATTGACTTCCAAACCGCTCAGAGACTTAGTATCCTGGGACAGACCCCCAAACAACTGAGCTGGCACACCCTGGACACAGACTGCCCAAACACCCGAGATACCTCGCCCTTTGAAAACAGATCCTTAAATGGTTCTGAAAACTCATACCTTGTATAGGGACCCACAGATTGCTCAGAGACACCCTAGAAAACAGACAAGTAAACATCCCAGAGACCTTACACGTGAATATAGTGCCACAAACAACTTAGACTCAAGTCTTTGAAGCAGACCCCAAGAGCTTAGAGATCTCACAGCCTGGAAACAGACCCTGCTCACAGGACTCATACCTGGGAAACAAATCTGTTTACAGCTCAAACATGACCTCACGCCTTCTGACACAGACCCCTCAACAGTTCAAAGCCAAGGCAGCCTAGTAATCAATATATTTCTATTCTATTGATAACAGACAATACCAAACACTTCAGAGACCTCACACTTTGTAACCCCACACCCAAAGAGCTCAGAGACGTGGAAATCTGATTACAGACCTCCGGGAAACTCAGAGACTTCACAATCAGGGATAAAGATCCACCAATTTCTCAGAGAACTCACAAACTGGGACAAAAATGGACCAACAGTTCAGAGACCTCACAACCTCTTCTCAGACCACCAGACAGCCCAGAGACCTCGCACCACGGACACAATGCTAGAGAGCCCTAAAATCACTTATGCTGGAACACAGGCCCGAAAACTACTCAGAGGCTCACACCCTGGACACAGATTCCTGTTCAGAGATGTCATATACTGGACATAGAGTTCCCCAAAATAGCTCACAGCCTTTATACACCGAGACAGATCCCCAAACAGCTCAGAGGCCCCACAGACCTGAAAGTGTGGACATAAACCCTCTATAGAGCTTAAAGACTTCACACCCTATGACAAAAACCCTGAGGAACTGAGATCACACCCCCTGGACACGGACCCCAAACAGCTTAGAAACCTCATATCCTAGGCTCAGACCCCCAAACAGTTCGGAGTCTTCCCACTCTAAACGCAGACCTCTAAATGCTTAAGGAATATCACATCCTGGACTCAGTCCTCAAAACCATTCATGGAACTTGCCCTTTGTCCTTATCCGGAAAGATTTCAGATGGCTGATAGTCATGGACACAGATCACCAAACAGCTTTGAAACCTTTGTGCAAAGTTGGCCACAAACAGTAGAGACACTTCATAACTGGAACACAGACCCAAAACGGCTTAGGACCTCACATTGTGGACACAGGCTCCCAAATGACTCAGAGAACTTCTAACCTGGGAGACAGACATGAAAACAGTTCAGAGATATCACATCCTGGCTAAGTATGCCCGCACAGCTCAAGCACCTCATATTATGGGACACAAACCCTCAAAGAGTTAACCTCACAACCTGAAAAGTAAACCCACAAACATGCCAAAGACCTCACACAGCAGACAGACAATGCAAAAATGCTCAGAGTTGACAAACTTTACACCCTAGGATACAGACCCCTTAACAGCCGAGTGACCCAGTGACATACAACCCGGGCATAGACCCCCAAATACTAGAGAGACGTCAGAAACTGATAACAGAACCCCAAACTGCTCAGAGACCCCAAACCCTAGAACCAGACCCCTAATAAGTCACAGACCTCATACCCTGGGACTGAGACTCCCTCAACAGGAACTGTCTCACTCTTGGAAACATAACAGTTGAGGGACCTCAACACCAAGGAATACAGAGATCAGAGATCTGACACTTTGGGACACAGAGGGTGAAGCACTCCAGAGGCTTGAAACAGTAAAAAGACATTATTAGTACAAAGACATCAGACTCTGGAAACAGATCCTGAAACTGCTCAGGAAAATCAACCCTAGGACAAAACCCACGGCATCACAGATAACTCATTTGTTGGGACATTGGCTCAAAACAGTTTGGCGGTGATACTCAAATACATCAGAGTTCTCATACAAGGGTACAAACACCTCACACCTGAAAAGAGAGACTGCTAAATAGTTCAGAGACATCATACTCTGCACAGGAACCACCAGAGAGTTAAGAAATTTCACACCTATAGACCTTCAAACAACTCAGAAAACTCACTCACTGGCGCACACACACCCATTACAAGCTCAGAGACCTTAACCCTGGAACAAACCCCTAATGAGTCAGATATATCAAACCCCGGGACTGAGCCCTCTGAAAAGGAACAGAGACTTCACGCCTGAAAATATATCCCAAACAGGTCAAGGGACTTTGAAACCAAAAGAGCTCAGGGACCACGTATCCTAGGACACCAGTGGACAAACAGCTCAGAGACCTCACAAGGTAAACACAGTCCGCAAAACAGCCCAGTGAACTCACCCCCCTGGAATGTAGACCAGAAAAAGCGCAGAACCCTCGCATTCAGGATTCAGAATCCTTCTGAGACTTAGGGTATAGACCCCAAAATATATTTCAGAGAATTAATATGCTGGATGCAGAGTATCAACTAATTCAGAGGCCTCAAATTGTGGGACGTACACACCCAAAGAGATCAGAGAACTCACATCCTGGACATACACCAACAAACAGACCAGGGACCTCAACCCTGTGACATGTGCGCGCGCGCGCGCACACACACACACACACACACACACAGCTCAGAAAATCCAAATTCTAGGAAACACACACCCAAAAAGAACGGGGACCTCACATCCTGTGACATACTCACAGAAAGATCAAAAACCACACAAGCTGAGATATACACCCACAAATATTTCAGAGAACTAACATCTGGGGCCTTATACCCACAAACAGATCACAGAACTCAGTCCCTGAGACATATACACATAAAAATACCAGACACTTCACATGCCAGGACATATACCCATGAATAGATCAGAGCACTCACACCTTGGGAAATAAACCAAAGACTACATCAGGGACCTCACATATTACTTGAGGCACACACTCACAAAGAGACCAGAGACTCAATTCCTGGGACATAAACCCAAACACCTCAGAGATCTCGCATGCTGGGACAAAGAAAGAAAGACAGGTCAGAACCTCACAACCTGGGACACAGAGCCACAAACAGATCAGAGATTACACACTGTTGACAAACATACAGGAACAGATCAGAACCCTCACATCCTGAGACATACAACCACAAGGAGATCAGAGAGCTCACATCTTGACATACACCCATAACCAAACTAGACTTGACATTCTGGTACGCTGACCCTCAAAGAGATCAGAGAATTCATACCCTTGGACTTACACCCACAAATAAGTAATAGACCTTGCAGGCTAGAAATACACATAGAGCCTGTCATCCTGGAACATAAACCCAAAAAGAGGCCAGAGAATTTACGTCTTGGGACACACACCCACAGTCACAATAGAGACTTCACATCCTAAAATATAAACCCACAAAGGATCAGAGATCATAAACCAAGGGATATACACCCACAAAGGGAACAGATACTGTCCACTGTGGGATATACATTGAGAAAGACCAGAGAAATGCACATCCTAGGAAATACACTAAAAAATCCTGGGAAATAAATCCACAGACAGTAATGAAACACTGGGATATACAAACCCACAAACAGATCAGAGACCACACACCCTGGGACACATATCCACAGACAGTATGAGATTTCACGTCCTGGAACAAACAGCAAGAAACAAATCAGAGACATTAAACACTTGGCAATACATGTGAAGAGATCAGAGATAACATAGCCTGGGACACTGACAAAATGTTCACAGACCTCGCATGCTAGGAAATTTGCCCAGAAAAAGATCAGAAACCTCACATCCTATGACACACAACCTCAAATAGATCACAGACATAAAATCCTGCAAAACACACCCACAAACCATTCACAAATCTTGCATCCTGGAACATACAATGACAAACAAATCAGAGACCTCACATCTAGGGGAGGTCACACCCATAAAGAGAATACAGATAACAGACCCCGACACACACGCATACCCAGAAACATACAGATAACTATCTTACGAATATAGCTGCAAACAGATCAGAGGGCTCACATCATGGGATATACACTGACAAAAGGATTAGAGACCTTACAACGTGGACATGCACCCACACAGATCAGAGACCTCCACTCCAGCAACGTACATGGACAAATGGCTCAGAGCTCTCACATCCTGGAGCATACAAAAACAATCAGAGACTTCAAATCCTGCAGTATACAACCATAATCCAGTCACACTTCATGTGCTGAAAAACACACCCAGAAACAGATGGTAGACATGACATCTTACAGCATAACTCCCAAGAGATCAGATGATTCAACAGTTTTGGCTTCAAATTTCTCTCTGACCTCTGCTTCTGTCATCGCATCACCTTCTGTGACTCTACTTCTGTTGTCACATGGTCCTCTCTGATGTGACACACACAGTCTTCTCAGACCCTGAAGGTCCTACCTTCCTCATATAAAGACTCTTGTGATGACAGTGGGCCCACCTGGATTGTCCAGGATAACTGCCCCCATCTCAGGATGCTTACCTAATATGTATTTGCAAAGCCCCCTTTCCAGATAAGACAACATATTAACAAGCTCCAGGAATGAGGTGAGGACATATTTGGGGATCTATTATCTGACGAAACAGAACATACATGCACAAAGAGAACCCTCACATCCCGGGACTTTCACCCATGAACTGCTCACAGATCTCACAGCTGGAGTCATAGACCTCCAAAGGGATCGGAGAACTCCCACTCCTGGACATCAATCCAAAAAGATCAGAGAGCCACACACTCTGGGGCATACGCCAAATGATGCTCATAGTCCTCACACCCTGGGGATTAAACCCACAAAGACATAAGAGAACCACACTCTGCCAAGTACATTCTCAAAGAGAACCGGAACCTGACACGCTGGGATATACACTAGCGAAGAGATCAGGGACCCCACATTCTGGGACAAACACCCTCGAACATACCAGATCTCTGACTCTGAGACACAGACACAAAGAACACAAAAAAACACATTCATTGACAGACACCCACAGACAGGTCAGGAACCTCACAAACTGGACATAAAACCACAAAAAGAATGGGACTCACACCCTCTATAAACACCCTGAGGAGATGACACACTCACATACGATGACACACACGAACAAATGGATCAGAGACCTATCTGAGAACCTATCTGAGAAACACAACCAGAAACCATACCAGAGACCTCTAATACCACGACATGAAACACCAGGTCACAGGCCTCATATGCAGAAAATACTCCTGAAGAAGTACAGAGACCTGCTGTCTTTGGTATAGACCCAAGAGGAGATCACAGGTCTCCCACAGAGTGCTCCAAAACCACATTGTGGATACATGTACCACAACAAAACCTGACTTCTACTATAAATACCAGCACACAAACCAGAAACTTTATATGCATATCATAAGTACCCACAAATATTGGCAAAACAGCTCAGAAAATTCATGCCAGGGATATATACCCACAAACAGATCAAAGACCTCATATCCTAGGCTAAGCATTCAGAATCAGATCAGAGAACTCACTTCCTGAGAGAACCCTCTCAAAGAGGTGAGAGGCTGGGCGCGGTAGCTCACGCCTATAATCCCAGCACTTTGGGAGGCCAAGGTGGGCGGATCACCTGAGGTCAGGAGTTCGAGACCAGCCTGGTCAACATGGCAAAACCTCATCTCTACTAAAAATACAAAAATTATCCAGGCATAGTAGCACGGGCCTGTGGTCCCAGCTACTTGGGAGGCTGAGGCAGGAGAATTGCTTGAACCTGGGCGGCAGCAGTTGCAGTGAGCCAAGATCGCACCACTGCACTCCAGCCTGGGCAACAGAGTGAGACTCCATCTCAAAAACAAACAAAAAAAAAGAGGTGAGAGACCTCACTCTCTGCTTCATTCACCAGCAGACATACCAGAGGCTTCACACCATGACACAGAGACAGACAAATCAGGGAGTCTCACATCTTGGGACATAAACCCAGAAACAGGGCAAGAATTTCAAGCAAAAGGAAATATACTCACACAGAGCTTGGAATCCTTACACCCTAGACATACGCACCTCAACAGATCAGAGAACTCACACACTGGCACATGTACACAAAATCAGATTGGAGATGTCCCATCCTAGAACATACGCTCCTCCACAAAAGCTGAGAGCACAAATTCTGGGACACACACCACCAAATAGGTCATCAGATCAGAGACCCTGCACAGAAATCAGTGACCTCCACTATCAGACACACACCCTCACAAATAGATCATGAAGTTCACATCCTGACAACCAGATAGAGACAGCACAACCTGACACACTATTGATTTTCTATTGCTGCTGAAACAAATCACTAAAAGCTTTTTGTCATAAAACAATGCAAATTTATTATCTCACTCAGCTGGGGGTGGCTCATACCTGTAATCCCAGCCTTTTGGGAGGCTGAGGTAGGTGGATCCCTTGAGCCGAGGAGTTTGAGACCAGCCTGGCCAACATGGCAAAACCTCGTCTCTACTAAAAATACAAAAATAAGCCGGGAGTGGTGGCGGGCGCCTGTAGTCCCAGCTACTCGGGAGGCTGAGGTACGAAAATCGCTTGAGCCTGGGAGGCAGAGGTTGCAGTGAGCCAAGATGGCACCACTGCACTCCAACCTAGGTGACAGAGTGAGACTCTGTCTCAAAAAAATAAAAATAAAAAAAAACTTATGATCTTACATTTCTGACAAAGAGTCTTACAGGGTAAAAGTCAAGGTGTTGGCAGAGCTGACTTCTTTCTGGAGTTCCTTGGGGAGAATCCAATTTCTTTTTTCTTTTTCTTCTTTCTTTCTTTTTTTTGAGACAGAGTCTTGCTCTGTCGCCAGGCTGGAGTGCAGTGGCGCGATCTTGGCTCACTGCAACCTCCGACTCCCTGATTCAAGCGATTCTACTGCCTCAGCCTCCCGAGTAGCTGGGATTACAGGCACGCGCCACCACACCCAGCTAATTTTTGTATTTTTAGTAGAGACAGGTTTTCACCATGTCGGCCAGGATGGTCTTGATCTCCTGACCTCGTGATCCACCCACCTTGGCCTCCTAAAGTACTGGGATTACAGGCGTGGGCCACCACGCCTGGCCAAAGAATCCAGTCTCTGTAGGCTGCCTACATTTCTGAGCTCATGGCCTCTTCCTCCATCTTCAAAGCCAGAGGTCTGTTTCACCTTCAAATCTTTCTCTCTCTCTCTGTCTCTCTCCCCACCCCCCTTTCTTCCTCCTCCCCCATCTGTCTCTCCTTGTATCCATCTATCTCTAGCTCTCTTTGATCTCTGTATATGTTGTCCATCATCTTTTCTGTACTTCCATCACTACATAGCCCTCTCTGACTCTTGCCTTCACGCCTCCCTCATATAAGGACACCTGTGATTACATTGGGCCTGCCCAGTTAATCTAGGATAAGCATCCCCATCTCAGGATGCTTAACTTCCACAAAGTCACCTCTGCAAAGTCCCTCACAATCACCTCTGCAAAGTCCCCCTTTCCATGTAAATTAGCATAATTGTAGGTTTCAGGGATTAGGAAGTGCACATCTTTGGGGTACCATTAGCTACCAGAGACCTACATACACACACAAACAATTCACAGACTTTACATCCTGAGTCATACACTTCCAAATAGATAAGACACCTCCACTCTCTAACAGACATCCAAAAAGAGCAGAGACACATTCTGGGACATATACCAAAAAATACTCAGAGTCTTCAATCACTTGGAATTAAACTCACAAACACATAAGAGAACTCACCATCTGGGACATACACACTCAAAGAAAACATGGACCTGACATGATAGGATATATACCCACGAAGATATCAGGGGCCCCACATGCTGCAAAATGCACCCCCAACAGATCAAATCTCCAAACCTGGGACATACACACACACACACACACACACACACACACACACACACACACACACACTGCAGAAAGAAACATTCTCAGACATAAACCCACTACCAGGTTAGGTATCTTACAATCCGGGACATGTTGAATTAGACCTCACATCCTTGACAAATACACACAAAAGAGACACTCACATACTGTGACATTCACTAGCAAACAGATCACAGACCTCATGTAAGAAACACAACCAAAAAGAGATCAGAGACCTTGAATCCTGCAACATGAAACTACAAACAGCCTAGAGACCTTACCTGCAGGATATATATGCAGAATAGGTATACAGACCTGACATCTTGAGACATAAAGCCACAAACAGATCAGAGACCTCACAACCTGAGCTAGATACCCATAAACAAATCAGAGGTCTCAATCCTGCAATACAGACCCATAATCAAGCCATAGACCTCACATGCTAGGGAAAAGAGCCAGAAATAGATCACAGACCTGAAATCTTGCAACATACACCCATAAAGAGATCAGAGAGCTTATATTCTGAGACATACTCCCAAATAGGTCAGAGGTTTTCAAACCAAGGGAAATAACCCACAAATAGCTCAATAACTTCACAGCTTGGACACATACACACCTCAACAAATCAGGTATATATATTATACACACACACACACACACAATATATATATATGTTATATCTACTATCAGCCCTCGGATTCAACCAAGTCTGGATCAAAAACACTGAGGAAAAAAATAATTTAAAAACATAGTAAAAATAATACAAATAAAAACAATGTAGTATAACAACTACTTACGTAGCATTGTATCAGGTATTATAAGAAATCTTGAGATTATCTAAAGTATACAGAAGAATTTACATAGGTTACATGCAAATACCATACCATTTTATATAAGGGACTTGAGTGTTCACGGATTTTAGTATCCACAGGGGTCCTGGAACCAATTCCTCCAACCCACAGATACTGAGGGACAGCTATATTGTTACATATATATATGAATATATATGTCAGCATATAAATCACATATGCTTGGAAATATAACTAAAAAAAAACTTCAGAGGTCTGATAACCTAGAACATTAGAACATGTATGCCCCAACAGCTCAGAGAACTCACATCCTGGGATGTACATCCATAAAGAGCTCAAAGATCAAACATCTCATAGGGCATGCTTTTACAAATAGATCAGAAAATTCAGATCCTATGTTAAAACCCTCAACAAAGGTCAAAGACTTCACACAGTGGTTCATTCACCAGTGAACACATCAGACATTTCACACCATCAGACACCACCCACAAACAGATCAGGGAATTAACATCCTGAGACATATACCAACAGATCAGAGACATAACAACCTGGACATGTATCCACGAACATCAGAGGCTTCAGGCCACGGGACCTGAAACCACAAAGGGTTCACAAACTTTCTTCCCTGGACACACATACTCAACTAGATCAGAGATCACTCATCCTGGGACATGAATCCAGAAATAGACCAGAGAATTCATATTCTGGGACACATACCCTCAAAGAGGTTAAAGACCTTCCACCCTGGTTCATTCTCCTGCAAACAGATCACAGAATTCACATCAGATACACCCCTACGTGTATATCAGGGAGTTCACATCCTGGCACATATACTGACAAATAGATAACAGACCTCACAACATGGACACGTAACCACAAACAGATCAGAGACCCCAAATACCAAAAATAGCGCAGAGCCCTCAGATTATGTGCCATTCAGCATCAAACAGGTCAGGGAGCTGAAATCCTGGGATATGCACCCACAAACAGAGTAGAGGCCTTACAACCTGTACATGAACCCACAAAGAGACCACAGACATCAAACTCTGCAACACAATCCACAAACAGATCAGAAACCTCAGGCCCTGAGTCATATATAACAAACTGATCAGAAAGTTCACATCCTGGGATATACTCCACAAGCAATGCACAGACCATACACTCCTGAGACACACACCCACAAACAGAGATCTCAAATCCTTCAATGTACAACTCCAATGAAGTCAGAGACCTCACAGGTTAGGAAAACACCAGAAATAGACCCGACATCTCATAACACAGAACCACGAGCAGATCAGAGAGCTCATGGACTGGGACATTTCTTTACCAGTAAGCAGATCAGTGGCCTCAATCCTGAGACATACATCCACAAAGAGCTCAGAAACCTCACACCCTAGACAAATAAACCTAAACAGACCAGACACCTAACAACCTAACATCCTGGTACATATGTAACCAAACAAATCAGAAACCTCATGTCACAGGAAATACCCCCCAAACAGATGACAGACGTAACAACCTGGAACATAATCCTTAAATATCTCAAAGACTTCACCTACTGGAATGTACTCCCAAAAATCAGCTCAAAGATGTCACATCCTAGTACATGCACACACAAACAGCTCAGAGACCACGGATTCTGGGACACACACCCTCAACATTCAGAGACCTCTCAATGTGGTTCATACAACTGCACACAGATCAGAGACTTCCACCATCAGACATACACTCACAAACAGATCATGGAGTTCACATCCTGGGATGTGTACCAATAAACAGAGATCAATGTGTAACAAATCGTAATCATAATGTCATAAAACAACACACATTTATTATCTTACTTTTCTGCAGGTCAGAAGAAAAAAATGGGTTTCAAAGGGCTAAAATCACAGTGTCAGCAGAGCTGCATTACTCCTGGAGGCTCTAGGGGAGAATCTGTGCCCTTGCCTTTTCCAGTTTCTAGAGCTGCTTGCGTTCCTTGGCTTGTGGCCCCTTCCTCCACCTTCAAAGCTAGGAGCATTTCATCTTCAAATCTCTATCTCTCTGATATCTGCTTCTGGCATCACATCTGCTTCTCTGACTCGGACTGTCCAGCCTCTCTCCTCTAAGGACCCTTGTGATTACACTGGGCTCACCTGGGAAATCCAGAACCGTCCCCGCATCTCAAGATGATTACTTAATCACATTTGCAAGGACCCTTTAACATGTAAGGTCACAGTCACACATTCCAGGGATATAAGGATGGGAACCTTCACTCCACCAACCTAAGATATACATCTACAAGCAATGAAAAACATCATTTGCTGAGGTATCCACACATAAGCAACTCAAAGACTCCACCTCCTATGTTATATAATTCCAAAGGGATCAGAGACCTCCTCCCACCTTTGGACATGCATCCAAGAAAGAAGTGAAGCACATGTTCTGTGTCATATACCCACAAAGAGGGTGGGGACTTCACACACTGGGACATATAATCACAAACAGAAGATACTTCACACCCTTGACAAACACACATGAGGAGATTAGAAACTTAAATACTGCAATATAAAGGCAAAAGCAGAATGGAGGCCTCATCTGAGAAATACACCCACAAGGAGATGAGAGACCACAATTCCTGCAATACATTACTCACAAACAGATCAGAGACCTCACACTCCAAGACATCCACAAACAGAACAGAGATCTCAACCTGTAACATACACCCACAATCAAAGAAGAGATCTCACATTCTAGAACAAACAGCCAGAGACTGAGTATACACCTGACATCTTCAGAATACACCCACAGAGAATTCAGAGTTCATATCCTTGGGATATAAACCCACAAAAATATCAGAGACCTCAAGCCATGCATAATGTAGTCACAATATTTATTGTGAATGGTATATTGTGAAATATACCATAATATAATATATATTGTTACTACACAATATAATACAATATATAATATATTATGGTATATTATATATAAATATAATATATACTATATAGTTATCTGTTCATGTTAATATGTTAACATATTATATATACTATTATGTATATATAATATATACTTAACATATGCTTATATGTTAATATATTGATATGATATAATATCATATAATAATTATAATGCACAATTATAAATATTGTGAACATATACATTATATATTATATAGGTTATTATATATATTATTATTACCTCAGAGATCTCACTTACTGGAACATACACTCCAAATCAGCCAAGAGACCTCACATTCTAGGACATTCACCCACAAACAGGTCAGAGACCTCATATCCTGAGACTACCTGCAGAAACCTCAGAGAACACAAACTGAGGGATAGACACCCTCAGACAGGTCAGAGACCTCCTCCCTGGTTCATACACCCACACACAGATGAAAGATCTGCCACATAAGACACGCACTCGGCGGGGCGTGGTGCCTCACACCTGTAATCTCAGCACTTTGGGAGGCCGAGGCAGGTGGATCACCTGAGGTCAGGAGTTCGAGACCAGCCTGATCAACATGGTGAAACCCTGTCCTCTACTAAAAATACAAAAATTAGCCAGGCGTGGTGGCACATGCCTGTAATCCCAGCTACTGGGGAAGCTGAGGCAGAAGAATCACTTGAACCCAGGAGGCGGAGGTTGCAGTGAGCCGATATCGTGCCACTGCACTCCAACCTGGGCGACAGAGCAAGACTCCATCTCAAAAATAAATAAATAAGTAAATAAATAAAAGACATGCACTCACAAACAGATTGGGGATTCACATCTTGCACTAACAACCAGACAGAGACATCATGCACCTGGGACACAGTATTCATTTCTTATTGTTGTAACAAATCACCACAATCTTAGTGCTGTGAAAAACACAAATTTATTTATTATATTACATCTGTGTAGGGCAGAAACCCAAGAATGGGCCTTAGGGTACTAAAGTCAGGTGTCAACAGAGCTGTCTTCTTTCTGGAGACTCTAAGGAAGAGCACGTTTCTTTGCCTTTTCTGGGTTCTAGAGCTGCCTGCAGTCCTTCATCCCTTCCCCCTTTCTCCATCTTCACAGCGGACAGCAGTTCATCTTCAAAATGCTCTCTGATGTCTACCTCTGTTGTGGCATCTCCTTTTTGACTCCGCTTCCACCATCACATTCCCTTCCATCATTTAGGGCTCCCTGGTCATATCTCTTTCACTGGACATCTTTGAGGGATGCTTTATTCAGCCAACCACAGACTGGTGTGCACAAACAATTAGAGATTTCACCTCCTGGGATATACTCCCATGAACAGCGCAAGGACTTCATGAGCTGGGACCCACACCCCCAACACTTGTGTCATCATATCGCTGTCTCTGACTCAGTCTGTGTCATTATATTCAGTGAAAATCCAAGAAAATCTCCCGATCTCAAGATGCTTAATTTAATCACATCTGCAAGGTACCTTTTAAAAAAAATTTTTTTTTTTGAGATGGAGTCTCACTCTGTCACCCAGGTTGGAGTGCAGTGGCACCATCTCTGCTCACTGCAACCTCCACTTCCCGGGTTCAAGCGATTCTCTCTCCTGCTTCAGCCTCCCGAGTGGCTGGGATTATAGGCGTGCACCACCATGCCCATCTAATTTTTGTATTTTTTGTAGAGACAGGGTTTCACCATGTTGGCCAGGCTGGTCTCGAACTCCTGACCTCAAGTGATCCGCCCACCTCAGCCTTCCTAAGTGCTGGGAATACAGGCATGAGCCACTGCGCCTGGCCTTTCAAAAATGTTTTTAATAAACATTTTTAAAATAATTTAATCTTAAAAAAATTTTCTGGAACACTTCACGAATTTGCATGTCATCCTTGCACAGGCGCCATACTAATCTTCTGTGTATCATTCTAATTTTAGTATATGTGCTGCTGAAGCAAACACTTAAATTTTTATATATTTAGATATAAATTTTTATAGATTTAGGTGTACAAGTACAGTTATGTTACATGGCTATCTTGTGTAGTGGTGAAGTCTGGGCTTTTAGTGTACCTACCACCGGAATAATGTACTCTGTATACAATAGGCAGTATTTCATCCCTCACCCCTTTCCCACCCTCACATCTTTTGGAGTCTCCGGTGTCTATTATTCTACTCTGTATATCCATGTGTACCCACTGTTTAGTTCCCACTTATAAGTGAGAACATGCAGTTTTTGACTTTCTGTTTCAGTCATTTTACTTAGGATAATGGCCTCCAGCTCCATCCATGCTGTTTGCAAGGTACCTTTTAGCATGTAAAGTCACATCACAGTTTCCAAAGATTAGGACATGGGCATCTTCGGGGGCCTTAAGTCAACACAACAAAAACATACATGCACAAACAATGGGAGACTTCACACACTTCCAGAAAGCTCAGAGACCTGAAATGCTGGGACACACACCACAAACAGCTCACTTACCTCATCCTGAGTTATACATCTAGAAAGTGATCACACACCTCCTACCTTGAGACATACATCTAAAGAGCGAGCAGACACACACGTGTTCTGGGACATACACCCACAAACAGTTCTGGGATCTCACAAATTGGGACATACACCCACAAACAGAACAGACCTCATACCCTTGATAAGCAAGCAAAAGAGACTTTTTTTTTTTTTTCAGACAGGGTCTCACTCTGTTACCCAGGCTGGAGTGCAGTGGCATGATAAAGACTCACTGCAGCCTCGAACTCCCAGGCTCAGGCAGATCCTCTCACCTTAGCCTCCCCAATAGCTGGGACTACAGATGCGCCACCAAGCCTGGCTAATTTTTTATTTTTTGTACAGACGGGGGTCTCACTATGTTGCCCAGGCTGGTCTCAAACTCCTGGGCTCAAGTGATCCTTCTACCTCAGCCTCCCAAAGTGCTCGGATTATAGGTGTGAGCCGCCATGCCCAGCCGAGGTTTTTTTTTTTAAACTCACATACTGTAACATACACACACAAATAGATCAGAGACTTCATCTGAGAAATATAACCAAAATGGATCAGGTCTAAAATCCTGCAACAAGAACCCACAACATGTTAGCGATCTCACATCCTGGCAAATACACACTCAGAATAATTAAAAATACTTGATATCTTGGGGTACACACCCACAAAGAGATGAGAGAGCTACGATCCTGGGACATATACCTGCAAACAGATCAAAAGCCTCGACCCTGAGACATACACCAACAAAGAGCTCAGAAACCTCATACCCTGGATGTATACACTGTAACAAATAATACGCCTTGCAACCTGTTATGTATATGAGCATACAAATCAGAAATCTCATATGCTTGTAAATAATGCCAAAAGCCTAAGATATCTACCAACCTGGGATGTATATCCATAAATGGCTGAGAAAACTCACACCTGGGATATATATCCACAAATAGCCCTGGGACATCACATCCTAGGATATGTATTCGGAAACATTAGGGAACTCGCATTCTGAAAAAACTCCTTCAAGGATGTCTGACTTATCTCAACCCGGTTCATTTACCAGAAAACAGATCAGAATCTTCACACCATTAGGCATACACCTACAAAAAAAAAAGATCAGGGATATACATCAGCAAACAGATTAGAGACCTCATAACTTAGACACGTAACCACACAGAGACCACAGGCCTCAAACCCGGCAACATATACCCATAAAGATACCAGAGACGGCCGGGCGTGGTGGCTCACGCCTGTAATCCCAGCACTTTGGGAGGCCGAGGTGGGTGGATCATTTGAGGTCAGGAGTTGAAGATCAGCCTGGCCAACATGGTGAAACCCCACCTCTACTAAAAATGCAAAAATTAGCCAGGCATGGTGGCGGGCACCTGTAGTCCCAGCTACTTGGGAGGCTGAGGCAGGAGAATCACTAGAATCCGGGAGGTGGCGGTTGCAGTGAGCTGAGATTGTGCCACTGCACTCCAGCCTGGGTGACAGATCAAGACTGTGTCTCAAAAAAAAAAAAAAAGATATCAGAGACCTCACACTCTTGAGATGTACACCAACAAACAGATAAGGGAGCTCATATTATGGGATATACTCCAAAACACATCAGAGACTATATATGACCAGGGATCCTAAATTCTGCAACATACACTTACAAGCACATCAGAAACCAGACATGCTATGAAAAAAAGTCAGAAATAGATCATAGATCTCATAACCTGTGACATACACCCACAAAGAGATCATAGAGCTCATATCCAGGAACAGGAACCCACATGTACCCACAAAGAGATCAGAGGATTCAGACCAAAAGATATACATTCACTACGGGCTCTTTGAAACCCCACACGCTGGACATTCACAACTAAACAGATTATATTAGGTACATCCAGAACATATATAGAAACATGTGAGAGTCCTCAAAGCTTGGTATGTATATGCATAAAGAACTAAGGCTGGGTGCGGTGGCTCACACCTGTAATCCCAGCATTTTAAAAGGGAGGCTGAGGCAGGAAGATTACTTGAGATCAGGCGCTCAAGACCAGCCTGGTCAACATGCACAAACATGCCCGTCTCTACTAACAATACAAAAATTGGCCGGGTATGGTGGTGCATGCTTGTAATCCCAGCTACACAGGAGGCTGAGGCAGGAGAATCGCTTGAACCCAGAAGGCAGAGGCTGCAGTGAGTCGAGATCGCGCCACTGCACTCCAGCCTGGGCGACAGAGCGAGACGCCATCTTAAATAAATAAATAAATAAATAAAAATTAAATTCTGCAGTATATACCACAAACAGATCAGAGACTTCACATACTGGGAAATCAACTCAGAAATGAATCAGTCCTCTCAAATTGTGACATACCACCCAAAAGAGACAGGAGAGTTCATATCCTTGGGAATAAACCTGTAAAAAAAAAATAGGGGCCTCAAATCACAGAACATACACTGTCACACAGTTGAGAGACCTCATGTTTGGAAACACACTGAGGAATAGATGAAATACCTCACACATCCTCGAAAAGATCAGACATTACATCATGGGACATACACCTGCAAACAGATTGATGATGCCAAACTGTAGGAATTAAATCCACAAACTGATCAGAGACCTAATATGCAGGGACATATAATCACAAATAGATCAGAGACCTTACATTTTTTACATGCACCCATGAAAAAGATCTCACATACCAGGATACACAATGATACAACGATAGCCACGGACCTCACACACAACAAGAAAAAGGTCATAAGCCTTATATCCTAGTAAATAAACCCCCAACCAGCTCAGGAACCTCTCACTGTGGGACATACTCCACAAACAGATAAGAGAACTCATACCTAGGTTCATACAATCACAATCATATCAGAGAACTTCTATTCTTAGCATATACCCATGAAAGATGCTTCACATACTGATAATTACAATGACAAACACATCACAGACCTAAAATCCTGGGACATACATGCACAAACACAGATCAGATCAGTGACCTCACACACTGGGACATACATCCACAAACATGTCAGAGATCTTCTATTCTAGTAAATACATCTACAAACATGTCAGAGACCTCAACCTCACATCCTGGGACATACTTGCAGAAATAGCCCAGATACCTAAAATTTCTGCATAAACCATCCCTTAATTTGCATGTAACTAAAAGGTGGGCATAAATATGACTGCAGAACGGCCTCTGAGCTGCTACTTTGGGCATACTGCCTATGGGTAGCTCTTCTCTGCAAGGAGCAGCACATCTGCTCCTGCTATACACTGCCGCTTCAATAAAAGCTGCTATTTAACACCACCAGCTCACTCTTGAATTCCTTCCTAGGCAAAGCCAAGAACCCTCCTGAGCTAAGCCTCAACTTTGGGGCTTGCCTGTCCTGCAACCAGATGAAAGATCTCAAACTCAGTGTATCCATGAACAGATCAGAGACCTTACATACAGAGACATATGTGGGCACATGGATCAGAGACTTCTTACTTGGGAACATACATCCAGAAACAGACCAGAGACCTCATATCCTGAGAAATACACCAACAAACTGACTTTGACATACACCAATGAAAATCACATACTAGTATACAGCAACAAATGGATCAGAGACCTCACATCCTGGGAAATATACCACCAAACAAATCAGACATCTCACACCTCTGCATATATACCATCAAAGAGCTCAGAGACTTCACACCATGGGACTTACACACCCAAAAAGATCAGATACTTAAATCCTAGCTCATATAACCACAAACATACTTGAGAACTCACTCTGAGCAATCCACCCCCAAACAGATTAGAAACCTCATATCCTGGAACATATAGCCACAAAAATATCAGAGACTTCATACCCTTGACACTTCACATATACAGGAACATATACAGGGATAAACAGATCTGAGACCTTACATGCACCCACTAGGAGCTCAGGGAACTCACATCCTGGGAAATATACCCACAAACATTTTGGAGACCTCATACCCAGAGATGTACACCCACAGTCATAGCAGAGACCTCATGCCCTAGGACATACACCCTCAGACAGAATAGTCCTCATATTCTCCAACACACACCAAATAAACAGATTAAAGTACTGACATCCCTAAAAAAATACAACCAGAAAAGCTCAGAAATATAACATCTAGGGAAATATAGCCACAAAAAGCTGAGACTCACACCTTGGCACATACACCCACAAAGAGATCAGAGATCTAACATTCCGGGACATAAAACCAAAAACAGATCAGAGACCTCAAACCCTTGACATGCATTCATGAAGAGAGACCTCACATCTTGTCATTGTATAATGACAAGCAGATCAGAGGCCTCATACCCTGGGATGAATACTCACAAGCACATTGGAAACCTTACACCATTGGACATATACCCACAAACAGAACGGAAACCTCAAATATACTTCCAAATGGATCACAGAACTCACATCTTGGAATATATACCCACAAAAAAATCAGAAATCTCTTATTCTGGGAAATATAGACTCAAACAGATTAGAGACCCCACAACTTTGGACACACACGATCAAAGGGCTCAGATACCTTACACCCTGGTATATACACCCATGAACAGAGATCTCATATACTGTGACATAAATGTCAGGGATACTCACAAACAGTTTGGGAGCCTTACATCCTGAGATATATACTCATAAACAGTGCAGAGTACTGATTCCCTCTGCCCTCAAACTCAGAAATATCAAAGTCGGGACACAGGTTCTCAAACACATTAAAGACTTCATATCCAGGGACTCAGTGGCCCAAACAGCTGACACCTAGTGTTCTGGATGCAGAATCCAGTCACCTTGGTGATGTCTCTTCCTGGGACTTAGAAATCCATATACCTCAAAGAATAAACAGAAACAATACACCGTCCTCCAAAGAGTGCATGGATGTGAACCTGGGACACAGACTGCCAAACACCCCAGTGACCTCATACCCAGAACAGACTGCCAGAGAGCTCAGATAATTCAAATTCTGGACTTGATCACGTTCTGAACATGAACAGAAAAAAACAGCCCAGAATCCCCATGCTTTGGGACATAGATTCCCAAATAATTCAGAGATCTAAAAACCTAGAGAGAGAACCCCAAAAGGTCACTTAAAAATGCGAAACATAGAATGCCCAAAAGACCCAGACATCATGGCATGGATACAGACCACGAAAAAGCTCCAAAGTCTCGAACTCCAGACAGACCATCAAAGAGCTCAGAAACACCTCTTATGAGTTATCTATTGCCACATAAAAAATAACCCCCAAATTTACCGGCTTTTGGCTGCTTGAGCATCCTCGAATGATGGCTGGCTTCTACTAGTCAGTGATCCAAGAAAAAGTACAGCAGAAGCCATAAGTGCCTTTTAAATTTCCCTCTAGGTAAGTACTGCTTTGCTGCATCCCACAAATTTGGTAAGTTTTATTTTGATTTTCATTTAGTCCAAACTATTTTTTATTTCTCTTGAGACTACTTTGAGCTACTGGGGCCCTGCATCCTCCCCTAAAGTCTTTCTCTGGAGCTCATACCCTGCCTCTCACATAAATGTATAAACCCGTCTCATAAGCACAGTTTTCAGAAGAGGAACAAAGTTTTTTCTCACTGTGCATCCTTGCCTCATGGTGCACAATCTATTATGCATGTTCTCAAGAGAACAACTGAAGTAAAACTGTGGATTTACTAGAGATGAAGACACAATTCTGGGGAGTGTTTACTCTTTCTTAAACCCAACATACATTTACATTAAACAACATGTGCACATGATTCCTAAGTTCCAACTGAGACAGTCCCAAGCCCACACTGGCCCCTGGCATTTATATGGATTGCTTGCTTCCCTTCCCCCAGCCCTGAATTCTACTTTCAGAAGGGGTGTGGGATTAGGGGGAAGGGACTGAAATCAGGAGAGCGTGTGTGGACTGTGCATTGTCCTACCGATTCTTACCAGTCTTGTAAAAACCTCAGCAGCTCAAGGTTTAGATGATCCAAAACGCTAGACTCTCCTACCATCCAACCAGGACTTGGGGGTTCCAGGCTTTGAAAGAGGGTCTATCAGGCTCCAAAGTCCATGTGTTCTGGGTTATCATCAGTGTGATCAAAGCCTAAGGGGAGATGGACTCCAACATCCATCTGAGCAACGTCCATCCTGAGAGATGGGGGTCCCCACTCAGTGGCTGATGTCAGGAGACACAGAACAAACATCTCCCTACAACACAATCTCCACAAACAGTGTCAAGGGAAACTGTGCCCTCCAGAACAGAGGGCGAGATAGGTTCTGAAGGAAGTTGGTAATTTATACTTTATGGTCTAGGCCAAGCTTGTCCAACCCAAGGCCCATGGGCCACATGCAGCCCAGGACGGCTTTGAATGTGGCCCAACACAAATTCGTAAACTTTCTTAAAACATTATGAGATGTTTTGGCGATTTTTTTTTTTTAGCTCATCAGCTATCGTTAGTGTTAGCTATTTTATGTGTGGCCCAAGACAATTATTCTTCCAATGTGGCCCAGGGAAGCCTGCTGGTCTAGACAAAGAGGCTGGGATTGCTGTGAATCCCGATCCTAATGTGTACTGGAGGAGTTCACAACCAATTGTGGGGTTCCTACTTCTCACCACCTTTCTTTTTCTTTTTCTTTATTTTGGAGACAGAGTCTTGGTCTGTCGCCCAGGAGTGCAGTGGTGCGATCTCGGCTCACTGCAACCTCAGCCTCCCAAGTAGTTGGGATTACAGGCATGCACCACCATACCCGGCTAATTTTTGTATTTTTAGTAGAGACGGGGTTTTGTCATGTTGGCCAGGCTGGTCTCAAACTCCTGACCTCAAGTGATCCACCCACCTTGGCCTCCCAAATGCTGGGATTATAGGCGTGAGCCACCACACCCAACCCTCACTGCCTTTCTGAACTGGCATATGGTCCAGGCAGAGGGAAAAGGAGATGTCACACATACCTCATGTCTGGATTTGGTATGTGAAAAGGTCACTAATTCCTGATATAGCACCCCGAAAGAGCTCAGAGCTTTCAAACCTTGGAACAGAAACCGTAATACAGACCACAGACCTCACACTCTGAGACACAGACCCAAACACCTCTCAGAGAACATAAACCTCAGACAAAGACCCCTAAATTGTTCAAACGCTTCATACCCCACAGACCAGTGGTTCTCAACCAGAGGCGATTCTGCCCCGCAAAGAACATTTGGCAATATCTAAGGACATTTTGGCTGTCACAAATATGTGTTGCGGGCGTGCTACTGTCATCTGTGAGTTGAAGCCAGGGATACAGCTTGCCAGTGTCCTTTAGCCAAAGACCCCCGCCCCACCCAGGAACATACCTGTAGTGGAACAAGTTGGGATGATTACTCATTGCAGTGAGGGAGAACGCACTCCATGGGGAAGTGTGGGGTGGTCGGGTTTGATTGAGTGATTTGGGGGTAGGGTCTAAGGAAGTGGGGGCTCACTCTAGATTAGATGCTGTCAGAAAACAAGGGCAATTTTACAATTGGGTATTTCAATAAATCTTATCTATAGGGAGGGCAGACTAGAGTGAGGCTAACGCTGTCATTGGTAAGGAAGTGGCAGTCACTCATTTTAACCAAGAGAGGAGAATGTTTAGTATTTTATGGGCAACACAGTGAATCCTTATTTTTGTTTGTGCTTAAACAACATTATAAAGTGGCTGTGCTCTATTTTATTATTTTATTATTATTATTATTATTATTATTTTTATTTTGAGACACAGTCTCGCTCCGTCACCCAGGCTGGAGTGCAGTGGCGCGATCTTGGCTCACTGCAAGCTCTGCCTCCCGGGTTCACGCCATTCTCCTGCCTCAGCCTCCCGAGTAGCTGGGACTACAGGTGCCCGCTACCACGCTCGGCTAATTTTTTGTATTTTTAGTAGAGGCGGGGTTTCACCGTGTTAGCCAGGATGGTCTCGATCTCCTGACCTCGTGATCTGCCCGCCTCGGCCTGCCAAAGTGCTGGGATTACAGGCGTAAGCCACTGCACCCGGCCTATTTTATTATTTTTTTGAGACAAGTTCTCACTTTATCCCCAGGCTGTAGTGCAGTGTGGCATGATCTCGGCTCACTGCAACCTCAAATGCCTGGGTTCAAGCAATCCTCTGGCCTCAGTCCCTCAAGTAGCTGGGATTACAGGCACCCACCACCATGCCCGACTAATTTTTGTATTTTTTGTAGAGACGGGGTTTCACCATGTTGTCCAGGCTGGTCTCGAACTCCTGAGCTCAAGCGATCGGCCCACCTCAACCCCCCAAAGTGCTAGTATTACAGGCGTGAGCCACCTCATCCGGCCAAGCTCTGTCGATTTTATCATGGTCTCAGACTAACCTTACCTGACGCTGGTATTCTGTGAGATTGTTCACGTCCGTTAGGAGAATAACATGGCCTACCTATGGGGGCCGGGCCTGCTTCTGGGTGTCAGAGGCTGCTCCCTTCTTCCCTCCCTTTTTCTCTCATGCTAAACGTCTCTTATGGGTGAAATTATGTCCCCTCAAAATTCCTACGTTGAAGTCCTAAACCCCAGTACCTCAGAATGTGACCTTATTTGGAAATAGGGTTGTTGCAGATGTAATTAGTTAAGTTAGAGATCATGCTGGAGTAGAGTGGGCCCCTAATCCTGCGCCACTGGTGTCTTTATAAAAAGCGGAAATTTGGACACAAGACACACAGGGAGAATGCAAGGTAAAGATGAAAGCAGAGATGGGGTGATGCAGCAGACACCAGGGAACAGCAAAGATTGCCAGCAGGCATGAGAAGCTAGGAAAGATGCAGGGCACACATTCCCCTCATAGGCCCCAAAGGAACCAACCCTGCCAACATCTTGATCTCACACTTCCAGCCTCCAGAATTGTGAGACAATACATTTCTGCTATTTAAGTTACCCAGATTGTGGTACTTTGTCATGACAGCAGCCCTAGTAAACAAATACAATAGACCCTACAATGCACAGAACAGCCCTCCATAACAAAGAATTTTCTGGTCCAAAATGTCAACAGTCCCAAGGCTGAGGAACCCTGCCCTGGATACAGAACCGAAAAGTTTTTATTGACCTCATTATCTCTGATAGAAGACAATAAAAACCAGCTGACAGTATACACATCTTTGAACATAGTCCTTCAAAGTGCTCAGAAACCTCACACCTTGAACATGGAAGCCCATACAGCCCAGAGAAGACAAGCCTAAAGAGACTACTAACAGGTCAAAGACATCATACTCTGGGACAAAGACTACCAAGATGACGAAAGACCTAGCATCTAAAAACATATACCAAATGTTCAGAGACATCACATCATGAGACACAAAACCCAAGAGAGCTCTGGGTCCAAAGAGCTCAGATATTTCACACCCTGGACACAAACCGGTGAACAACAGCTCATAAATAACCGTGTCATTCATTTCCTGATTTTAAAAATTGTACTAAGATTATATAAGTAAGCATTAGGAGAAAAAGAGTATATAAGAACTCTCTGCACTATTTTTATAATTTTTTTAAGTCTAAAATGCTTTTAAAATTTAAAAAATGTTAAAGGCTGGACGCAGTGGCTCACATCTGTAATCCCAGCACTTTCAGAGGCTGAGGTGGGTAGATCGCTTGAGCTCAGAAGTTGGAGACCGGCCTGGGCAATATGGTGAAACCCCTTCTCTACAAAAATACAAAAATTAGCCAAGGGTGGTGGTACACACCTGTATTCCCAGCTACTTGGGAGGCTGAGGTGGGAGGATTGCTTGAGCCCAGGAGGTCGATGCTGCAGTGAGCCATGATCACGCCAGTACACTCCAGCCTGGGTGACAAAGCAAGACCCTGTGTCCAAAAAATAAAATAAAATAAAAATTTTAACAAAAATGATCACAGGACGTAAAAGGGAATTTAGAAAACTTAAATAAGGCCAAGTGCAGTGGCTCATGCCTGTAATCCCAGCACTTTGGGAGGGTAAGACAGGAGTCCAGGAGTTCGTGACCAGCCTGGGCAACATGGTGAGACGTGGTCTTTACAAAAAATAAAAAAATTAGTGGAGTGTGGTGGCACATGCCTGTGGTCTCAGCTACTCAAGATCAGGAGGCTGAGGTGGGAGGACTGCTTGAGCCCAGGAGGTCGAGGCTGCAGTGAGCCATGTGCATGCCACTGTACTCAGCCTGGGCAACATAGTGAGACCCTGTCTCAAAACAAAACAAAACAAAACTTAGATACATCTTGCCAACAAGCACAGAAAACAATGTTAAGCCCTTCTAGCAGTCACAGAAATGCCAATAAAAGAAAAATGAAAATCAATTTTAAGAAAAAAAAAAAAAGGCTGAGTGTGGTGGCTCACATCTGTAATCCCAACACTTTGAGAGGCTGAGTCAGGAGTATCATTTGAGCCCAGGAGTTTGAGACCAGCCTAGGAAACAGAGGGAGACCCTGTCTCCACACGCAAAAAAAATTATTTTGGGACAGGGTCTTGCTCTGTTGCCCAGGCTGGAGTGCTGTGGTGAGATCACAGTTCACTGCAGCCTTGACCTCCTGAGTAGCTGGGGACAACAGACACGTGTCACCATACCCGGCTAATTTTTTTTTTTTTGTAGAGATAGGGTTTCACCATGTTGGCCAGGCTGGTCTCGAACTCCTGGGCTCAAGGGATCCACCCACTTTGGCCTCCCAAAGTGCTGGGATTACAGGTGTGAGCCACCGTGCCCAGCCTACAAGAAAAAAAAAAAATAGCCGGGCCAAGTGTGGTGGTACGCACCTGTGGTCCCAGCTACTCAGGAGGCTAAGGTGGGAGGATTGTTTGAGCCAGAGGTCGAGGCTGAAGTGAGCCATGATTGCACCACTGCACTCCAGCCTGGGCAACAGAGAGAGACCCTGCCCCTAAAAACATACAAAAAGGCCTGGGCAACATAGTAAAATCCCACCTCCACAAAAAATAAAGAAAGTTAGCCGGGTGTGGTGGCACGTGTCTGTAGTCCCAGCTACTCAGGAGGCTGAGGTGAGAGAATCACCTGAGATTGGCAAGTTGAGGCTGCAGTGAGCCGAGATCACACCACTGCACTCCAGCCTGGGTGACAGAGCAAGATCCTGTCTCAAAAATAAATAAATAAAAGTAAAGACACACAAAAAAAGAAAAGAAAAAAAAACTCTGCACATCCGGGGACAAAGATCCATAAACAGCTTAGAAACCTTGGGACATTCTGGACCAACGTAAACAGAAAAACAGAAAAGAAAAACAAAAAAAAACAAAAAAAAAAGAAAGAAAAAAGAAACCAACCCTGGGACAGAGACCCACAAAGATCTCAAACACCTAAACCTCTGAGACACAGATTTTCAAACAGCAAAGAGACTTCACAGTCTTTTTATAAGTCATACCCTGAACTGAGATTCCAAAACAAATCAGACTTCACATCCTGCACACAGTCCTCCAAACTGCAGAGTGTAATAACTACCCTATGATGAGCTGACTTGACTTGAGAATCACTTTCTTCCTACTACCTACCTACCTCACCAGCCAAACACCTCCCCTGTCTGATGTTTAAAATCCCATCATTTAAAAGCGTACTCTTTTAAGTCTTGCCCCCACCTTCCAAAATTCTCCTTGTAGTTGCCACAAGCTCTTCAGCATCCCAGAGCGTGAAACCATGCATCTCTCTTTTAATCACTTATAGCCCACCCCATCACACTCCTAGTCAGGCCTGGTCCTGAGGGAAGCCTCCAAATCACCCTCTTCTGGGAGATGGGGGCTGGCCTGGAGGAGGATCATGAGATCACCTTGAATCTTATCTGCTGGACTCAGACCTACAGGTAGCCTGAAAGACAAATGCCAGGGACCCTGAAGAATTTTTCTTAGTGCTGTTGTGAACGGTGAGTGGGTCCTGAAATCAATATAATGGGATGCAATAGGCATTGCTTAAAAAAAGAAAGAATAGGTAAAAGAAAATGGAAAAGATTACCCGACACACTCTGTGCCAGCCCTTGAGTACAAGCCAATAATGCCAGCTTCTTTTACAGGTGCACAAGTTGAACTTCCCAGACGGGATTCGAACCTACGATCTCCAGTAGCCAAAGCCCTGCCTCGGCAACCCTGAACGCCAACCCAGGAGCCAAAGCGCTTGCGCCGAAACAGCAGCCAATAGGAACGCGGAGCCGAAGGACCCGGCCTGTAGCCTCTTAGTGATTCCGGAAAACCTCGGTACCCTGGAAGAGCTTAGGTAGGCAGTCTCGCGGTGACCAATCAGAGCTCAGGGCAAGACTTTGTCCCGCCCTACGCAACTCGTCCAGGAAGCAATCGCCGCTCCGCGGCCTTCCTCCTCACCCCACCCCCGGAGTTGATTCGCATCTGTATAGCCAACCCGGCGGGAACGGATATATTAATAAAAGCTTGGTGGCGGCGGCTTCCAGACAGGTGGACGCTTTAGGCCGAAGATCGGGTCCGCCCGGCGCGGGGGTCGGTCCAGGCAGAGCCATTCTCTCCTCGGTCTAGGGTGGAGGCCGATCCACTCGCGGGATGAGGAGACCTTTCGTGTCTCCACTAGTACAATGGTATCTTCCGAAATACACGACCCCTCCCCTGTGGTACCTCCCATGACCGTAGTGGTATGGTCCTGGAGCTGCACAGTCTAGTCGTTAACCCTTCATTCCCACCGCTCACGCTCCCCTTGTGTGTGCGACAAGGACTCTTTCATGTCAGTGTCAAGTGAATCAATCTTCAGTTCACCGCAAAAGAACTAAATGGACTCTTTCATGCCTTCCTCCTGCCCACGTTCCAGCCCTGTCTCCCCCAACCGACGTCCCCCAGAGCACTGTCCCTGCCCCATACCCTGATGATTCGTTTGAGAGCAAAGGCCCAAGCGTCCAAACCCTTGCTGCAGAGCCACCGCCCATTAATGGGCATTCATTCCCGAGGCCACTGATGGAAGTCTGCCTTTGTGTGGCAGCATTTATCAAAATAAAAAGCAGACACCCCTCCTTACTGGAATGTCACCACCACGAAGGTAGGGAGGGATATGTGTATTTCTAGACCCCCCAAAGTCTCTGCCTGAAACTGCCCTGCACACAGTAGGTGCTCAAAAGGGGATTTGTTGAATAAATGACTCCTTTGGCGTGGCAGTTTCACTTTTAAGTATGTGTTCTAAGGAAATAATCATACATACGTGCACAGTCCTGTGTGCACAAGAATGGAAGGAGCAAACAACTAAGGGAGAAAACGGCAAATGCTTAAAGGCGATTATACCATAGAGTACCAGCTGGCTGTGAAACAGAATGAGACCTCATTACTGGAAACACCCAGATAGCTCAGGGAGTTCACATCATTGCACACAGAGCACAAAAGAGCTCAGAGATCTCACACCGTGGGATACAGAGTCCAAAACAGTTCAGGGAACTCACACTGAACACAGACCACAAAACAAAATTAGAGAACTCAATAATGGAACATATCTTAATAGATTCCCAGTCATTTCATAGGTCTCATCCTCGTCACAAAATCCTACAAACATTTCAGAGACCTCACCCTGGGACACAAAGGCCGAAACACCTCAGGGACGTTGCACGCTGGGAAAACAAATCCCAAACACCTTACATACCTCATATCCTGGACGCAGACTCCAAAACAGCTCGGAGACCTCACCACCTGGGATATAGATTAAATCTGGACAGAGACCACATACTCTTTTTGCAGGGTCTCACTCTGTCACCCAGGCTGGGGTGCAGTGGCGTGATCACAGCTCACCGCAACCTCCGCCTCCCCAGCTCAAGCAATCCTCCCACCTCAACCTCCCCAGTAGCTGGGACTACTGAAGCAGGCCACCACACCCGACTAATTTTTGTATTTTTTTCTAGAGACGGGGTTTCACCATGTTGCCCAGGCTGGTCTCGAATCCTAGGCTCAAGCAATCCACTGGCCTGGGCCTTCCAATGTACTGGGATTACAGGCGTGAGCCACCATGCCCACCATGAGACCACATAACTCCACGTAGACCACAAAACAATTCAGAGGCCTGGACACAAACAAAATGAAGGTGACCCACCTGTACTGCCTGGAGAGACCACCTAAAGGACATGCTGTTAATGGAGGCAAAGCAAGTGGGAAAAAATGCTCAAAGAATGGCCTCATAACCTGAGAACCAGCCCTGAAAAGTGTTCTGAGATCTTATACACAAACAGCTCAGAAATCACAGAAAATATATTCTTTTACCATAGTGGAATTAAACTAGAAATCAATAACAGAAATGTATCTGAAAAATCCAAAAATACTTGTAAATTAAACAAAACACTTTTTTTTCTGTTTTTGAGACAGAGTTTTTGCTCTGTTGCCCAGGCTGGAGTGCAGTGGCATGATCTCGGCTCACTGCAACCTCCGCCTCCTGGGTTCAAGCAATTCTCCTGCCTCAGCGTCCCCAGTAGCTGGGATTACAGGCGCCTGCCACCACGTCTGCCTAGTTTTTGTATTTTTAGTAGAGGCAAGGTTTCACCATGTTGGCCAGGCTGGTCTCAAACTCTTGACCTCAGGTGATCCACCTGCCTCAGCCTCCCAAAGTGCTAGGATTACAGGCATGAGCCACCCCACCCAGCCACAAAACACTTTAACCCATGAGCCAAAGAGAAAATCCAAAGGGAAATTAAAGATCTATTGTGAATTGAAAAAAATGAGAAAATACAACAAATCAAAATCTATGGGATACAGCTAGAGTAGTGATCAGAAGAAAATTGATGGCATTAAAATGCTTACATGAGAAAAGAAAGGTCTCAAATCAATTATCTGAATTTCCAATTTAGAAAAGTCTAAAAATTACACCTGAAGGAATAAAATAATAAAGATAAGGGCGGCCAGGCTGGGCGCTGTGGTGCACACCTGTAATCCCAGCACTTTGGGAGGCCAATGTGGGCGAATCACCAGAGGTCAGACATTGGAGACCAGCCTGGCCAACACGGTGAAAACCCGTCTCTACTAAAAATACAAAAAACTGACACCTATAATCTCAGCTACTCAGGAGGCTGAGGCAGGAGAATTGCTGGAACCTGGGAGGCAAAGGTTGCAGTGAAGCTGAGATCACGCCATTGCACTCCAGTCCGGACTCGACAACAGTGAGACTCCATCTCAAAAAAAAAAAAAATACAAAAATTTAGCCGGGTTTGGTGGCACATGCCTGTAGTCCCAGCTACTCGAGAGGCTGAGGCACGAGAATTGCTTGAGCCTGGGAGGCAGAGGTTGCAGTGAGCTAAGGTTGGGCCACTGCACTCCAGCCTGGGAGGCAGAGCAAGACTTCGTCTCAAAAAAAAAAAAAAAAAAGAAATTAGCCAGGTGTGGTGGCATGTGCCTGTAGCCTAGCTACCAGGGAGGCTGAGCAGTGGGGATCAGTTGAGCCTGGGAGGTGGAGGTTGCAGTGAACCAAGATCGTGTCACTGCACACCAGCCTGGGTGGCAGAGTCAGATCCTGTCTCAAAATCAATAAAAAATAAAAATATAAGAGCAGAAATCAATGAAATTGAAAGCAAAAACAATAGAGAAAATCAATGGAGGCCGGGCACCATGGCTCACACCTGTAATCCCAGCACTTTGGGACACCGAGGTGGGCAGATCACCTGAGGTCAGGAGTTCGAGACCAGCCTGGCCAACATGGTGAAACCCTATCTCTACTAAAAATATAAAAATAGCTGGGTGTGGTGGTGGGTGCCTGTAGTCCCAGCTACTCAGGAGGCTGAGGCAGGAGAACTGCTTGAACGCAGGAGACGGAGGTTGCAGTGAGCCAACACAGTGCCACTGCACTCCAGCCTGGGCAACAGAGTGAGACTCGAAAGGGGAAAGGGGAAGGGAAAATTAATGGAACCAAATGCCAGTTCTTGGAAAAAAACAATAAAATTCAAAGTCTCTAGCACCAAAAGCAGCACATTTTTCTCATAAGATCCAAATTTAATAAGAGTCTCTGCAAAAATTTTCTGTTCTTTCTGAAATCTCAACTGAAAGGGATTTTACTCGAAATAGCCTAATTAAAGGTCTTTTTCTTTTCAAAAAAAATTATTTATTTATTTAGAGACAGGATCGTGCTCTGTTGCCCAGGCTGGAGTGCAACAGCGTGATCATGGCTCACTGCAGCGTCAACCTCCTGCACTCAAGCAATTCTCCCACCTCAGCCTCCCAAGTAGCTGGGAATAAAGGTGTGCACCACCACACCCGGCTAATTTTTTGTAATTTTGGAGAGACAGGGTTTCACTACGGTAACCAGGCTGGTCTGGAACTCCTGAGCTCAAGTGATCCCGCCTCGGCCTCCCAGAATGCTGGGATTACAGGTGTGAGCCACTGCGCCTGGCCAAAAATTTATTATTTTATCAGTTTCTTTGGCGTGAGTTGAGGAAATCGTATGTCCTTTATACTTAACTAGACTGTATTGGTTTGTATCTGACTTTCTACTATTTTTGATATTGAATGAACCATTGGATAGTACTCAAAGAGCTTCAAAAGGACTTTTTTCTCGTTAACATATGTCTACTGTTCAGAAAATTTATCACGAAATTTATACCTACATTTTAGCAGTTGGAGAGTTAAATAAACACAAAAAACAGATTCTAGCAACCCCAAGAACTGAAAAGATTGAATTTGATCATCTCACAGTGCTCTGTTACACGTCGTTATGCATAAACAAATCCTAAGAACTCGTGAATTTACCACAAATTGTACTGGATATTCAATGCAAATAAAGCCAATTTTGTGCTTACTTGTGAGGGAGAGCTGTACTTGTCAGACGATATATTCCGGAACAAAGCCAGACCTTTGGGAAAGTTTTGGGAAGCCAGGTCTTCAGTGATGGGCACACATTGAGAAGCGGGAGGCTGGAGAGGCAGGCCATGGGGCTTTCTAGCATGTTCCTCTACTCACGGCAGTAAGGCTGCTATCGAGGTGCAACTTTAAAATGGCGGCGACAGGAAGGATTGCTCGCTGATTGGCTGTTGTGTAGAAGGGTGGGGCTGTCACTGATTGGCTGACTTTGGCTGACTTTCATGGGGTCCATTGCTAATTGGCTGAGTTTCAGGACTGAGCGTATCACCTAGTGATAATTGAGTATACTTCCTGATTTGCTTGTCCCTTCTCTTAGTGTACATGGAGGGATGGAATTTCTGGGTCACCAGGGATGCATATCTTTAAATTTTCCTAAATAATTTCAAATGCGGCCGGATGCGGTGGCTCACACCTGTAATCCCAGCAGTTTGGTAAGCCGAGGTGGAAGGATCGCTTGAGGTCATGTGTCCCAAACCAGCCTGGCCAACACGGCAAAACCCCGTCTCTACTAAAATACAAAAATTAGCCAGGCAGCACACGCCTGTAATCCCAGCTACTCGGGAGGCTGAGAGGCAGGAGAATCACTTGAACCTGGGAGGCGGAGGTCGCAGTGAGCCGAGATAGCAACACGGTTTAGGTAGCAGCCACCCCCTAATTCCATCTCCACCTCTTTCTTTACCTTCCCCTGCCAACTGGGCTCTCTGCAAACCTAGAAAGGTCAGGGAGAGATGGGGGTGAGTGTTACTCACATGCCAGCTCGGGAGTTGTCTCTAGTTCCCACTTTTTTTTTTTTTTTTTTTTTTTTTTTATAGACAGTCTTGCTGTCGCTTAGGCTAGAGTGCAGTGGTGAGATATCAGCTCACTGCATCCTTGACTTCCCGGGCTCAAGCAATCTTCCCACCTTAGCCTCCCGAGTAAGCTCCCACATTCTTCATGCCCTACATGAGCAGTGGCTCACAGTCAAGTCCTGATCCCTTCTCCATAGGGCCTGCCCCCATTCCAACCACTTATACCTCCCCTGATGTCCCAGGGCCCTGCGTGTTCTCTGAGCTCTCACCTGGCTGTACAGCCCAGGTGCGACTGGTGAATATTTTCTCTTTCTTTCTTTTTTGTTTTTTTTTTTTTTTTTTGACAGAGTCTCACTTGCCCAGGCTGGAGTGCAGTGATAAGATCTTAGCTCACTGCAACCTCTGCCTCCTAGGTTCAAGCGATTCTCCTGCCTCAGCCTCCTAAGTAGCTGGGACTACAGGCGTTCGTCACCACGCCAGGCTAATTTTTGTATTTTTCGTAGAGGTGGGGTTTCACCATGTTAGCCAGGCTGGTCTCACACCTGTAATCCCAGCACTTTGGGAGGCCGAGAGGCGGATCTCCTGAGGCCAGGAGTTCAAGACCAGCCTGGTCAACATGTTGAAACCCCATCTCTACTAAAAACACGAAAATTAGCCGGGCGTGGTGGGATGAGCCTGTAGTCCCAGCTATTCAGGAAGCTGAGGCAGGAGAATTGCTTGAACCTGGGAGGCGGAGGTTACAGTGAACCGTGATTGCACCACTGCACTCCAGCCTGGGCGACAGAGTGAGACTCTGTCTCAAAAAAATAAAAATAAAAATAAAAATAAATAAAAACTGAGGCCAGTCACAGTGGCTCACACCTGTAATCCCAGTACTTTGGGAGGCTGAAGCAGGAGGATCACTTGAACCCAGGAGTTTGAGACCGGCCTGGGCAACATAGCAAGACCCTGTCTCCACAAAAATTTTTTTAAATTAGAAATTTAAAAAATTAAAATTGATCCATATTCCCATTAGTAGGGATGTTTAAATAACACATCTGTTAATCTTGAGTTAATGGAAAGAGCCAGGAAGGGTCCGGTTTGGTCTTGTATCTGTAAAATTAAAATTAGGAACAGTTAAACAAATGTCTTCTATGGTTTTTGTTACTTGAGCCCAGGGGTTCAAGTCTGTAGTGAGCTATGATTTCACTGCTGCACTCCAGCCTGGGTGACAGAGAAGACCTTGTCTGTAAAAGAAGGGGAGGAGGGCAAAAATATATAAAATTAATATTAGCAAATTTTTTTTTTTTTAGACAGAGTCTTGCTCTGTCGCCCAGGCCGGAGGGCAGTGGCACGATATTGGCTCACTGCAACCTCCACCTCCCTGGTTCAAGCAATTCCCCTGCCTCAGCCTCCCAAGTAGCTGGGATTACAAGCGTGCACCATCATGTCCGGCTAATTTTTTTTGTATTTTTAATAGAGACAGGGTTTCACCATGTTGGCCAGACTGGTCACGAACTCCTGACCTCATGATCCGCCCGCCTTGGCCTCCCAAAGTGCTGGGATTACAGGCATGAGCCACCACGCCTGGCCATTAGCAACTTTTAAACAAATGTCTTGTATGCTTTTCATTACTTATAAAAGGCTCTCTGAAGGATAGGATGGGGCCATCTTAGAGATCTGGACCAAACACCAATGTGATTCTTCCAGAAGACTGCAATTTGATGGACTATGTCAGAGATGAGAAGACCGAATTCCTGGCTCCCTTTCCACATCTTCCTGATCTCAAGGCTTCAGGATTGGAGTCTGAAAATGTGAATTCTAGCTATGTAGCTTTGACCAAGTCATGTGTCCCCCGTGGGACTCAGTTTTCCTTCTGCCCAGTGGGGAATCATAAGCGCCATTCTGACTTGTCACAGGGTTTCAGGTTTGTTGGGAGATTACAAGACAGTGAAAATGAAGTATCTTTGACTAATTAAATCATCTGTCTCAGAATATAACACATTTTAATGTTTTTATTTATTATTATTATTATTTTTTACAAGCGTGTGCCACCATGCCCGGCTAATTTTTTTGTATTTTTGGTAAAGACAGGGTTTTGCCATGTTGGCCAGGCTGGTCTCAAACTCCTGGCCTCAAGAGATCCTCCCAAAGCACTGGGGTTACTGGCATGAGCCATTGCGCCCCGCCAAAAGTTGTTTCTTTGGAGCAAAATAGGTGATAATGCCAACGTATTCGCTTGCTAAGATTTCCATTACAGAATACCACAGGCTGGGTGGCTTAAACAACAGAGTTTATTTTCTCACAGTCTGGAGGCTGGAAATCAAAGATCAAGGTGTCAGCAGGGTTGGTTTCTTCTGAAGCCCGTCTCCTTGGTTTGTAGACAGCCACCTCTTCCCCGTGTCTCCACACGGTCCTTCCTCCTTGTGCACCCATGTTTGTGTCCTGATCTCCTCTCCTTATAAGGGCCACAAGACAGATTGAATTGCAGCCCACCCTGCCAACCTCATTTTAACGTAATCACATCTTTAAAGGCCCTATCTCCAAATACACTCACATTCTGAAGTACTAGGGGCTTTAACATATGAATTGGAGGGGGACAAAATTCAGTCTATAACAGCCAGAGATGAATGTTATCTATTTGCGTGAGATGAGGAAAGAGTAGGAGGCAGCTGGCTGCATCTGGGCTGTGTTGGTTTGCTTTGGGAAGAGCTCATCAGGTATGGGCAGGTTGCTCACTCAGTGGTGGACATGGGTAGCAACACATGCTTTGTCAATGAAAATACATAATCATGACCTCATCGTTTTGGTAAAAAAATAACAATTTTTTGTTGTTGTTGTTGTTGAGATGGAGTCTCACTCTGTCATTTAGGCTGCTGGAGTGAAGTGGTGTGATCTCTGCTCACTGCAACCTCTGCCTCCCACAAGAAATTCTCCTGCCTCAGCCTCCCTAGTAGCTGGGATTACAGGGGCCCGCCACCACGCTTGGCTAATTTTTTTTTTTTTTTTTTTTGAGACAGAGTCCCGCTCTGTCACCCAGGCTGGAGTGCAGTGGCGCGACCTTGGCTCATCGCAACCTCTGCCTCCCGGGTTGAAGCAATTCTCCTGCCTCAGCCTCCTGAGTAGCTGGGATTAGAGGTGCACGCCACCATGCCTGGCTAGTTTTTTTGTATTTTTTTAGTAGAGACTGGGTTTTACCGTATTGGTCACGCTGGTCTTGAACTCCTGACCCCAGGTGATCCACCCGCCTCAGCCTCCCAGAGTGCTTGGATTACAGGCATGAGCCACCGCGCCCAGCCTAATTTTTGTATTTTTCGTAGAGATGGGGTTTCACCATGTTGGCCAGGCTGGTCTCAAACTCCTGACCTCAGGTTATCCGCCCCACCTTGGTCTCCCGAAGATCTGGGATTACAGGCATGAGCCACTGCGCCCAGCCACAAAGATGTAAACTAAAAAAAAAAACACTCCAAATCCCACTACCAACAAATAACCAACGTTCACACTATGCTGTCTCCACATACACAGATAGAAGGCAAGAACACTGGAGCAAAAAAAAAAAAAACTGGAGCAAAAAACAAAAAAACAACACTGGAGCCAAAAATAAAAGAAGGCAAGAACACTGGGTTGAGAGACAGAAAGAAACAAAAGCAATTTTTACAAATGTGTGTGTACTATAAGTGTTAAAGTAAAAGTTGTTATACTTTTCTGCAATTGAATCAACAGAAGAAAACCAAATGGTTGCTATGCTAGTTTCTTCATTGTTAATGCTGCTGTAACAAGTTACCACACACTTAGTGGGTCAAATCAACATGAATTTCCTCTCACACAGTTCCTTTTTTTTTTCTTTCTAGAGACAGGGTCTCACTCTGTCACCCAGGCTGGAGTGCAGTGGCGCGATCTCAGCTCACTGGAACCTCTGCCTCCCAGGCTGAAGCTATCCTCCCACCTCAGCCACCTGAATAGCTGGGGCCACAGGCGCGCCACCACCATGCCCGGCTAATTTTTACATTTTCTGTAGAGACGGGACTTCGCCATGTTGCCCAGGCTCTTCTCAAACTCCTGGGCTCAAGTGATGCTCCCGCCTTGGTCTCCCAAAGTACCAGGATTACAGGTGTGAGCCACCATGCCCTATCATACAGTTCTGGAGGTCCGAAGTCTGCCATGGGTCTCAGTGAGCTAAAAGCAAGGTGTCAGCAGGGCTGTGTTGTCTTTTAGAGGCTCTAGGGGAGAAACTGTTTTCCTGTTTTTTCCAGCTTCCAGAGGTCACCCACATTCCTTTACTCATGACCTTCTTCTTTCATCTTCAAAGCCAGCAACTGTGGTTGTGTCTTCTCAAGTCACATCACTTCTGCCTCCTTCTACTTTTAAGGACTTTTGTGATGACCTTGGGTCTACTGGATAATCCAGGATAATTTCTCTGTCTTAAAACCAACTGGTTGGAAACCTTAATTCCATCTGCAACCTTAGCTCCTTTTTTTTTTTTTTTTTTTTTTTTTTTGAGACAGGGTCTCTCTCTGTCGCCCAGGCTGGAGTGCAGTGGCGTGATCTCAGCTTACTGCAACCTCCACCTCCTGAGTTCAAGCGATTCTCCTGCCTCAGCCTCCCAAGTAGCTGGTACCACAGGCGCGTGCTACCACGCCTGGCTAATTTTTGTATTTTTAATAGAGATGGGATTTTGCTATGTTGGCCAGGCTGGTCTCAAACTCCTGACCTCAAGTGATCTGCCCGCCTTGGCCTCCCAAAGTGCTAGGATTACAGGTGTGAGCCACCATGCCTGGCCTTAGTTCCTTTTTACCATGTAACATAGAATATCCCCAGGTTCCAGGGTGCAGGCATTGTTCTACCTACACAGGAGGAAGGGAGGGAGCGTACAGGGAGGTGGCCATCCACAAAAGTTTGGGTTTTTCTTGGAGGGAAGGCGTGGAAACACCACGGGCCCCAAGACTGGGAGAGCAGGGTTGACTCTGAGCTGCGTTTGCAGGTGGCAGTGAAACAGCCGACAGATGGAAGCTGAAAGGCTACCAGAATATCCACTCTTCCCCAGGGACTCCGATGCAGGGTTAGGGGCTCTGAGTGGAGGCAGTGTCAAGGCCTCAGCTGAAGGCAGGTCGTTAGCTCTGAAAGCAGCACCAGCTCCCCTGTGACAGGGGAGCTCTCTGTCTTTCTCTGGCAGCCCTTGACTCCATGCCACTCCCCCTGCCCCTGCCCTACCTCCTGCCTCCAAGGGCCTCCCACATTCCCAGGAATGCAGACTTCACCTTTCTCTTCTGTCTCCCTTAAACCCAGTCAGCCTCAGCAGTTTAGGGCTATAAAGTCCAGCAGAAACCATCTTGTCTAACCCCCTCACTGAACAAACGGGGAAATGAGCCCCTGGCTCTGTCCCAGGAATCCCTTATATACACTCAGAGTGACTTCTTCAAGGACAACCAAAAATGACCTTAATCCCAGGGGAAGAGAAATCCTCGCCCCTACTAGGTGGCAGTCTCTACACCTTCCCTATTCAAGACTCAGTAGGGGCCAGGTGTGGTGGCTCACACCTGTAATCCCAGCACTTTGGGAGGCAGAAGCGAGCAGATAACCTGAGGTCAGGAGTTTGAGACCAGGCTGGCGAACATGGTGAAAACCTGTCTCTACTAAAAATACAAAAATTAGCCAAGTGTGGTGGCGCATGCCTGTAATCCCAGCTACTCGGGAGGGTGAGGCAGGAAAATCGCTTGAACCTGAGAGGTGGAGGTTGCAGTGAGCCAACCTCACACCACTGCACTCCAGCCTGGACAATAAGAGCGAAACTCTGTCTTAAAAAAAAATACTCAGTGGGCAGCCAGGCACAGTGGCTGATGCCTGTAATCCCAGAACTTTGGGAGGCCCAGGTGAGAGGATTGCTTGAGCCCAAGGAGTCGGAGACTGCGGTGAGCTATGACTGTGGCACTGCACTCCAGCCTGGGTGACAGAGTGAGACCCTGTATCTTAAAGACTCAGTGGGCCTTCTCTGAGGTAGACTTTACAGCCCAGCCCCCAGGGCCAAGTCAAAGCCACAGGGTCACCAATGCATGGAGTGTCCTTTGAGATCACTAAGCTCACCTCCTCCTGATACAGAAAAGGAAAACAAGATGCAGAGAGTGCAAGGGACAGAAACCAAGCCACACAGCAGTGCCAATGGAGAACTAGGCCTAGAACTCAGCTCACCTTGCTTCCAAGTCTGTGGTTCTATGAAATATGCTTTCCACTGCTTTCCCTACAATCTTCAACTCTATCCCCTTCTTTTGCACTACCCGATCCCTATTCTCTTCAGATGGAGGGCAGAGATACATCCCCCCAACAACTTTTTTTTTTTTTTTTTGAGACAGAGTCTCACTCTCTGTCGCCCAGGCTGGGGTGCAGTGTCGCGATCTTGGCTCACTGCAGCCTCCGCCTCCTGGGTTCAAACGATTCTCTTGCTTCAGCCTCCTGAGTAGCTGAGATTACAGGCGCACACCACCATTCCTGACTAATTTTTTTTTTATTATTATTAGTAGAGATGGGGTTTCATCATGTTGGCCAGGCTGGTCTTGAACTCCTGACCTCAGGTGATCCACCTGCCTCGGCCTCCCAAGGTGCTGGGATTATAGGCGTGAGCCACCTCGTCTGGCCTCTAATAGGGCTTTCTGTTACTTAAAGGGGAAGAATGCCTAACTGCCAAAGTCTCTTTACACATAATCTCTTAACTACCCTTAGGATGGCCAGGCTAGGTTCTAGCATGCCCATTTTATGGACAGGGAAACTGAGCTACCGAGCCTATGTGATTTCAGTGTTTGTCCTCAAGTCCTCAGAAACTCCAGATTTGAGAGAAAGGCAGGCATTTTCTTTGGAGTAGAAATACACTCTCTAATAAAAAGGCAACCCACAGAATAGGAGAAAATATTTGTAAATCATGTACCTAACAAGCGATTAAGATCCAGAATGTATAGAGAACCCCCAAAACTCAACAATGAAAAGACAAACAACCCAATTCAAAAATGGATAAAGGACTTGAATAGACATTTCTCCAAAGAAGACATACAAATAGCTAATAAGAACATGAAAAGATGTTCAACATCACTAATTATTAGGGAAATTCGAATCAAAACTAGAATGAGATACCACCTCACATCCATTAGGATGGCTACTATTGAAAAAAAAACAGGAAATAACAAGTGTTGGCGAGGATGTGGAGAAACTGAAACCCTTATGTACTGTTATTGGGAACATAAAATGGAACTGCCACAGTGGAAAACAAAATGACAGTTTCTTAAAAAGTTAAAAATAGGCTGAGCGCAGTGGCTCACGCCTGTAATCCCAGCACTTTGGGAGGCCAAGGTGGGAGGATTGCTTGAGCTCAGGAGTTCAAGACCAGCCTGGCCAACATGGCAAAACCCCGTCTCTACCAAAAATGTAAAAATTAGCCAGGTATGGTGACGTGCACCTGTGGTCCCAGCCACTTGGGAAGCTGAGGCAGAAGGATCACTTGAACCTGGGAGGCAGAGGTTGCAGTGAGCTGAGATTATACCACTGCCCTCCAGCCTGGGTGACAGAGCGAGACCCTGTCTCAAAAAAAAAAAAAAAATAAAATGACCATATGATTCAGCAATTCCACTTCTGGGTATGTATCCAAAAGAATTGAAAGCAGGGTTTTGAAGAGATATTTGTACAACCATGCCCATAGCAGCATTATTCACAATAGCTAAACCATGGAAGCAACCCAAGTGTCCACAGACAGGCGAATGGCTAAGCAAATGTGGTTTATCCATACAATGGAATACTATTCAGCCTCAAAAAGGAAGGAAATTCCGGCTTCTGACACATCCTACGACATGGATGAACGTTGAGGACAACTATGCTAGGTGAAATAAACCAGTCACAAAAAGACAAATACTGTATGATTCCACTTATATGAGAAACATAGTGTAGTCAAAGTCACAGAGATGGGCCAGGCGTAGTGGCTTACGCCTGTAATCCCAGCACTTTGGAAGGCTGAGGCAGGAGGATCACTTGAGCCTAGGAGTTCAAGACCAGCCTATGCAACATAGCGAGACCCTGTCTCTACAAAAAAAGTTAAAAATTAAGCCGGGTAGGCTGGGCGTGGTGGCTCATGCCTGTAATCCCAGCACTTTGGCAGGCCGAGGCGGGAGGATCACGAGGTCAGGAGATCGAGACCATCCTGGCTAACACGCTGAAACCCCATATCTACTAAAAATACAAAAAATTAGCCGGGTGTGGTGGCGAGCGCTTCTAGTCCCAGCTACTCAGGAGGCTGAGGCAGGAGAATGGCGTGAACCCGGGAGGCGGAGCTTGCAGTGAGGCGAGATTGCGCCACTGCACTCCAGCCTGGGTGACAGAGCAAGACTCCATCCCCCCCACACACAAAAAAAAATTAGGCCGGGCGTGGTGGCTCATGCCTGCAATCCCGGCACTGTGGGAGGCCGAGGCGGGTGGATCACGAGGTCAGGAGTTCAAGACCAGCCTGGCCAACATAGTGAAATTTTGTCTCTACTAAAAATACAAAAATTAGCCCGGCATGGTGGCGCGTGCCTGTAGTCCCAGCTACTCGGGAGGCTGAGGCAGGAGAATCGCTTGAACCTGAGAGGCGGAGGTTGCGGTGAGCCAAGATCATGCCACTGCACTCCAGCCTAGGCAACAGAGGGAGACTCCATCTCAAAAAAAAAAAAAAAGAAAAAAATTAGCCAGGCATGGTGGCATACACCTGTGGGCCTGGCTGCTCAGGAGGCTGAGGTAGGAGGATTGCTTGGGCCCAGGAGTTCAAGGCTGCAGTGAGCTGTGATTGCACCGCTGCGCTTTGTGCTGGGTGACAGAGTGAGACCGTGTCTCAAAAAAAAAAAAAATCATAGAAACAGAAAGTAGAAGGGTGGTTGCCAGAGGCTTGTGAGAGGAAAGAATGGGGAGTTGTTGGGTACAGAGTTTCAATTTTACAAGAGAAGAAGAGTTCTGGAAATGGATGGTGGTGATGGTTGCACAATACTATGAGTGTATTTAATACCACTGAATGGTACACTTAAAATGATTATAGTGATAAAGTTTGTCATATGTATTTCACCACAATTTTTTAAATGGGGAGGAGGAGAAAGAAATGCATCTGCTAAACAAGCGCTGTCCCAGCGCATTGGTGGGCCTGTGTTTGCAGGAACACCAACTGGCCCTGAAGGTGGCCATGGTTTGGGAAGCCCTGGCTGCTGCCTCTCTGGTTCTCTGGGCTTTGTCCTGGGAGATGTGCTGGGGCCAGCAGTGGATGGGGAAGAAGCACGGTAGGTCTCTGTTACTCAACAGAAAGTGCCTCCATTCTAAGGAGACAAGAAATCGTCTGCTGGAAACATTTAGTGAAACCAAAGCTATCTTGGATCCGTTTATGGAAAGGAGTGGCTGAGTTCTACCAGATGTACCCTGAAGCCTGTTACCAAAGCCAAGCCAAGCGTCAGCACCAAGCAGTACCTCATTCACCTCTGGATCTCTGAAGAACAGGGTCCCACGTCCAGGAGCCTCCCACAATGGAGCCAGTGTCCAGGTTGGAGGTGCAGATGCTCTCCTGGTTACCACCTCTGCTCTGGCCTGGTTCCCTTCACCCTGGACAGAGCTCTTCCTGCAGTAGAGGAAAGAGCCATCTCCTGGAAGCCAGGAGGTCCTTCTGGAAGAATGCTTCCCTGTCCCTGAGCTTCCCAGTGTGCAGAGAGCTTCTCCACACAGGATTTGATCCACTGTATTGAGGAATTCCTTCTCCTGCAGTAACAAACCAACCCGACAATGCCATGGCTTCACACGCTAATAAAAGTTTATTTCTTGCTCTCATCACAGACTGCTGTGGGTGTTCCTGGTTGATGAGCGGACTTCCATGTGGGGGCTAAGGACTCCAGCCTCCTTGGACACTGTGGCCTCACCACCCTCCACTAGGGCTCAAGAACTCCAAAACATAGACAAAGAGCAATGGGGAAAGCACTACTGCTTCTTAAGGACACAAACCATTTTAGCTCAAGTTCCATTTGGGAGAACTGGTCGCATGGCCCCACCCAGGGGCAAGGGACAGTGGGAAGTGGAACTTCTGGCTGGACAGCTATTTTGCAACAGCTCAACGTGCGTGACTTTTGGGAGCAGCTAAACATCACTGTGACACCCTGTCAGATGGGTATCATCCCCGTATTACTGATCAGGAATCTGACGGTCAATGCAGGCAACGGACTCACTCCAGGTCACTTAGCTAGATTCGTTATCATGATCACAAACTAGGTGTCCCCTCTTCCAGCTCCTGGCCTGATGCCACCTTGATCAGCCAGCTCACTGCTTTGAATTTTAGGAAGAGTCTCAGGCCTCCTCATCCAGAGGGTGCTTTACTTTATAAAGCAGTTTTAACCTGAGAACTTCACCTCATCCTCAAAATGTCCTGGTGAGGGAAGCAGGAAGCCAGTGATCCCCATTTAACAGATTAAAAAAAAAAAAAAAGCAACTGAGTACAATCAGTTCTGAAGAGCAGTGAAAAGCCCAAGGTCCCAGGCACTGCAGACCTTCCCAGCAATAGATTCCAGATGTTTCTCTTCCTCCGGTATCCTCAATGTCCATGAAAAGAGGCAGGCTGTGGGTCTTCCACATTGATGAAAAGTGAAGCCCACATTCTAGAACCCATGTGTCATGTGCACTGCTTAGGTGATATTCAAACTTTCCCCCCTTTCGTCAGTGACTCCTGAATGTGCACCTCCAGCATCATTCCTTCCCCAATGTGTGTGACCCCAGGGGCACCCTCTCCTCATTCTGTGTGACAGCACAGCTGTCCACCCCATAGTCTGTCTGACCCCAGGAGTGTCCACTTACCAGTCTGTATGACATGAGTGTTCACACTCTTGTGATGACAGAGGTGTCCCCACCGCAGGGTGTGTGACTCTAGGAGTGTCCAAACCCCTATCTGTGTGACTACAGTTGTGTCCACATGCCAGTATGTGTGGCCCCAGGAGTGCCTACCTCCAAAGTTGTGTGACACCAGCAGTATACAGCCAGTCTGTGTGACCCCAGGAAGGTCTACAACTCAGTGTGTGTGAGTGTTCAAACCCCCATGTGAGTGACCCACGGGAGTGCTGACCCCCCATGTGTAGTACCCCATGACAGTCTGCTGCCCTTCCTATGTGATCCCAGGAAGCACACTGCCCAGGGTGTGTTACTCCATTTACAAGACCCCAGCGATGTTCACACCTGATCTGTGTGAGCCCAGGATAATTCACATTCCAGTCTGTGTAACCCGAGGGCCGCCCCACACTGCAGCTGCTGTGACCTCAGCAGTATCTACTCCCAAATCTGCATACCGAGGAGTGTCCATGACTATCCTGGGTGACCACGGCAGCATCCACAACTCAGTCTGTGACCCCAGGGGTGCCAATTCATCATTTTTTTTTGGACCACAGGAATATCCACTTCCCTAAAACTGAGATTGCAGGAATGTTCCTAACACAGCCTACGTGACCACAGGACTGTCCCCCCCTTAGTCACTGTGGCCCCAGGAGTGTCCACACCCCAGTCTGTGTAACACTAGGAGTACCTGGTCCACAATGTGTGATTTCAGGGGTGCCTGCCGCCCAGTGTGTTTAATATTAGGAGTGTCCCAAACCCCCTGTGTGACCCTGGAAGTGTCCACTCTCCAGTATGGGTGGCCCTTGGAGTGTTCACACCTCTGTCTATATGACCCCAAGTCTGTCCACAGTCCAGTCTGAGTGACTCTAGCGATGTCGAAACCCCCATCTTTGTGACCGGCCAGCACTCTAGGTGACCTCACAATTGCCCACACCTCAGGCTGTATGAGCCCAGGAGTGGCCACATTCCAGTCCGAGAGGCCCCAAGAGGCTCTACATTCCAATCTGTGTGAACCCAGGGACGTGCACACCCCAGACTATCTGACCTTTAGGATGTCCACATCCTCGTGTATGTGACCCTAAGAATGTCCACTAGCCAGTCTGGATGACTCAGGAGTGTCTGCTTCCCGGTCTACGTGGGAAATGTCCACATACAAATCTATGTGACCCTGGGAATGTCCACACTCCAATCATTGGGACCCCAAGACTGCCCACCCCTCAGTTTGTTTGACAACAAGAGTGTTGACACCCTAGTCAATCTGACCCCAGAAGTGCCTGCATCCCCCTCTGTGTGACCCCGAAAGTGTGCATTCTCCAGTGTGTGTGATTCCTGGAGTGTCCGCTCTGCAGTGTGTGTGAGACTCCTGGAATGTCTGGAACCCCATCTGAGTAACCCACAGCTGTCCACATGCCAGTGTGTGCTGCCTCAGGTGGCATTCACACTTCTATCTGTGTGACCCCAGGAGTGCTCACACCCCACTCTGTGACTCCAGGATTATCCACACCCCTGTCTTTATGACTGCAAGGTTGTCTACACAACAGTCGTGTGATCGATCCCAGGAGTATACACACAACAATTGCACAACAGCAGGTTCCAAGACAGTACTAAGTTCCTCACCACCGCCACTCCTGCACACCCTCTGTGGTGCGACCTGTGAGGGGCTGTTCATGCCTCAATTCAATGGATCATTTTGTCCCAAGCTCCCTCCAACACCATTAAGTGGTCTCTTCTATTCCTATTGCCCCTCTGTCTCTCCAGTGGACCATTCAATTTCCATCCCCCACTTCCCAACCACATGTACACACACAGGTGCCCACCTGCATACACATATATGTGCATGCACATCCCCAAATAGACCATCCCAGCATCAGACCCTGCACAGCTTGTAGGGAGCAAAGATCAAGGAAGCCAACCCCCTGCTGCAGGCCCCACCCCATAGAGAGTAGTGGGGAGGAAATCAGGAAATGCATTCCTGATGAGAGTAAAACCTTCTAGGACCTTGTGAAGCATCTACAGAAATCAATATTGGACACTCTCCCCACTACCCCCAGCTCCATGTGGGCAGGGACATTTGTCTGCCTTATTTTCTGTTGTCTGGCCAGCACTTAGAACAGTGCTGGGCACACAGTACACACACATTAGGTGTTTGTTGAATGAATGAAACTTGATCCAGCAATTCCACTTCTTTTTTTTTTTTTTAGTTTTTTTTAGTTTTTTTTAGTTTTTGCCCTGTTGTCCAGGCTGGAGTACAATGGTGCGATCTCAGCTCGCTGCAACCACCACCTCCTAGGTTCAAGCAATTCTCTTGCCTCAGCCTCCTGAGTAGCTGGGATTACAGGTGCCTGCCACCACACCCGGCTTATTTTTGTATTTTCAGTAGAGACGAGGTTTCACCATGTTGGCCAGGCTGGTCTTGAACTCTTGACCTCAGGTGATACGCCTGCCTCAGCCTCCCAAAGTGCTGGAATCACAGGCATGAGCCACTGCGCCTGACCTGAGCAATTCCACTTCTAACTCTAACACTCACACATGTGCACAAAGCTGTGTGCACAAGGCTGGTGGGAGCAGATCAGAAAAACCTTGTAAATGTCCATTTATAAAGAATGACTGTTGCAGAGTGAAATGAATGATGGAGGTTCATGTCGCTCCACAGAGCACTTGCTGGACATGATACAGAATGAAGGGGACCTGCTGCATTTCTGGAGGGATTGCAGAGGACTTCAAGGAAGCAGGGATGGTGATTCCTACCACATCCCCATTCAACTCTCCTATTTGGCCTATGCAGAAGACAGATGGATCTTGCAGAATGACAGTGGATTAGCCAGGTGATGACTTAAGCTTAACGTAAGCTTAACTAGGTGGTAATTCCAACTGCAGCGGCTGTACCAGAGGTGGTTGCATTGCTTGAGCAAATTAACACATCCCTTGGTACCTGGTGTGCAGTTATTTGATCTGGCAAAGGCCTTTTTTCTCCATCCCTGTCCATAAGGCTACCAGAAGCACTTTGAACTGGCAAGGCCAGCTGTACTCTGTCACCATCCTGCCTCAGTGGTATATCAATCAACTCTCCAGCCCTATGTCACAATTTAGTCCACAAGGACTTTGATTGCCTTTCCCTTCCACAGGTATCACAGTGGCCCATGACATTGATGATATTATGCTGAGTAGACATAGTGAGCAAGAAGTAGCAACTACTCTAGACTTATTGGTGAGAAATTTCTGTGTCAGAGGGTAGGAAATAAATTCAACAAAAATTCAGGGATCTTCTACCTCAGTGAAATTTCTAGGAGTCCAGTGGTGTGAGGTCTGTCAACATATTCTTTTTTTTTTTTTTTTTTTTTTTGAGATGGAGTCTCGCTCTGTCACCCAGGCTGGAGTGCAATGATGCAATCTCGGCTCACTGCAAACTCCACCTCCCTGTTCAAGCGATTCTCCTGCCTCAGCCTCCTGAGTAGCTGGGATTACAGGCACACGCCACCATGCCCAGCTAATTTTTGTATTTTTAGTAGAGATGGGGTTTCACCACGTTGGTCAGGTTGGTCTCAAACTCCTGACCTCATGATCCGTCCGCCTCAGCCTCCCAAAGTGCTGGGATTACAGGCGTGAGCCACTGCACCCAGCCAATATATTCCTTCTAAGATGAAGGATAAGTAGTTGCATCTGGCCCCTCCTACAATCAAAAAAGAGGCACAATGCCTGGCACACCTATTTGGATTTTGGAAGCAACACATTCCTCATTTGGGTATGTTACACATGCCCGTTTACCAAATGACCTGAAAAGCTGCAAGTTTTGTGTGGGGCCCAGAACAGGAGAAGGCTCTGCAACATGTCCAGGCTGCTGTGCAAGCTACTTTGCCACTTGGGCCATAGGACCCAGGAGATCCAGTGGTGCTTGAAGTGACAGTGGCAGATAGGGATACTGTTTGGAGCTCTTGGCAGGCCGCTATAAGTTAGTCATAGCCTAGCCCTCTAGGATTTTGTTTTATTTTATTTTTTGAGACAGGGTCTTGCTCTGTCACCCAGGCTGGAGTGCAGTGGCACAACACAGCTCACTGCAGCCTTGACCTTTCAGGCTCAGGTGATCCTCCCACTTCAGCCTCCCTAGTAGCTGGGACTGACTGCAGGTGTGCACCACCACATCTGGCTAACTTTTGTATTTTTTGTAGAGATAGGGTTTCCCAATGTTCCCGAGGCTGGTCTCGAACTCTTGGGCTCAGGCAATCCACACGTCTCAGCCCCCCAAATGAAATTTGGTGAGCCTCCTTTAGGATTTTGGAGCAAAGCCCTGCTATTCTCTGCAGATAACTACCCTCCTTTTGAGAAACAGCTCTTGGCTGGGTGTGGTGGATCACTCCTTTAATCCCAGCACTTTGGGAGGTTGAGGCCAACACATCTCTCTCTTGAGCACAGGAGTTCGAGACCACCCTGGGCAACATGGCAAAAATCCATCTCTACAAAAAAATACAAAAATTATTAATAGCTGGGTGGGGTGGTGCATGCCTGTAGTCCCACCTACTCAGGAAGCTGAGGTGGGAAGATCGCTTGAGCCCAGGAGGTCGAGGCTGTAGTGAGCTGTAATTGTGCCACTGCAGTGCAGCCTGGGTGACAAAGTGAGACCCTGTCTCAAAAAAAAAAAAAAAAAAGAGAGAGAGAGAGAAACAGCTCTTGGTCTGCTACTGGGTCTTAGTAGAAACTAAATACTTGACCATGGGCCACCAAGTTACATCATTCCTGCCCATCATGAACTGGGTGTTACCTGACTAACCAAGAGTCGGTGTGCCCAGCAGTGCTCCATCGTCGAATGGAAATGGGAAATATGTGATGGGGCCTAAGCAGGCCCTGAAGACACAAGTAAGTTACATGAGGAAGAGGCCTAAATGCCCATGGTCCCCACTCCTTCTACCTTGCCTCCTTTCTCCCAGCCTGCAACTGTGGCCTCATGGGGAGTTCCCTACAATTAGTTGACAGAGGAAGAGAAGACTTGGGCCTGGTTTACAGATGATTCTGCATGTTATGCAGGCACACTCTGAAAGTGGACAGCTGAAGCACTATGGCCCCTTTCTGAGACACCTCTGAAGGACAGTGGAAAAGGACAGTTAATAAGGGGTGGACTTGTGATGGTAAATTTTGTGTCAACTTGATAGGGACCCAGGGTGCCCTGTTGAATATTATTTCTGGGTGGATCTGTGAGGGTGTTTCCAGATGAGGTTAGCATATGAATTGTTGGACTGAGTAAGGCAGATGGCTCTGCCCATTGTAAATGGGCATCACCCAATCCACTGAAGGTTGGAATAGAACAAAAAAGACGGAGGAAGGTGGAATTTGCTCTCTGCGTGACTGCTTGAGGTAGAACACCAGTCCTTTGCCCTTGGCTGGTACTTACACCATCAGCCCTTTTTTTGTTTTGTTTTGTTTTGTTTTTTAGAGACAGAGTCTTGCTCTGTCACCCAGGCTGAAGTGCAGTGGCACAATCTCGGCTCACTGCAACCTCCACCTCCCAGGTTCAAGCGATTCTCCTGCCTCAGCCTCCTGAGTAGCTGAGATTACAGGTGTGCGCCACCACGCCCAGATAATTTTTGTATTTTTAGTAGGGATGGGGTTTTGCCATGTTAGCCAGGCTGGTCTTGAATTCCTGACCTCAAGTGATCCAACCACCTTGGCCTCCCAAAACGCTGGGATTACAGGCGTGAGACACCATGCCCAGCCAACACCATCAGCCCTTTGGTTCTCAGAACAACACCACTGGCTCTCCTGGGTCTCCAGCTTGCTGATGGCATATTGTGGAACTTCTCAGCTTCCAAAATCACAGGAGCCAATCCTTGTAATATATTACATATTGGTTCTGTTTCTCCTACTGGTTCTGTTTCTCTGGAGAACTCTAATACACCCAGCAATTCCACTTCTAATTCTAGTACTCAGACATGTGCACAGAGCTGTGGGAACAAGGCTGGTAGGAACAAACAACCAGGAAAATCTTGTAAATGTTCACTGATACCCAAGGACTATTGCAGAGTGAAACGAATAATGAGGGTTCATGTTACAGCACAGAGTGCCCACTGGACGTGACACAGAATGGATGGGACTTGTGTGTACCTGCAAGGGTGGGGGTTATCTTCTACAGGATGTGCTATAGGCAGGGAAAAGCAAGGGGGAGTCAGTTACAGTGACCTAGTGCATGTGTGTAGTGTGCGCACACACACACTATGGAAACACAGGGAACTGTATCTGGAAGGAAACACCAGAATCTGACCCCAGTGGTCATTCTGGGGGAATGGGGATAGAGATGATTGCTAGAGTCCATGTACTGATGTGTTGTTCAAATCTTTTTTTTTTTTTTTTTTTTCGAGAGAAAGAGTCTCCTTCTGTCATCCAGGCTGGAGTACAGTGGCACGATCTCAGCCCACTGCAACCTCTGCCACCAATTCAAGTGATTCTTGTGCCTCAGCCTCCCGAGTAGCTGGGATTACAGCTGCGTGCCACCATGCCCGGCTAATTTTTGTATTTTTAGTAGAGATGGGGGTTTCACCATATTGGCCAGGCTGGTCTTGAACTCCTGATCTCAATTGATCCACCCGCCTTAGCCTCCCAAAGTGCTGGAATTACAGGTGTGAGCCACCACCCTCAGCCTGTTTTTCAAATCTTTTATACAAACCTGTATTCACATATTATTTGTGTAACTCTTTTTAAAGGAAAATCATATGCTTAAAAACAATATCTGGCCGGGCACGGTGGCTCACGCCTGTAATCCCAACACTTCAGGAGGCCAAAGCAGGCCAATTGTAGGCAACATAGCAAGACCTCATCCCTACTAAAAATACAAAAATTAGCCAGGCGTGGTGACACACACCTGTAGTCCCAGCTACCCAGGAGGCTGAGGCAGGAGGATCCCTTGAGCCCAGGAGTTTGAGGCTGCACTGAGCCATCATGGCGCCAGTGGGCTCCAGCATGGGTGACAAAGTGAGACACTGTCTCAAAAAAAAACAAAAACAAAACAATATCCACAACACAAAGTGTTTGTGTTGGGGGTAACTAGAAACAAAAATCTCAAACTCACATGCTCCAGGGGCCAGACAAGTAACCTGTAAGGGAGATGGGGGAGTTCTGCTCAGGGTAAAGTGAACAGCAACTGGGCTGATGAATGTTCTCTGACTCTCAGCAGCGGAAGGTGAGGGTGAGTGAAGGGTGAGTGGGGAGGAGGAGGAAGACTGCAAATCTCATCCCCCAAAACTCATCCCCCAAAATAATTCAGGAACATCACACCCTGGGGCTCAGAACTTTTTTTTTTTTAAACAGAGTCTCACTCTGTCACCCAGGCTGGAGTGCAATGGCGCGATCTCGGCTCACTGCAACCTCCGCCTCCCGGGTTCAAACTATTCTCCTGCCTCAGGCTCCTGAATAGCTGGGACTACAGGTGCACACCACCATGCCTGGGTAATTTTTGTATTTTTAGTAGAGATGGAGCTTTACCATGTTGGCCAGGCTGGTCTCGAACTCCCAGCCTCAAGTAATCCGTCCACCTTGGCCTCCCAAAGTGCTGGGATTACAGGCGTGAGCCACCGTGCTTGACCAAGGGGCTCAGAACTCTTAAGAGTTCAGGGATCTTGGCTTGGAAACAGACACCTAATGGGTCAGAGCAGTCATACTCTAACTCAGATAGCTCACAACTTCATACCCCTGACACACACTCTCAAACAGCTCACAGATCTCACACTTTGGAGACATACCCCTAAGTAGACCAGAGGCATCACACGCTAGAATAAAGATCCCCTTAATACTTGGTGGTTTTTCAGTATTATTATTATTGAGATGGAGTCTTGCTCTGTCACCCAGGCTGAAATGCAATGGCGCCATCTCGGCTCACTGCAACCTCCGCCTCCCGGATTCACGCGATTCTCCTGCCTCAGCCTCCCAAGTAGCTGGGATTACAGGCGCCCGCCACCATGCCTGGCTAATGTTTTGTATTTTTAGTAAAGATAGGGTTTTGCCATGTTGTCCAGGCTGGTCTCGAAATCCTGATCTCAGGTGATCCACGTGCCTTGTCCTCCCAAAGTGCTGGGATTACAGGCATGAACCACCGCACCCAGCCTTCAGTGTTAACAAGAAGTAATCCCTTACACACATCCACTTTAAGCTTTCAATTTTGAGGCCCTGAATTTAATGTTAAAGTCCTTCCATTTGCACTACCTACCTGTGTCACCTCCCACAGTCCTCAGCCTGTGCCCTCCCATTCCTGCCCCTTGATCTCCAGGCGCTGAGCCAGAGGATTGTCGGGAGGACCCTGGGCAAAGACGCCTACCCTGCCATGCTGCGCCATCTGCCCTCCAGGCTGCCAGTCAAGATGTGGGGCAGGACTTTGGAGAAACAGGTGAACAAGATGGCCCCTGGGGATCTGGGGCAAGGGTGTTGGCACTGAAACTGGTCTAGTAACCTGTTTCCCTTCTCTGCGGGCTCCCATTTCCTGTCCTCCTCTCTCCCTTTCTCTTTCAGAGACAAGCAGAGGGCAGCAGAGGCCCATGGAAAGGCCCGGCTCTAAGCCATGGAGGGCCCTGTGCTCAGGTGTGCAGGGCTGGGCCGGGGCTGAGGGCTGGCTCCTCCCCCAGTTTAGCCAGGGACAGGTGGAGAGATACAAAGGTGGCTCACGCAGGGTGCCCCCAAAGCTGTCATGATTAAGGCCATGTGGAGAGAGGCTAGGAAACACAGCGCTGACCTTGAGCTTTAGGAGAGGAATTCAGAGGCCCCTGGCAACCTGAAGGGGACCTTGAAGAGGACCCTGTAGGAAGACAGAACACTTCCCTGTAGAGGAGGCCAAAGGAGGAAGGACATGGTGTTCCGGGCACTCTGACTATAGGGATTTTATATGCTGTGGTGAGAAATAAAATGGATTATATTTTTGTAGAGTGTGTAAAACGGGGCTTGGCACACAGTAAGCCTTGTGTGATTACTATGTCTTTTTTTTTTTTTTTTTTTGAGACCGAGGTTTGCTCTTGTCGCCCAGGGTGGAGTGCAGTGGTGCAATCTCAGGTCACTGCAACCTCTGCCTCCCAGGTTCAAGCGATTCTCCTGCCTCAGCCTCCCGAGTAGGGGATTACAGGTGCACGTCACCATGCCCAGCTAATTTTTGTATTTTTAATAGAGACAGGATTTCACCATGTAGGCCAGGCTGGTCTCAAACTCCTGACCTCATGTAATCCACCCACCTTGGCCTCCCAAAGTGCTAGGATTACAGACGTGAGCCACTGCACCCAGTCCTTTGTGTGATGACTATGTCTTGATCATCATTTTATAAAGCAGGCTTTGTAACTTCACCTCCAAGAGTCTGCAGGATCCAGACCCTGCCTTGCCCTCCCACTTATCTCTCACTCACTCTTGGGTTCTGAGCTACGCTGGCCTTCCTGTTATTGAAGACAGCCATCCCTGCTCGTCCTTGAATTTGCAAGGATGGAGCTCCGAGTCTGCAAAGCAGGATCTGGGGAGTGAATCTAAGCTGGCAGGGAAGAATAGAATAATGGGAGGAATAGGTGGAGTTTATTTCTAACAGACTATCAAAATGATGCAGATGTGGCCAAAGCAGTGCTTAGAGGAAATCTATAGTTCTAAATGCACAGATCAGAAAAGTAGAAAAGTTGAAAATCAATGACCTGAGCTTCCCTATCAAGAAACTGGGAAAAGAATGGCAAGTGGAACCTAAGAAAGTAGAAGGAAGGAAATTATAACAGCAGAAACTGGTGAAATAGAAAGCAAAGATACAATAAAGCCAACAATGTTAAAAGTTGATTCTTTGAACAGATTAATAAAATACTAGCAATGTCTATTTTCTCTCGAGAAATTAAGAAAATATATGGATTGCCAATATCAGGAATATAAACAGGGTATTGTGACAGATTCTACAGATGTTAGAAGGTTAATAAGGGCTGGGTGCAGTGGCTCATGCCTGTAACCCCAACACTCTGGGAGGCTGAGGAGGGAGGATTGCTTGAGCCCAGGAATTCAAGACCAGCCTGGGAAACATAGTGAGCCCTCACCTCTACAAAAAAAAAGAAAAAAGAAAACAAAAAATAGTTGGGCATGGTGGCACACACCTGTAATCCCAGCTACTAGGGAGGCTGAAGTAGGAGGATTGCTTGAGTCCAGGAGGTTGAGGCTGCAGTGAGCTGTGATCATGCCACCATGCTCCAGGCTGGGCAACAAAGCAAGACCCTGTCTCAAAAAGGGAATTAAAAAAGAAAGTTAATAAAATTTATTTCAACATATGACTTTATTTTCAATGGAGCCAAAATGTCGGTCATTTTCTCTTTCTGCAGTTCCTATGTCCATGTGGATCTTTTGTATCCACCGGGAGAGCAAAACTCAGCAACTTTGCTAATGCCTCCTCCACTCAGGAAAATAGAATGGTACAGGATTTTTTTTAGCTGGAGCTCAGTGAAATCAATTGTTTAAAATGGGCTGGTTTCAATGGAACTAAACGCAGTGGAATAGAAAATAATAAAATAGCAAAGGGTAGAACAGAATAGAATGGAATCCAATGGAATCGAATCGAACAGAATAGAAACTAGTCAGACTTTGTGCCAAGCACTGTCCCTAGTTGTTGCAGTAGATATTTATTTATTGAACAAATATGATTGAACTAGTTGTTTGGGAAAGAGTGGGGAACAAAACAGACAGAAGTCCCTGCTCTTATGAAGCTTACATTCTAGTCAGGGAGACAGGCATTACCATCTGCAAAGGCCCATAAATGAAAGGTACAAGGGTGGTCCTTATGAGGAACAGGCTAAAGGACAGTGTAGATTGGAGTTCAAGAGCAATGGATGAGGCTGTAGAGATAGGGTGTCATTGTAACTGGAGTCTAGATTTTAACAAGATGACCACACATCATCATCATCATCAATCGTTTTATAGCACTTGATATGTATTAGGCATTGTTCTATGCCCTTAAAAACAGTACTTTTTTAAAACTCTCACAATAATCCTACATGTATAAAATCATGCTCATTTTATAGAAGGGGAAACCAAGGCACAGATAAATTAGATAAATTATTTAAACGTCAATCTGGTTCCAGAATCTTCTTTTTTTTTTTTTTTTTTAGATACAGTCTTGCTCTGTCACCCAGGAGTCCGGTTGAGTGATCATAGCTCATTGCAACCTCCGCCTCCCAGGCTCAAGTGATCCTCCCACCCCAGGCCCCCAAGTAACCAGAACTACACGTGAGCGCCCCACAACCTAATTTTCATATTTTTTTGTAGATACAGGGTCTCACTGTGTTGCCTAGGCTGATCTCAAACTCCTAGGTTCAAGGGATCTGTCTGCCTCAGCCTTCCAAAGTGCTGAGATTACAGGTGCCACCACTAGAATCTATTCTTTTAAGCATTATACTCCATTGCCTATAGTGCCAGACCACAGGTGCTTTATAATCCTGTAGCATAGATACTATAAATATTCAAATTACTAAATAATTCAAGTCAAGAGAAAGATCTGATGGGAAGTGTGCTGAGGGCGGGAAAGTGGAAGGTTGGGGAGTGGTCCTCCCTCTGGGTGTCAAGGTGGATCTGTAAACACGCACGCCCAGAAACCTTCATTTCTTCTGAGATGCCCCCTTCTTGTCTTGTTCTCTGTGACTGAAGCTGCAGAATGGGAAAGGAGGGGGCTGGGTAAAATTGGCCAATTCACAGGACTGGGCCTCCTCTGTGTCTTGTCACTTCTTGGAAAAGAGATGAATTCTATTTAGGGAAAAACAGGGGAGGGCATTGTCTTGGTCTCCACTCCCCTAATCTTCACTTCTGGAAGAGGAGAAAGGGAACAAGAAGGCTGGGTGCAGTGGCTCACCCCTGTAATCCCAGCACTCTGGGAGGCCGAGGTAGGCAGATCACTTGAGGTCAGGAGTTTGAGTTTAAGACCAGCCTGACCAACATAGTGAAACCCCGTCTCTACTAAAAATACAAAAATTAGCTGGGCGTGGTGACACACACCTGTAGTACCAGCTACTCAGGGGGCTGAAGCAGGAGAATCGCTTGAAGCTGGGAGGCGGAGGTTGCAGTGAGGTGAGATTGTGCCACTGCACTCCAGCCTGGGCAACAGAGTGAGACTCTGTCTCAAAAAAAAAAAAAAAAAAAAAAAAAGAAAAGGAAACAAGGAAACAGTGGAAAGTGGTCATGGTAGACATGTGGGCTCTCATGAATCCACACATGGGCAGTAAGACTCTACCAGTAAGTATTCTCTCAGGCCTTTCCCCTTGAAGGGGGGTGAGGAGGAAGTAGTGTAATTGGGGAGGTAGGGGGAGGTGAGGAGAAGAAAACACAGGCGTTGACAAGTGGCAATGTGGTCTCTTCTGACTTTTTTTTCTTTTTTTAGTCATGGAGGGACAGCAGTCAGACCCCTCCCCCATGTCTTATCCGTAGACTTGACCACATCGTGATGACGGTGAAGAGCATCAAAGACACCACCATGTTTTATTCCAAGATCCTGGGCATGGAGGTCATGACTTTTAAGGTAAGCACTTCCCCAAATGCCAAAATTCAGGTGGGCTAAAATTTGTTGATAACACTTTAACATATAACTTAACTCTAAAAGGAAAACCACAGGAAATCTGAGAGAAAATATAAAGAGATCAATAGAGGAGATTCCAAACTGAATATTTGGACTTCCAGAGAGAGAATGGAGAAAAAAGAGAGGAGGAAATTATCATAGAAACAATGCAAGATAACTTTGCAGTCTCTACATGGAAAAGGTTAACCAAGTATCCAGCATGTTGACACTTAACATGGATCCTTCTAAAATTATAGAACATCAAACTGAAAAAGTAGATCCTAAGAGCTTTCATAGAGATTAAAAAGTAGATTATCTACAAAGGAAAAAAAAACAAATATCAGATTTTCCAAGAGACCAGAGACCAAAAGATAAAAGGACACCTTCAAGATTCTGAGGGGAAAATTTTCCACCTAGAATTCTATGTCCAACCAAACTATTAACCAAAGGTAAATGTAGGGGCCAGGTGCGGTGGCTCATGCCTGTAATCCCAGCACTTTGGGAGGCCGAGGTGGGCGGATCACTTCAGGTCAGGAGTTTGAGACCAGCCTGGCCAACATGGCAAAACCCCATCTCTACTAAAAGTACAAAAATTAGCTGTGCATGGTGGTGCACGCCTGTAATCCCAGCTACTTGGGAGGCTGAGGCATGAGAATTGCTTGAGCCTGGGAGGCAGAGGTTGCAGTGAGCTGAGATTGCACTACAGCACTCTAGTCTGAGTGACAGAGCAAGACTGTATCAAAAAAAATCAAACAAAAATGTAAATGTAGAATAAAAGCATTCTTAGTCATACGAAGTCTTACAAAATTTCCCACTTGCTTTGAAAATTACCTGAGGCTATGCTATATCAAAATGGGGGAGTGGCCGGGCACAGTGGCTCACACCTGTAATCCCAGCACTTTGGGAGGCAGAGGTTGCAGTGAGCCGAGATCGCATCACTGCACTCCAGCCTGGGTGACAGAGCAAGATTCCATCTCAAAAAAAAAAAAAAAAAAAACCAACATTGGATGACTATGAATCTGGGAATATGGAAGACATGGAAGTCAGGCCACAATGGATCCCAAGAGGAAGATCCCAGAAAGGTACTTAGAGAACCATCAGTCCAGTTTGGAACAGGTGTAAGAAAGACCCCAGGAAAGACAGATCCAAGGGGAAAAAAAAGAGGTTTCCAGAGATTGAACTACCCTTGAGAATTTGGAATAACTTCAAAAAAGGTAAATGCAGAGAAAGCAAAAAATGCCTTACTAAGATGTGCTTCAGTAAGTGAATGGATGTATCAACTGTGGCACATCCAGACAATGAAATATTATTCAGTGATAAAAACAAATGGATTATCTGCCAGGTGCAGTGGCTCATGCCTATAATCCCAACACTTTGGGAGGCCGAGGCGGGTGGATCACCTGAGGTCAGGAGTTTGAGGCCAGCCTGGCCAACATGGTGAAACCCCGTCTCTACTAAAAGTACAAAAATTAGCTGTGCATGGTGGTGCACGCCTGTAATCCCTGATTACGTGGATCACCTGAGGTCAGGAGTTTGAGGCCAGCCTATAATCCCACACAGGCATGGTGGCGGGCGCCTGTAATCCCAGCTACTCGGGAGGCTGAGGCAGGAGAATCACATGAACCCAGGAGGCGGAGGTTGCAGTGAGCCAAGATTGCACCATTGCACTCCAGCCTGGGCGACAGAGCAAGACTCCATCTCAAATAGATAAATTAATTAAATAAAATAAATGGACTATCAATCCATGAAAAGACATGGAGGAAACTTAAATGCATATTACTAAGTAAAAGAAGTGGGGGAGGCTGTGCATATGTGGGGGCAAGGTGTATATATCCCTATACCTCCTGTTCAATTTTGCTGTGGACCTAAAACCGCTCTAAAACAATTAAGTACACATGAACACCCCTCCCACACACACATATAACTTAAATAGAAAGGGCTTGAGGAATCGCAAACAGGAGAAGAAAAATTTTTTTAGACAGTGTCTCACTCTGTTGCCTAGGCTGGAGTATACTGGTGCGATCACAGTTCACCACAGCCTCAACCTCCCAGACTCAGGTGCTTCTCTTGCCTCACCCTCCTGAGTAGTTGAGACTGTAGGCACGTGCCACCACACCTGGCCAATTTTTTCTATTTGGCTAAAAATGTTAAATCTAACATGGAACCTTATGCAGAAATGTAGTATTATGCAACATCAGACTGGATGTGTACACAGCAACACGGACGGGTCTTGAAAAGAACGTGCTGAGTGAAAAATGAAGAAACAATCAGGTCTACAGCATGCTACCCATTACAATACACACACATAAAACAGTAACACACTTTTTACAGCAATTTATGAAAACCAAAGGATACACATCAAACGCACTATAATGGTTGCCTAAGGTGGAGATGGGAATGGATAATGAACAGAAAAAGATAAATAAAACAAGAGATAGTCCTTGCGTGGGCCAATGGTGATAACGAGGTGTATGATGCCTCAACCTCTGTACTTGGACACAATGGAGTGAAATTTCAGAACATTAGGATTAAGAAAAATCCTAAAGCTGCAGTAGTGGAAGATGGATGTATCACCAACCAAAGAATAAAACGCAGATGAACATCAGACTTCTTAACAGCAACACCACATTTGGGGAAGACAATGAAGCAACATATTTAAAAGGCTATGGGAAAATAAGCTGCAACCTACAACTGCACACTGAGCCAAACTATCCTCAAGTCCAAAAGTGAAATAAAGTTGGCCAGACGTGGTGGCTCACGCCTGTAATCCCAACACTTTGGGAGGCTGAGATGGGTGGATCACTTGAGGTCAGGAGTTCGAGACCAGCCTGGACAACATGCTGAAACCCCATCTCTACTAAAACTACAAAAATTAGCCAAGCATGGTGGCTCGCGCCTGTAGTCCCAGCTACTCGGGAGGCTGAGGCAGGAGAATTGCTTGAACTCAGGAGGCGGAGGTTGCAGTGAGCTGAGATCTCGCCACTGCACTCCAGCCTGGGTGACAGAGCGAGACTCTGTCTCAAAAAAAAAAAAAAAGTGAAATAAAGTCATTTTCTGATTGAATGGATGTGGTATCATTCATAGTGATATAAAAGAGATAGAAAAAGAAAAAAAGAAATGGCACATGTTGAGAGGTCCAGGAGAGGGAGGATTCATGAAGAACATGGCAGGGCTGTGAGTTAATCTGTAGTTGATCTACAAAAATAAACTTGCAGCCAAGCGTGGTGGCTCACGCCTGCAATCCCAACACTTTGAGAGGATGAGGCAGGAGGATCGCTTGAGCTCAGGAGTTGGAGTCCAGCCTGGGCAACATACTGAGACTACTGTCTCTACAAAAAAAAAAAAAAAAGTTTTATAATTAGCCAGGCGTGGTGGTGCGCACCTATAATGGAATCCCAGCTACTCAGGAGGCTGAGACAGGAGGATTGTTTGAGGCCAGGAGGTCAAGGCTGCAGTGAGCCGTGATTGCACCACTGCATTCCAGCCTGGGTGATAGAATGAGACTCTGTCTCTTAAAAAAATAAATAAATAAACAAAATAAACATGCAAATGGGTTAGTTAAAAATTGTTAAGGAGCTAAAAGAGAAACTAAAAACGATAATCAAATTGTATTGGAAGAGATAGTAATGTGAATGAGCTAAATTTTCATTTGTCATAGCAGGGAGTTGCTAAATCAAGAAATAGTGGTGCAGCCGGGCACACTGGCTCACATCTGTAATCCCAGCACTTTGGGAGGCCGAGGCGGGGAACACTTGAGCCAGGAGTTCAAGACCAGCCTGGGCAACACGGGGAGACCCGGTCTCTACAAAAAATAAAAAAAAATTAGCCAGGCGTGGTGGGGTGTGCCTGTGGTCCCTGCTACTCAGAGGCTGAGGTTGCAGGATCACTTGAGTCTGGGAGGTTGAGGCTGCAGTGAGCCGTGATCACTGCACTGAAGGCTGGGCGACAGAGCAAGACTCTGTCTCAAAAAAAAAAAAAAAAAGACGCCAGGCACAGTGACTCACACCTGTAATCTCAGCACTTTGGGAGGCTGAGGTGGGCAGATCACCTTAGGTCAGGAGTTTGAGACCAGCCTGGCCAACATAGCAAAACCCCATCTCTACTAAAAATATAAAAATTAGCTGGGCATGGTGGCGTGTGCCTGTAGTCCCAGCTACTCCAGAGGCTGAGGCACGAGAATCACCTGAACCAGGGATGTGGAGGTTGCGGTAAGCCAAAATGGTGCCACTGCACTCCAGCCTGGGCAACAGAGCAAGACTCTGTCTCAAATAATAATAAATAAATAAATAAATAAACAAACAAACAGTGGTGCATCAGTTAGGGACTTTGGAGGCATGTAGGAGAAAACTCAACTAACTGTGGGTTAAACAAGACAAGAGTTTTCTTTTCGTTTCACTGAACAACCAGTCCAGAGGTAGTTAGTCAGGTCATGGGCAGTGGCTGGGAAGCAAGAGGAAGTGAATGAGCAATAAGGGCCAGCGCAGTAGGGTTGGGAGGTTCCCAGAAGCCCCATCCACACCTCTGCCCCCATCTCATTGCCTGGTCCAGCTAACGTGGCCTCCGGACGTGCTGGGAAATGTAGGTTTTTAAAGTTGGGTACACGGTTGACCCCACTGAAATTTCTGTTGTGTTTATAAGAAATAAAGGGGAAATGTATACTGGGTAGGCAAATTGCTATCTCTGCCTTGAGTGGTATAAACACTATTTGGAGATATGGAAATAATTTCAAGGAGAAATAAACTCGTACACTTGCCTCTAGGGAATGAGCCTTGGGTGGGGCAAAGGGCTGTTGTGTAGTAGCCCCATTCTAGTTTTTATTTTTTTTAAACCTTGTTGGGATAGGTGGAAAGGCTTCATCTCACACTCATCTTGGAGGTTTAATTCTAGGCTGTTTTCTCTGCCCCTCCCCACCAAGTAGGAAGACCGGAAAGCACTGTGTTTTGGAGACCAGAAATTTAACCTCCACGAGGTGGGAAAGGAATTTGAACCCAAAGCCGCTCACCCAGTTCCTGGCTCCCTGGACATATGTCTGATCACAGAGGTGCCTTTGGAGGAAATGATCCAGCACCTCAAGGTGAGTGGGACTTCTCTTCTTTTTGCAAAAGCTGCTGCAAACGCAGTGAAAACAGAAGAATGACCCAGAGAGGTAACAAGTTTTACCACAACCAGATAATGTCTGCACACAGTTATGTACTATTTTGACTGACAATTCTTTCATGTAAATAAATGTGTTTAAAAAGGAAACTGTGCGTTCCCATTGTAAAACAAACAAACAAACAAACAAACCTACATTTATGCACTGAAATACTTTTTTTTTTTTTTTTTGAGACAGAGTCTTGCTCTGTTACCCAGGCTGTAGTATAGTGGCTTGATCTCGGCTCACTGCAACCTCCACCTCCTGGGTTCAAGCGATTCTCCTGCCTCAGCCTCCCAAGTTGCTGGTACTACAGGTGCGTGCCACCACACCTGGCTAATTTTTGTAGTTTTAGTAGAGACAGGGTTTCACCACGTTGGCCAGGCTGGTCTCAAACTCCTGACCTCAAGTGCTCCGCCCACCTCGGCCTCCCAAAGTGCTGGCCATTACAGGCATGAGCCACGTGCCCAGCCCTAAATACATTTATATAAAAAGAAAACGTTCATCCAAGTACATGAAAAACCCATTATATCTTGGCATAAAGGAAAAGTAACTGTAAAAACCAACAGCTATGAAAGCATAACAATGTCATTAGATTCTAGCCACTTCCGTTCCCTGTACTCCCTGGCCCTGACATTACAAAGGGAGATATGGCAGGTGGTTAAAGAGATACTAAGAACTTGTTAGCATCCACCTTCTATGTGTAAAAAGAAGGACTGAAAGAAGATTGGAGAGGGAATAATTTCTGATTTGTTGTTATTTAATCCAGTGTCTCTGTAATACTTAAAATGATGTCATCTAGAAGAGGCATTGGTTGGGCACGGTCACTCACGCCTGTAATCCCAGCACTTTGGGAGGCTGAGGTGGCAGGATCATTTGGGCCAGGAGTTCCAGACCAGCCTGGGCAACATAGTGAGATCCCATCTCTTAAAAAAAATAAACAGAGTAGCCAGGCATGGTAGTGCATGCCCGTAATCCTAGCTATTCAAGAGGGTGAAGTGGGAGGATCACTTGAGCCCAGGAGGTGGAGGCTACAGTGAGCTATGATCACGCCACTGCACTCCAGCCTGGGTGATACAGCAAGACCCTGTCTCTAAAAAATTAAAATAAGGCTGGGGCACAGTGGCTCATGCCTGTAATCCCAGTGCTTTAGGAGGCCAAGGAGGGAGGATCACTTGAACCCAGGAATTTGAGACCAGCCTGGGTAACATGGCGAGACCCTGTGTCTACATAAAATACAAAAAAAAATTAGCCAGACGTGGCGGTGTGTGCCTGTAGTCTCAGCTACTTGGGAGGCTAAGAGGTGGGAGGATCGTTTGAGCCCAGGTTGAGGCTGTAGTGAGCTGTGATCGCACCACTCCATTCTAGTCAGTGTGACAGAGCAAGGCCCCATCTCTACAATAAATAAATAAAAGGGGTTTTAGTTTCCCTTTTGCAGAACACGGATTGAGGTCTTATATATATTCTGTGCAAATAACCTAGACTCCTTCTTTGGGAAGTGTCAGTGAAAAAGACTGGTTTGGAAGTAAAATGGGTGAAGCATAGGGGTTAAGAGTATGGTCGTTGACCCAGACTGCCTAGGTTCGAATTCTGGTTCTGCCATTTACTAGATAATACTAGGTACTATTATCCTTCCCATTTTACAGATGAGGAGATCGAGGTACAGGGTAGTTAGGTACTGTGCCCAAGGCCATCTAGCTGATAAGTGGCTGGAACGGAGTGATGGAGGGGAGGATGGTAGGAGATGAGGTCAGAAAGATACAGCGGTGTTCTAAGGTCTTCTAGGCCACTATAAGGAATTAAATTTTACAGGCCAGGCGCAGTGGTTCATGCCTATAATTCCAGCACTTTAGGAGGCTGAGGCGGGCGGATCACTTGAGGTCAGGAGTTCGAGACCAGCCTGGGCAGCACAGCAAGACCTCGTCTCTATGAAAAATAGCTGGGCATGGTGGCATGCGCCTGTAATCCCAGCTACTCAGGAGGCTGAGGTGGGAGAATTGCTTGAGCCTAGGAGGCAGCGGAGGTTGCAGTGAGCTGAGATCTCACCACTGCACTCCAGCCTGGGTGACGGAGCGAGACTCTGTCACAAAAAAAAAAAAAAGGCATTAAATTTTGGTCTCACACACACATTTTGACGAACGACTTTTGTCTTTTCTTCCCACTTCAGGCTTGTGATGTCCCTATTGAGGAGGGGCCAGTCCCCAGAACAGGGGCAAAAGGGCCTATCATGTCCATCTACTTCCGAGACCCCGACAGAAATCTGATTGAGGTGTCCAACTACATCTCCTCGTGATGGAGGCTGGACCTCCTCCATTCTGTCCCCCTTGATGTCGCCCTCTCCTTTCCTTCCTGCAAACCCCCACCCAGGCCCAGAGATCTCCAAAGACTGAGGACTTAGGCACTTCACACATCCTGCTGAGGGGGGACCCAAGACAGGTTTGGGACCAAACCTACATGTCTGTATGTCATCAAAGTTGGCCTAATAAATGCATAACCTCTCAATGAATACGGGGTCTTCGTTACTGTATTGGCGCCATGCATGGGTGTTTATGTAGGGTGTGAGATCTCTGAGCTGTTCGGTCGGAGGCCTATGACCAGGGTATGACGCCTCTGAGCACCGAATCTAGGGTCATCACCTCGGGATTCAAGGCCCCTGACAGATTTCTCCTTGTCAGTGATGCCATTGTCTTCATCCTTTCCTAACTTTTCTCACTCCTCCAGCTGCTGCCTGCTGTTTTCTCCATTCCTGGGCCTCGCAGAATCCCAGGATCTCTTATTCCCATCAGACCTTCCAGGACCAGCACCAGGTGATACTACCTCTTTCAGGAGAGCCTTCTCTAGTCTCACTCTCAGGGTATTTAGCACTTTCTACCTTTGGATCTAGTAGATCAAAGAATTCGAGACCAGCCTGGGCAACATAGTGAGACCACCCACCTCCACAAAATAAATAAAGAAATAAGCCAAATCATCTCAATTGAAGCATAGCTTGTGGCAGGTTAGGTGGGACAAGGTCAGATTTCCTGTTTCTGCCCCCCCTCCACCATTCAGTCAACTAAAATACATATGTTAACCACCTGTGTGCCAGGCCCTGTTCCAGGCACTGGAGAGACAGCATTGAGCAAAGGAGATAAGCATACCCCTGTTGGTGGAGTTGCCATTCTAGTGGGAGAGAAAGAAAATAAATAAAACTAAGTAGGTAAAATATTAAGTATGTTACAGGTTGGTAAATGGTTTGGAGAAAAAGAAAACACGGAAAAGAGGGAATGCAGATAAAAACTGTTGGGGCAGGTTGGACACAGTGGCTCACGCCTGTAATCCCAGCACTTTGGGAGGCCGAGGTAGGTGGATCACTGAGGTCAGGAGTTTGAGACCAGCCTGGCCAACATGGCAAAACCCCGTGTCTACTAAAAATACAAAAATTAGCTGGCTGTGGTGGCGCATGCCTGTAGTCCCAGCTACTTGGGAGGCTGAGGCACCAGAATTGCTTGAACCTGGAGGCAGAGGTTGCAGTGAGCTGAGATTGCACCACTGCACTCCTTCCTGGGTGACAGAGCGAGACTCTGACTTGAAAAAAAAAATTGCTAGGACAGCTTCTGATGTCTAATGAGGCGGTCCCGGAAAGTGTGACTGAGAAGTGTCTTGAGCACAGATCTGAAGAGATGAGGGATGAGCCACACAGATGGCCAGTGGAGGAAGGGCACACCAGGCAGAGGCATCGGCCAGTGCAAAGGCCCTGATGCATGAATGTGCCTGCTGTGTGTGAGGAACAGCAAGGACGCCAGTTGGGGAAGCAAGGGGTACAGATGGGTGCGGTCTGGCAGGCCAGGGCGAGGACTTTGTCTTTTACTATGAGCGACAGGCAGCTGAAGGAGGGTTGTGGGCAGAGGAGGGATGTGATCTGATTTAGGATTTAACAGGCTCCCTCTGGCCACTGCGGAAAATAGACTGTCAGGGCGAGGGTGGAAACAGGCGACCAGTGAGGGGGAGGCCCCTGCAGTGGTCCACGCAAGTGTGATGGCAGGGACAGGGGAAGTGATTTTTATTTGTTTGGGTTTTTTGTTTTTTTTGGTAGAGTCGGGGTCTCGCTATGTTGCTCAGGCTGGTGTCGAACTCCTGGCCTCAAGAGATCCTCCTGCCAGGCGCGGTGGCTCACACCTGTAATCCCAGCACTTTGGGAGGCTGAGACGGGCAGATAACGAGGTCAGGAAATCAACACCATCCTGGCTAACACGGTGAAACCCCATCTCTACTAAAAATACAAAAAATTAGCCAGGCATGGGGCGGGCGCCTGTAGTCCCAGCTACTTGGGAGGCTGAGGCAGGAGAACGGTGTGAACCCGGGAGGCGGAGCTTGCAGTGAGCTGAGATCGTTTCCCTGCACTCCAGCCTGGGTGACAGAGGGAGACTCTGTCTCAAAAAAAAAAAAAAAAAAATCCTCCTGCCTCAACCTCCCAAACTGCTGGGACTATAGGCGTGAGCCACCGCACTCAGCCAGGAGATGATTTTTTTTTTGAAGTTAAGGCAACATTTATTTGATTTCCTTATAACCATATTATCTAAGGCAGAAGTGGTGGTTACTTGGCAAGAATACAATTTCTTTTAATGTCTTCTATAGTTGAGTTTTAGTTCAGAAATACATATTTCACTGGTACAAATCTGAGAGACCGTACTTCTAGCATGGGCTCCTATTCATGATCAATGCATTTTTGTATCACCATGGCTTGAACAAACTCAATCACTGTTTCAATGGCAGGACATGGCCAGTTGTGGCAGCTGCTCTGAAGGTCACTTGTTTTACTGTGGCCTGGCCAAGTAGAATAAGAGTGGGTCACAGTGAGCTCACTGGTCTCTTCAGGCTGTGCTCTGAATGATGACAGCAATACCTTGGCCACCTCCAATGCAAGCTGATCCAACGGCATATTTTCCACCTCGACGCCTTAATTCATCAACCAATCCAGATCCTCCCAGTGGGTGACCCAAAGCAATGGCTCCTCCATTCACATTGGTTTTACTTATGTCAAGATCCAAACTCTTCTCAACAGCCAAGTACTGGGGAGCAAAAGCTTCATTCACCTCTACCAAATCCATGTCCTTAAGACTCAGTCCTGCTTTCTTCAGTGCCCCACTGATAGCAAGGACAGGACCAATACCCATGATAGAGGGATCACATACAGATACAAAGTAGCCCACAATTCTTGCCAGTGGTGTGAAATTATGGTTCTTAACAGCATCTTCACTAGCTATGATAACAGCTCCAGCACCATCAGCTATCCCCGATGCATTCCCTGCAGTGACAGTACCATCTTTCTTGAATACTGGAGGAAGTTTCTGTAACTATTCCAGGGTTGTTTGGGGCCCAGCATGCTCATCTACCTGCATTGTCTGTTTTCCTTTCTTTGTCTTCACTTCAATTGGTGCCATTTCATCATTAAAGTAGCCAGCATCATTAGCAGCTTTCCATCTCTGCTGTGACTGCAGGCCGTATTTGTCACATTCTTCTCTGCTTATTTTATGTTTTACAGCAAGATTCTCTGCAGTCATTGCCATGGGGAGCTGGACATGCTGATCTGTTAATCCTATCCATAAAGAATCTTCCAGCTTGATATCTGATCCAAGCTTGGTTCCAAAACACACATTTCTGACACAGTAGGGAGCTTGGCTCATGCTTTTGGTTCCTCCGCATAAAACAACTTCAGCTTCTTTAACACAAATTTCCTAACACCTATTCACAGTGGACTGAAAACCAGAACCACAGAGCCTATTAATCGTGAGAGCTGGGGTCTCCTTTGGGATTCCCACACGCAAACCAACATGCCTTGCCAAAAAAATATGGAACGCTTCACGAATTTGCATGTCATCCTTGCGCAGGGGCCATGCTAATCTTCTCTGTATCGTTCCAATTTTAGTATATGTGCTGCCGAAGCAAGCATGGAGATGATTTTTTTAAAATGGTTAGATTCTGGAGATATTTTGAAGATAGGGACTGGATGAGTTCAACAAAAAAGAGGATGTCAGCTAGAGAAGAGGCCTGAGGACATTTTGGGTTCTAAAACAAGAGAAGGGACAGACAGATGAGTCAGGCAAGTGGGAAGGGAAGTGTGTGGATTCCTGAGTGAAGGAGTGATGGATGGAGGAGCATGCGTGAGAGTCTCCTGAAGTAAAGGAGCCCCTGGTCTTCTGGACTCTGGTCGCTAAATAGTCTTCAGACGGTAGTTCAGCCAGACCCTGTGACTGAACCGCCAAGGAGCCCCAAGAGTGCTGCGAAGAGAGGGAGTGTGAGGATATGAGTTTTAGCAAGTAAAAGGCTTTCCTAAAACCTGTAGCATTTTCTGGCAGTGGAAAAAAAGAGGAAAGGGGTTTTCTGCCTCATTCTAAAAGACAATTTGCCATGGACCCAGACATTATATGCCTGAAGATGGATGATTTATGGATGAAAGGAAAGAGAAAATGAAGGAATAGAAGAAGGAAGGAAGGAACAGATGGGTGGATGGGTGAGTGGGTAGGTAGATGAATGAATGGGTAGATGCTCTGATATTTCCTCCCTCCTCCCCCGAGAAACTCCTTCACAGGTGTGCACAGAGAGAGGAATATGAGTTTATGAATTGCAGATTTGCTATAATAGGGAAAGAAACTAGAAACAATGCAAATGTTCATCAACAGATTAGTGGTTAAACAAAATGTGGTATATCCATTCCATGGAATATTACTTTCAATAAAAGGGAACGAACTTATGAGGCCAGCATTACTCTGATGAGAAAACTAGACAAAGATATCACAAGAAAAACTACAGACCAATATCTAAGTATAGATGCAAAAATCCTCAAAAAAATACAAGTAAGTAGAATCCAGCAACATATAAAAGGATTATACACCACGGCCAAGTGGGATTTATCCCAAGAATGCAAGGTTTGGTCAACTAATGAAAATCAATCAATATAATGCATCATATTAACATAATAAAGAACAAACACCACATGATCTTTTCAGGAGATGCAGAAAAAACATTTGACAAAATTCAACATTCCTTCATGATAAAAACACTCAACAAACTAGGAATAGAAGAGAACTTCCTCAACCTGATAAAGGACATCCACAAAAAACCCACAGCTAAGATCATACTTAATGGTGAAAGTTGGAAAGGAACAACACAAGGATGCCCCTTCTTACCATGTCTTTTCAACACTGTATTGGATGCTCTACCTGGGGCATTAGGCAACAAAAAGAAATAAAACGTATCCATATTGGAAAGGAAGAAGTAAAACTATCCCTATATGCAGATGACATGATCTTATACATAGAAAATGTTAAGGAATCCACCACGAAACCATTAGAGCCCCATTAGTGCATAACCATTAGAGCAAGGTTGCAGGATATAAGATTTTGTATCATATATGCTAGCAATTAACAATCCAAAAGTGAAATTAAGAAAACTATTCCATTTACAATAGCTTCAAAATGAATAAAATACTTAGTAATAAAATGAATGAAAGAAGGGTAAGACTTATACACTGAAAACCATAAAATATTATTGAAAGAACTTAAAGAAGACCTAAATAAATGGAAAGACATCACATGTTCATGGATTGGAAGACTTTATAGTGTTAAGATGGCAATACTCCCCAAATTGATCTACAGACTTGATGCAATCCCTATCAGAATCCCAGCTTGCTTCTTTGCAGAACTGACAAGCTGATTCACATGGGAGTGCTAGGGGCCCAAAATACAACAATCTTGAAAAAGAAAAACAAAGTTAGAGGACTCACACCTTCCAGTTTAAAAACTTACTATACAGCTACAGTAATCAAGACCATGTGCTACTGGCATAAAAACATACATATAAATTAACGAAATAGAATTGAAAGTCCAGAAATAAATTCATACATTATAGGCAACTGATTTTTTTGAGACAGGGACTTGCTCTGTTGCCCAGTCACAAACATAGCTCACTGCAGCCTCAAACTCCTGGGCTAAGCGATACTCCCACATCAGCCTCCCAAGTAGCTGGGACTACAGGCATGCACCACTGTGCTCAGCTAATTTTTAAAAAACTTTTTGTAGAGACAGGGTCTCAATGTGTTGGACAGGCTGAACTCCTGGGTTCAAGTGATCCTCCCACGTTGGCCTCCCAAAATGCTGGGATTACAGGTGTGAGCCACTGTGTCCAGCTAGCAATTGATTTTTGACAAGTGTACCAAGACCATTCAATGGGGAAAGAATGCTCCTTTCAACAAATGGTGCTGAGACAGCTGAGTATCCACATGCAAAAGAATAAAGTGGGACCCCTTCCTCATACCATATACAAAAAACAACTCAAAACAGATCAAAGACCTAAATGTAAGAGCTAAAACGATAAAACTTTTAGAACGGGGGTCCCCAACCTCCAGGCCACAAACCCATCTGTGGTCTCTTAGAAACTGGGCCACACAGCAGGAGGTGAGCTGCGGCTTGCTGCCATTCATGAAGCTGAGCCCGCCTCCTGTCAAATCAGCTGCAGCATTAGATTCTCTTAGGAGCTCAAACCCTATTGTGAACTGTGCATGCGAGGGATTTAGGTTGTGCACTCCTTATGAGACTCTAATGTAACGCGCTTGAATCATCCTGAAAACATCCCCACTTCTGTGGAAAAAAATTGTCTTCCATGAAACTGGTCCCTGGTGCCAAAAAGTTGGGGACCGCTGCTTTAGAAGAAAACAGGCTTAAGTCTTTGTGACCTTGGATTAGGCAATGGTTTCTTAGACGTGACATCTAAAGCATAAGCAGCCAAAGAAAAATAGACACACTGGAGTTCATCAAAACTATAAGCTTTCTGGCTGGACGCAGTGGCTCACGCCTGTAATCTCACCACTTTGTGAGGCTGAGGTGAGTGGATTGCTTGAGCCCAGGAGCTCAAGACCAGCCTAGGCAACATGGTGAAACCCCATCTCTGCAAAAAATACAAAAATTAGCCAGGAACGGTGGCATGCAACTGTAGTCCCAGCTACTTGGGGGACTGAGGCAGGAGGATCACTTGAGCCTGGGGGGTCAAGGCCTCGGTGAGCCACGTTCACCCCCACTGCACTGCAGCCTGGGTGACAAAGTGAGAACCTGTCTCAAAAAAAAAAAAAGTGAAAAGACAACCTACAGAAGACAATATTTGAAAATCACATATCTAAAAAGAGTCTAGTATCCAGAATACATAAAGAACTCTTACTACTCAACAATAAAAGGACAAATAACCCAATTCAAAATGGGCAAAGGATTTAAATAAACACTTCTCCAAAGAAGATAAATGGGCTGGGCACGGTGGCTCATGCCTGTAATCCCAGCATTTTGGGAGACTGAGGCGGATGGATCACTTGTGGTCAGGAGTTCGAGACTGGCCTGGCCAACATAGTGAAACCCCATCTCTCCTAATAATACAAAAATTAGCCAGGCATGGTGGCGGGTGCCTGTAATCCCAGCTACTCAGGAGACTGAGGCAGGATAATCACTTGAACCCAGCAGGTGGAGGCTGCAGTGAGCCAAGATCGTGCCACTGCACTCCAGCCTGGGTGACAGAGCAAGACTACATCTCAAAAAAAAAAAAAAAAAAAAAAAGAAGATAGATGACCAACAAGTTTATGAAAATATGCTCAACATCAGTGGTCACAGGGAAATGCAAATCAAAACCATAACAAGACACCACTTCACACCCACACCCAGTAGGATGGCTAGAATCAAAAAGAGGGACAATAAAAAGTGTTGGAGGCCAGGCATGGTAGCCTGTAATTCCAGCACTTTGCAAGGCCAAGGCAGGCAGATTGCTTGAGCCCAGTAGTTTGAGACTAGCGTAGGCAACGTGGCGAAAATCCCATCTCTACGAAAAATTAACAAAAATTTAGCTGGGTGTGATGGCATGCACCTGTAGTCCTGGCTACTCAGGAGGTTGAGGTGGGAGGATCACTTGAACCCAGGAGGTTGAGGCTGCAGTGAGCAGAGATCATGTCACTGTACTCCAGCCTGGGGAACAGAGTGAGACCCTGCCAAACAAAAGAAAAAAGAAAAAAAAGAAAAAAGAAAGAAAGAAAGAAAGAGAGAGAGAGAGAGAGAGAGAAAGAAAGAAAGAAAGAAAGAAAGAAAGAAAGAAAGAAAGAAAGAAAGAAGAAAGAAAAGAAAAGAAAAGAAAAGAAAGAAAGAAAGAAAGAAAGAAAGGAGTGTTGGAGAGAATGTGGTTAAATTTAAATTTGAATCCCCATATGGCAGCTGTGGAGAACACTTGCAGTTCCTCAGAAAGTTAAACATAGAATTACCATATCACCCCGCAATTCCATTCCTAGTTATATACCCAAGAAAACGAAAAACATATGTCCACATAAAAACTTTCACATGAATGTTCATAGCAGCATTATTTGTGATAGCCAAGAGTCCATCAATGGGTGAATGGATAAGCATAATGTGGCATTTCTTTTTCCTTTTATCTTTTGAGACAGGGTCTCACTCTGTTGCCCAGGCTGGAGTGCAGTGGTGCAATCATGGCTCACTGCAGCCTCAACTTGCTGATCCTCCCACCTGAGCCCCCCAAGTAGCTGGGACCACAGGCATGCACCACCACACCCGGCTAATTTTTCTTTTTTGTAGACACGTGTTCTTGCTACGCTGCCCAGGCTGGTCTCGAACTCCTGGGCTCAAGCAATCCACCCACCTCAACCTCCCAAAGTGCTGAGATTACAGGTGTGAGCCACCGCATCCTAGCTATAATGTAGTAGGTATTTTCATACAAAGGAATATTATTCAGTCATGAAAATGAATGAAGTACTGATACATGCTACAATATGAATGAACCTTAAAAAACTTATGTGAAGTAAAAGAAGGCAGTTACAAAAGGCCACATATTATATGACTGCATTTATATGAAATGTCCAAAACAGACAAATTCATAGAGACAAAGAGATTTGTGATGGCCCGGGGATGGGAGGAGAGGGAAATGGAATGGGAGGGTGTATGTTAATAGATATAGGGTTCCTTTTGGGGGTGATGAAAATGTTCTGGAATTAGGTAGTGGATAGTTACACAACCTCGTGATATACTAATCGCTTTGCTATACATTTTAAGAGTGAATTTTATGGTTAAGAGCAAATTTTATGGTATGTGAATTATGTCTCAATAAACAGAAAAAGAAAAAAAAGAATGAACTATTGATACACACGACAATGTGGAAGAATGTCACAGACATTATGCTGAGCAAAAGCAGCACATACTGTATGATGTGCTTCCATTTCCATGAAGTGCAAAAACAGGCCAAAAAAACCCCAGGTATCATATGGTGTTTATGGGTACCAACATATGGAGTGATGGAGTAAAAATACTCATGAGGAAGATAAACACCAAGCTCAAGGCAGTAGAAGGAGAGAGGGAAATGGAATCAGTACAAGAGCATCTGTAATATCGCATATCCTTTAAAAACAATCTGAAGTCAATAAGGCAAAATATTAATGTTTGACAAAAGTAGATGCTTGTTACAGCACCCTTTATACTTTCCATTTTTTAAAACAGTCAACCAACAGTTTGTTTCTGAGGGCAAACGCTTGACTCCTTAACCAGGCTTTGGTTGACATTTGCCTTGGTGCTTTTGACACCACAGTCTGTCAGGCTCTGTCCCCACCCTGATGGGCTCCACAGTACAGAAGAGGCACAAACAGTACAAATGCCATGGGGCCTGGACCAAGCAGGGGCTCTAGAACCCCAGAAGATGCCAGGAGGGAGTGAGCCAGTCAGGGAAGGCTTCCGAGAAGAGAGGACATTGAAGAAGAGTCTCAAACTTAGGCCTGACGGAGAAGACGCGCGGCCAGGACACCCCACCCCCGCCCTCGTCTCCCCCAAAGCCTGATCTGGCCCCACTGATTCCCTTATCTGCCCACTCCCAGCTGCCTCCTTGCTGGCTGAACTGTCGCCGCAGACTTCTGAGCCTGCGCCCCCTCCACGGGGATGGGGGAGGGAATGGGGTGAGGCCTGGCCTCACAGCCTCGGGGTTTCCAGCTCTTGCTGGAGGCAGGGCTCTGGGGCGCCCTACTCCTCACCCTTGGCTTCTCTTCCTGAGCGCTCTGTGCTCTCCAGAAATGAAGAAATGGGGTGAGTCCAGCGGCCAAACCCTTGTCTTAGCTCTTAGACATGCCTCGAGCCTGCCATTCCCTGTGAGGACAGATTTCCCTATGTTGCGACCGCTGCTTCTAATAATAATAATGATGATGATAATTCCCATTTACAGAGCACACCATTTATGGTGTGCCAGCAGGCCCTGTGCTGAGTGGTTCCTACCCACGTGGGGGGCTAGGACTTTACCCGTTTTCCAGATGAAGAAACTGAGGCTCAGAGGGCGTCTGGCCCAGGAATCACACAGCAAATCACACAGCAAATCAGAGTTGAGACAAGAACCCAGGGCCCTGGAGGAACATCTTCATTTCCACACACCTATGTAGAACCAGTCTGGAGGTGAGGGCAATTATACACACTTGCACCACAAGGAGCTGGTGAGAATGCGATAGAATTATGGGTGGAGAGCGCTTAGCACAGTGCCTGGGGTCACTCAGCAAATAATGCCGCTGCTGTTATTATTAGTCTATTAATGCTATTATTAATATCAGAATTAAACAAGCCTCGGCAACATAGCGAGACTTCATCTCTATTGAAAAAAAATTTTTTGCTGGGTGTGGTGGCATGCACCTGAAGTCCCAGCTCCTCAGGAGGTTGAGGTGGGAGGATCACTTGAGCCCAGGAGGTGGAGGCTGCAGTGAGCCAAGATTGTCACTGCACTCCAGCCTGAGTGACATAGTGAGACACTGTCCCCAAAAAATATTTAGTACGTATCATTATCACTATTGTTGTTAGAATTAGAATAGTTTTAGAATTAGTGTTAGTATTAATAATAGTATTAGTGTTAGATTAAAATTAGTATTAGCATTAGATGAGTATTACTATGAAAATTAGTATGTCCTCATAGAAGTAGAGAGTAGAATAGTGGTTACCAGCAGATGGGAGGGTAGGAGGCAGGGAGGGATGGGGAGAGGCTGTCAATGGGTACAAAGCTACAGTTAGATAGGAGGCATAAGTTCTGGTGTTCTAATGCATAGTACAATGACTAGAGTCAACAATAAATGTATATTTCAAAATAGCTGAAAGAGGCGTTCTCGAATGTTCTCATCACAAAGAAAAGATAAATGTTTAAGGTGATGAATATGCTAATTACCTTGATTTGATCACTACACAATGTATACATGTAACAAAACATCATGTTTTACCCCATATATATGTACAACTATTATGTGTCAATCATAAATTTAAAGAAATAAAATTAGTTTTAGTGTCAGTATCAATATTACAATATTGGTATTACTCTTAGTGTCAGCATATTATTAGCATTAGTACTATAAGTAGTAGTAGGGTTAGAAAGGGCTATGTACTCTCCCTTGTATGCAGTAGGTACTCAATAAATAAATAGGGGTACTTAATATTTATTGAGATTTCAGATTCAAGTAAGTTAAGATCATGTAACATGGGTTAAAACTCATTTAGTCTCCCCAGTCACTGCATGGAGTGGCTTATTGGGGTATATTATTACCCCATTTTTACAGATGAGGAGCTAAATTCCAGAGGGGATGGTAACTCTCCCAAGGTCACCTGATCCATTAGTGGTTAGGGCAGTCTATGAACGAGGATGAGCTGGCTCTAGAGACCATCTCCTGAAACCACTGCCACTTAAGTCAGAGGTGTCTTTGTATTCGTTCTCCTTATTACTGATGAGGGTTCAGCATGGGGCGTGGCACACCAGCAGGAGCTCAATAAATAGGAATTCATGGGCTTGCTCTCTTTCCTCCTCAAATCTCCCATTGCATATGAGGACACTGAGGCTCAGAGGAGTGAGATAAGAATGGTAAGATCCCTCCAGGGTGGGCCAGTGGGCAAGCTGACCCCACTGACCTGGGGCTCCACCCTTGGCCTCTGCCCTTTGTAGGTCTCAGTCTCCCCATCTGTAGACTAGGTGGGCAGGACAGCTCCTTGTCCCACGTGTGCATGTGTGTCAGATGCTTTCATATAGAAAAAGTGCTCAGGTTAGGTACAAGTCTATGTGAGGTCTATGAGACACTGTGGTTGTTGTCATTAATATTTGGAGGAGGTGGGGCAGGGCAAGAGTGTGGGGACTGGGGTGCGGAGGCCTAGCCACATTCTGGTTGTCCCCTGCTGAGGGCTGAGGGCAGAGCCACAGGCTACATCAATCCACATCCTCCCATCCTACCTGCATGGGCACCACATGCCCAGGGTGTGATCCAGTCTGCCTGGACCTTCTTCTGAGTCTGTCTCTGAATATCCCTCTGTCTCTGTCTCCCTTCTCAGTTCTCCACTTCTGTCTTTGGCCTCTTTCCCTTTCAGGTTTTATCTGTCACTTCTGTCCATCTCTGTCTCTCATTCTCTCTTTGCCTCTCTCTATATGTCTTTAATGGTCTCTGGTTCTCCCCGGGTGTCTCGCCCTCTTTGTCTCTCCTTTTCTTTTGTGCCCTCTCTCTGCCTCTTTCCACGTCTGTCTCCTTCTCTATTCATCTCTGTCACTCTCTTTCTCCCCATTTCCATCTCTCTCCGCCTATCTCTGTTTTTGTTTGTCTCTCTGCCTCTGTCTCTCCCACTCCACCCCTTTCCTTTCCTACCCTATACCACTCCTCGAGGAATCATCCCTGGCTCCCACCTCA